>NT_187651.1:441807-793112 GCF_000001405.40 Homo sapiens | reverse complement strand
CACCATGCACTGAATCACGGAGGGTAAAAATGCACACTGTTAATAAGAAGGAGGGAGTCAATCTCATTAGTATTATAATATTTATACTGAATGAGACTCCATTCCCGAAATTCACAGAATTAAAATAATAAAAATAAAAATTTATTGCTAGCCAATTTGCAGCAAAAAAGATTCATTCTCATATTCTGCTATGAGAAAATAAATGAAATTGAATTTTAAAAGACATTTTTGGAAAGCCCTTTGAATTAACCAGAAAATTGTTAAATTCGTAGTTTTTTTGACTAACATTCTTCTTCCACGTTAACAGAATTTATATATAAGTGACACTCATTGCATATACTTTTAAGGGGTAAAATAATTACTAAATTTATGTACACTATTAATACTTCATTGTATAAAATTGCATATATACCCATATGCAAATGTGCACAGAATCAATAGGGTAACCATAGACATAAAATGATCAGTGCAGGATATTTTATTTATGCATTTTATATATAATATACTTTTCATTTAATATTTTTGCTAATTTTATTGAATTGAATATTTATGCCTTGGTTATAGAACAACTAAATTTATTTTCAAAGAAACTCCATTATTATTGTCTGCAAGAGTAAAACTTATAAACAATCTAAAAATTCAACCAAATACAACCATTTACAATTGTGCCCTGGTTGAATTTGTAATCATAGGAGAAAACACAGGTGTTGAATTTTTTGAATTTCATTTAAAAAATAATTGACACAATCCCTAAGGTATCATATAAATTAATTGAATTGTTATTGTCTTGGGTTAACATTTATTTCTAGAGTTTTTTTTCCCCTAATATCTGATTTTTTCCATTAACATTACTTATTTGGATAATCAGAAAAAAATCAACATTGCCAAAAGATAGATAATACCACAAGCGAAATATCTATGATAATGATAGGAAAATGCTTTGAATTCAGGCTGAATGAGAATTAGTCTAGGAAAACAGCTTGGACCCTCTCATTCCTGTTAATGTCATCTCTGTGTTTAGCACTGCTGCTATTCCTCAGCTACTAAGAAATGCTCTATTGCTGGGCATGGCATATGGGAAGCCAAGAAAAATGACTGGCTGCTTGGTGACAGCTCTCTAGTCCTCATGCCAAGTTCTGCCAGTGATTTAAATATTAAGTAATGGAAAGAATTTTGAAATCCAGGATGATTAGAAAAGTCATTTTCTACAAAAGTGAAGCATTGTCTTTAGAGATTAAAATCTATGAAAATAACATTATTGAAATACTAGACTTCAGACTATTTTTCTGAATTACTGTAACTGTTGAAATAGGTCTTTCAGCCCATTAAGATAAACACCACACTTTTCTCTTCATGATCTCCAGCTGTAATTTTATAGTGAAAGGTGCTTGCATAAAAGAGTTCACACTATCTGAAAGATGTCACATGTAACATTGACTGGCAGCCATTTCAGAATGGCAGACAGCCAATAAATCATTCAGAACTATGTGTCACTCGTTGTGGCTTTAAAATTGTATTCCTTCTCCTTTGATAAAGAACATTTCAATGTCAAATAGTTTGTTCTATTTAAACTTATACATCAACCAGAATATTGAGATACACAATAAAATTAAATGATTTGGTAATACCTTTAGAATTTATCTAAAAACAGCCGTATGTATTTGCATGACAGATTTGGTTCACAAACGGATCAAGTTGTTAGTATCAAAGGCATGTTTTAGTGCTGATTTGTGTATAGATAAATTTAGGAAATTACATAAATAGAAATACTTCTTTATAAAATTCCTTGACCTTGTGATATCTTGGTATTAAGAATCTTAAAGGAATCATTTAAAAAAATTCAAAAGCAAACAATTTCGATTTTACAAGAGCTAAGAAAAAAACATTTTGCTATGGACACAGATCGCTCTTCAAGAAAAGATTTCTTTCCCCCTTGGCTGCTAGGAGCAATATTACAAAGCAGCCTTCAGCTCTCAGCTCCTTCAAAGTTTGCCTCAGCTGTAACCATTGTCTGGCTCAATGTTAGGGCATCCTGGAGCACTGGACATGCAAACACGAATGGAGATGAGGTTATAAAGCCTGGCCATTTTGACCCACCTGAGAGGATTCTGACAGGTCCTTCCAGTGCCTGAGAAACCCAGGGCTCACATGCTTTATATTCTGATCATTCTGTAGGGGTTGTTCCCATGGGTGATAGAAGCTGCCAAATATAAAGAGGCAACCATGCAAATTTTTAGGAATTATTTCCAAAACTCTCATAACAACATCATATATATTTATTGGTTGTTTAAGTAGATTTCTGAGGAGTAGATAGCAACGATAGAAGTGAAAGAAAGTAAATGCAGTTGTTAAAGGATTAGTCTTCCCATACTTAGAAAGTACACAAGTTGCATATACACTATGTTCCTTCCCTAGAGCAAGTATTTCAATGCAGTCATGTGTGTGTGTTTGTGTGCTTGTGTGTGTGTGGTGTGTGTGTGTGTGTGTGTATGCTAACTGAACTCATTATAGATTTTATTGGATCAGATATATGAAGAGACTTGGAAGACTTGGGTTTGTCTGGAACTGGGTGAAATAGAGAAGGACGATCATTGACATAGAAAGCTGATTACTTTGTCCTTTGAGTATAAATAGTCTTACAATAAAATGGCATCTCCACTGTCTAAAACACATTTTTACATTTGCTCTCCTTCTGAAATTATTTATGTGAAATTAACAAATGTACTTATTACCTTAGAAACAAACGATCCGTAATTTATATTATTTATTGTATATTTGTAGATCCACTTAAAATTGATTTGCAATATAAGGAAAAAATGCGTTTTATAAGTTGTTTGCTTTGTGTAGTGCATCTTGTTAACCGTAGGACTACTGTTGCATTGAAACAAAATAGAATTAATCTGTTCAGGTAAATAGAACTGGAAGTGAGATTTGTTGTCACTCCTTCTCCTTCAAGTACTGACCAGTCTTTTAATTCACACATAACTAACACTCTGTGCAATAATATTTTTTTGTTCTCTGTCTTTTCAAACAGAACTCAAGCTCCATGAGGAGATGTTTCATTGTCGGTGAGCACATTCTTGTCAATTAGTTCCTTCTTGTTTCTTACTATAGCCCCTGTGTCTAGAACCTTTCCAGGTATTCAGTAGCCATTTAAAAATTATTTGTTGAATGAATTGTTATTTTAAAGAACATCCACAAGTTTTGCCTGACTGGGCATGGGAATACATGCCCATCTTTGGACTGAATGTCCATTTTTCCCTTCTTTGATTTATCAAAATATTGGTTAAATGATCAGGACTACCGTCAGAAGGAATTTTATATCTAAAAATAGTTTACCTTCTATGGATGTAAAAAATAGTTGTAGTAGTTCTGGCTTTTATATTATTCGATGTTTCAAAGCGGTTTTTTTTTTCCATCACCATATTCTACGTTCTTGAAAAGTACTCGTTCATGTGACTGCTATCATTTATGCTTGTGCAGCACGTAGATACAGGAGAGAAGATAAGGAAAATGCTTACCCTGTGTCTCCTTCCCTGTAACACAGTTTTTTTTACCATATTGATTCTCCACTTTCTACTCCCTAAGTAAAATTTTGCAACAGGCATTTGGGAAACTCTGGATACAAGAAAAAAATTTTAATATTGTACAAAGAGACAAGAGGTGACTTCTTTTTTATTTTTCATTTAGAGTTTATAGTTTAATTAAAGAAAATGCACATATATCTAAAGATAATCATGGATAATACACTCATGTAATTACTACTTTCAGTGGTTGTAACAACAGCCAAAGCACAAACAGAAATGAGAAAGAATTATCAGCATTATGCAAGTACATATCCTCTTTAAGAATTCCTGTTATAGTGAAAGCATTAAAATAATTGAACACGTACAGAGACCATATACTTTGTGATCTTTTTAAAAAAGTATTCAAAATATATTTCTGTGTGCAAAACATTTTCATAATGGTCTTGTTTAAATGAAAGTATTTAGAATAGCACATTGTAAAATTATGCTGCAGAGCACAAGTATTTTTCTCTTTAGAAGACACATAATAAAATAGAATCATCAGTGTTTTTTCATAAACATGAATCTTTAGAGTGTTACTTGATCCTGCACAATAAGGGTACTTTTTTGCTTAATGTAAGCATAGTATACTAATTCTTTTAAACTTCAGAAAGCATATTTACAGTCTAGGCAGATGGGACATGAAGGTCACACAGCATGAGCAGTGAAATATCTCATTTACCTAGAGTTCTAGAGAGAATTTTAGGAACTCTTATTTATTATCAGTGCATAAACAAGAGTAAACTCTACAAAACTGTTTGCAAAACTCTCCTCTTTCTACTCAGAAGGCTTTCCCTAGAATAATCATTATGGAGTCTGTCCATCCTTTACTCATTCACTGCATGGGGACAGGTGTTAGTTATGAGATTGGTGAATTTAGAAAGCTAACCAATTTCATACCTATTTTGGGATTCTCAATTCACAAACTTTTGTGCGTTTCTTAATTATTTCCTTTCTTTTTCTTGTAGAGAGCAGTCATGATGGCCTGCACTCCACACAATGCAACAGAGTGAAAGAGCAGGTTCTGCTTCTTTGGTGTAGTCCTGAAGCTTCCTAAGAAACTTCACATCAGGTGATGGATAGGAGCAACCCTGTAAAACCAGCCTTAGACTATTTTTCAAACAGTAAGTAATAAAGGTGACGTTTTGATCTTTATCTGCTTAATTACTTCTGCTATGATTCTATTGATTCTAACATTGAAGGAGCAGTAAATTTATATGTATTATCCAACTATAAAACAATAAATAAACGATATGTCAAATACATTATCACATCCTTATGTTCTTATGATAATATTGTCCTTTTTTTAACAGTTTTTATTCTTATTTGTTGATTGGTTTGTCTTTATGTTGTCCTTTCTACTATCAAACTGAACATGTTGAGGTCATAGGCTATCAAAACTGTACATTTCTGATGCTAACCATAGAGACTTAACAACAGTAAATAGGCCAAAATGGAATGTTGTTAGCCATAGTGTGTATTATTATTTCTTTTATACATGTGGTCACTGTTAGAGGAGTTTATGACTTTTTGCCTAGATTAATGACACACAAACCATCTACAAACGAATCATACCTTATTCCCTCACTGTAATTTTTAATGTTGCTATTTTTGCCTGTTAACATTCCATAGGTTTATCACATTGCTTAAAGATTTAATTTAATTTCTGTAATTGTATATGTCATGAGAGATTGCTTTTAACCTTCCAATGTTCGTGGTCTCATTTTCACTAACATAATCCCAACTTTAGCTGCGCACAATACCACATTTCCCAGCATTCCTTGCATCTGGATATAGCTGTATTCAAATAAGCCGTGTGAAACTTCTGGGATGGCTCCTTAAGTGCAGTTGACTCATTAGGGAGGTATGTCTTTTTTATTTTTCTACACTTTGTGCTGCTGTCCTGGAGTACAGACATGGTGGCTAGAAGCATGAAATCACCTTGAAGATAGAAGTCATGCATTGAAGTTAGTAAAAGTGAAATGTAAGTGTATAGTTTCCTGATGAAAATGGGAAGCTTATGTACTAGCAACAGAATGCTTATTATGCAGGCTTCCTATATGTAAAAGAGGACAAATTCTCATTTTATTAAGTTTCTGAAAGTAGATTTCTAAATGCTGGTTCTATTTTTTATTGAAAGTAATGGCAAAAAACGCAATGCCTTTTGTACCAACCTAATAGTTAATAAACATATCCTCAAATGAAATGTCTTAGAATTGTGTTCATCAAGTTAATATTAATAATTTATTAGAATAGCACTCTAAAGGGTTGCAGCCTATGCATGAAAATACTTACAAACTACTACATGATAATCAATTCTTTTTGGCAAGACTGCTATTTACATGGACACAAGAGTTATTATAAGAATGTTGTATGTATACATGAATAGTGTCTGTTAAACACTGGATATAATAAAAACAATAGTTTTTCTGTTAATTATAACAATCTGAACATTTTTGTGATTATATTTCACAAATGACACACCATTTTATTTGCAGATTTTTCTTATCCCCAAAGTTTTTGTTAATTTATTACCAACACAGCACACAAGTCTAGTGGCAATGCATTGCCTCTGCAGTTGATTTTGAAGTAAGAAGGCCTATTTATTGCATTCATTCCTGCTTAGATGACATCTTAAATTTGTTAATTGGATTATTATGCTCTATTCTATACATTTATTGATTTATAGATTTTGTGGACACAAATTTCAAAACATATTCGAAAATTTGGTGATAGCTTTTTAGAATCTATTCTTCAACATAGTTATTGAAAGTGAACAAGAAGGACCTCCTCTAGAGATTAGGTTGAGAACCACTTCTTTGATTTGTTAAATATGTGTACATGGATACCATGTGGCTTTATTATGAGGAGCCACTTAAGTGGCTGAGTTACAATTCACAAAACATTGTCACAGGGAAAATATCAGGACAAATTTTCAAGTCGCATGCCAAGAAAAGAAACTTTCTGAATGCTTATAAGAAATACCTTAATTAATGGGAGCCCTTCAAAGTACACAAAACATCATAACTAGGAGTTGCAACACAACCAGCAATTTGCTGATTGAAATGCATTCATTCATACTGACTTCACCTGCTGAATGGAATATTGTGCTGTACTGTCCTTAGCTATGGAGAGAGAATTAAGGAATATCCCCTTCTGGTGTTCAACAACAACGAAAGAGCAAGAAAGATATATTCCTAATTTTTAAAGAAGAATGTAGAGATACTTAAACAAGACAATGAAGGTGGTAGAAAGATTATTACCATCCCCAAAGTGTTTGCTCATTAAAACATTTTGTGATTTTCTCTGCCAATATCATACCTGTATGGATAATTGTTTTCCTATCCACACAGTTATGAGAGTGAGAAGATGGAATATAAAAGATGGAACAAGAGGGAATCTGTGTGGTGACCACAGTAATCACAGGCTGGTTGGGATCCTAAACTCGGCCACAGCACAAAAGCATGTTCAAGTTTAAAGTCATGAGAGAGGCCTGGCATAGTGGCTCACACCTATAATCCCTGCACTTTGGGAGGCCAAGGTGGGAGGATTGCTTGGGGCAAAGAGCTCAAGATCAGCCTGGGCAACATAGTGAGATCCCATCTAAAAAAATGTTCTTTAAGTTAGCCTTATGTGGTGGCATGTTCCTGTGGTATCAGCTACTCAGGTGGCTGAAGTGGGAGGGTCACTTGAGCCTGGAGGTTGAGCCATAATCATGCCACTGCACTCCAGCCTTGGTGACAGATTAAGACTCTGTCTCCAAAAGTAAAACACCAAACAACACAAAAAGTAAAGTCACAATAAAATGAGATGCTATTAAGGTTGTTTTAGGTTGATTTTCAACTAGACCAGCATTTAGCCTGTACAAAGGCATATACAAAATAAACCCTAAACCTAAATGGGATTCAGCAGCAGCAGTGTGGGTTAAAGAAGCCACCAGTTCCCTGGAGGCCAGAACCACAGGCCTGTGGCCTTTTTTATTGTTTTGACAGGGAGGTGGAAAGCAGGAGTATAACTACATTCAAGTGTCTGCTCTGTTGCTGTAGGAGAAAATCCGTGCTGTAGCACATCAAAGTTTTTCCAAATTTTATTTCTTAGGACATCTTTGGGGTTTATGTAAGTATTAAATAGAGCTCCCCTAGCCCAGGCTTACACAGGACATATGTCTAGTGTCATAGGTCTGTATGCTTAAATTATAGCAGAAAGTTTGCTAAAATTTAAGTGAAGTAATGTTGAAGGTTGAATCATTTGAAACAAACTACCTGCACCAAAATATTCTTTAGTGTACTGATTTCTATCCCACCCCTAATGAGGCTGAATTTTAATCTTAACTCTGCTTGTAATTAGGTATTTATATGTGTCTGTTATTCATTTTTTAACAAGATGTCTCTTCAGAGATAAAATGAGGGTAGCAAAAAATAATTTTAATAGCCATTTATATGGCTTTGATAACAATTGTCTGTTCTACTTATCTGACTGATTCTAAACTCTAAAGGTTATTTTACAGTTAGTAAATTACATAATTTTTATGCAACAATTTGCCTGCCAGGATTCCTATAATACTTGTCAGCTATCAGTAGGTATAAGCCTGTTAGCCTCTAATGTGAAGATAATATCTCTTTAAGTTATAACGCATTTACAATTGTTACAGTTTCTAAGGTCTTTTTGAAGTTAGAGATGCATCTGAGGATGATGGTTTTCAAGGAGATAGCTCTTTGACAAAAAATGACAATATGGGACTTAGTGTTATATTAATTTACACATTATGTTTTTGCTATAAAGAGATAAAAGGTGTGCTATACTACCTATCAATTACTGTATGCCACATTTTGTAGAATTGTTTTCCATATTATTGTAGAATGTGGCACTTAAATAGTATCATGAAAAAAGTTTATTCAAGAAATAAGACATTAATGAAATATAATTAATATATAAAGACTATATTTAAAAATAATTATGTATTTCTAATCCTAAACTTTTTAAGGTGACATTATTTTTTTCTGTGATATAATTTCAGTTGAGAAGAACTTTAAATTTTAATAAGATTTTAAGATGATTCAGTAATGTTAACATACTTTTCTTCTGTAAATTTTGTTAACAATTTAGCTGCATTAATTAAATATTTATGTAGCTAATTTTAATAGTGATATTTTAATACAATTCTTAATTTTACTCCTGGCTTTCAATCATTCATATATGTTTTTAAAAATTGCTTTTTCCATTGCTTTACTTCTTAATTACTTTTATCAAAGTCTTAATTGTGTGTGGTTGATTTTAAAAGTTAAATATTTCTATAAGATTTATAAAGACAAACTGGGTACAGTGACTCACACCTGTAATCCCAGCACTTTGGGAGGCCGAGGGGGTAGATCACTTGAGGTCAGGAGTTCGAGACCAGCCTGGCCAACATGGTGAAAGCAGTTTCTACTAAAAATACAAAGATATGCCTGGTGTGGTGGTTGGCCCCTGTAATTCCAGCCACTTGGGAGGCTGAGGCAGGAGAATTGCTTGAACCTTGGAAGCGGAGGTTGCAGTGAGCTGAAACCATGCCATTGCACTCCAGCCTGGGCAGCAAGAGCGAAACTCCATCACACACACACACACACACACACACAAAATATATATATATATATATATATATATATATATATATATATATATATAAAATATATATATGTATGTATGTATATATACATGTATATGTGTGTGTGTGTATATATATATACACACACTATATATATATATATATATATATATACACACACACAATAGAAATGTCCTGGCTATATCTATATTAATAGGTTTTGCACATTTAAACCAAAGTCACACATATGGTTTGATTCTAATTAATTCTAATGCATCTTGCAGGTTTCAAACTGTATTCTATTATGTAATTATCTGCTGATCCACTCTGTATCCTGTTGTGTAAGTTGCGATGATTAACCTCTGCCTTTACGATGTAATCCAAATGTAGCATATAGACCTCAATGATAAGATTGATCATGGTGCATTTAATCATTAATTTATTATTAATCTCTTTTATCCTGGTACTTAGAGTGCAGATTTTTCTCAACAACTATTTACGCAATCATTAAATGAAATACAGCCTTGTGTCACTTAGCAATGAGGATATGTTCTGAGAAGTGTGTGGCTAGGTGATTATCTTACTGTGCAAACTTCATAGAGTGATCAATCTATAATGGTGATAGCAATTTTTCAACCCTATTATAATCTTAATGAGCCATTGTTTTACATGCTGTCTCTTATTGATGTAAACGTTGTTATGTGGCACATGATTATGTAAAAGATATTAATCCATTCATTATTTATGCATTCATCCATTTGACCTATGGTAGTGTTCTATTGAAAATGAGTCATCGTGATACAGAAATCCACTGTTAGTTGTTTTTACTTTCTCTTGTTCGTGGGGAAGAGTGGGTATTGATTTTAAAAGTCTAAAGAATGGGGTATTGTGAATAGTGCCGCAATAAACATACGTGTGCATGTGTCTTTATAGCAGCATGATTTATAATCCTTTGGGTATATACCCAGTAATGGGATGGCTGGGTCAAATGGTATTTCTAGTTCTAGATCCCTGAGGAATCGCCACACTGACTTCGACAATGGTTGAACTAGTTTACCGTCCCACCAACAGTATAAAAGTGTTCCTATTTCTCCACATCCTCTCCAGCACCTGTTGTTTCCTGGCTTTTTAATGATTGCCATTCTAACTGGTGTGAGATGGTATCTCATCGTGGTTTTGATTTGCATTTCTCTGATGGCCAGTGATGGTGAGCATTTTTTCATGTGTTTTTTGGCTGCATAAATGTCTTCTTTTGCGAAGTGTCTGTTCATGTCCTTCGCCCACTTTTTGATGGGGTTGTTTGTTTTTTTCTTGTAAATTTGTTTGAGTTCATTGTAGATTCTGGATATTAGCCCTTTGTCAGATGAGTAGGTTGCGAAAATTTTCTCCCATTCTGTAGGTTGCCTGTTCACTGTGATGGTAGTTTCTTTTGCTGTGCAGAAGCTCTTTAGTTTAATTAGATCCCATTTGTCAATTTTGGCTTTTGTTGCCATTGCTTTTGGTGTTTTAGACATGAAGTCCTTGCCCACGCCTGTGTCCTGAATGGTAATGCGTAGGTTTTCTTCTAGGGTTTTTATGGTTTTAGGTCTAACGTTTAAGTCTTTAATCCATCTTGAATTAATTTTTGTATAAGGTGTAAGGAAGGGATCCAGTTTCAGCTTTCTCCATATGGCTAGCCAGTTTTCCCAGCACCATTTATTAAATAGGGAATCCTTTCCCCATTGCTTATTTTTCTCAGGTTTGTCAAAGATGAGATAGTTGTAGATATGCGGCGTTATTTCTGAGGGCTCTGTTCTGTTCCATTGATCTATATCTCTGTTTTGGTACCAGTACCGTGCTGTTTTGGTTACTGTAGCCTTGTAGTATAGTTTGAAGTCAGGTAGCGTGATGCCTCCAGCTTTGTTCTTTTGGCTTAGGATTGACTTGGCAATGCGGGCTCTTTTTTGGTTCCATACGAACTTTAAAGTAGTTATTTCCAATTCTGTGAAGAAAGTCATTGGTAGCTTGATGGGGATGGCATTGGATCTATAAATTACCTTGGGCAGCAAAGACTTGGAACCAATCCAAATGTCCAACAGTGATAGACTGGATTAAGAAAATGTGGCACATATACACCATGCAATACTATGCAGCCATAAAAAATGATGAGTTCATGTCCTTTATAGGGACATGGATGAAATTGGAAATCATCATTCTCAGTAAACTATCGCAAGGACAAAAAACCAAACACCGGATGTTCTCACTCATAGGTGGGAATTGAACAATGAGAACACATGGACACAGGAAGGGGAACATCACACTCTGGGGACTGTTATGGGGTGGGGGGAGGGGGGAGGGATAGCACTCGGAGATATACCTAATGCTAGATGACGAGTTAGTGGGTGCAGCACACCAGCATGGCACATGTATACATATGTAACTAACCTGCACATTGTGCACATGTACCCTAAAACTTAAAAGTATATAAAAAAAAAAGGGGGGGGTATACACACAGTCAGGTGTCAAGCAGTGGCACCTCGTGCAAAATAATAAACTCATCTAAGATCCTAGCAGTTCATTCTGAAAATAAAGCTGGAAATATATCTTGGATATGTAAAATGTGAGTGTAAAAATTAATGAAACTAAGCAATGGGAATATGAGTAGTAAATTATTTGAGAAAATATTATAACATTTACTTTTTTAAATTTCAAAACTATATTTCCTTATTTAAAACTGAAAATTTTTGTGTACATATAGGAAACTAATTGTGTCATTTTTCTTTTTGTTACAATATAGAGTGATGTTTCAAAACACAAACATAATAGGTAGAGTCAATTACTTAGGGGAGTCTAAACCTGGAGGTAACATTAGAAATAGAAATAATAAAATGCAGTGTTTTTGGATTTGTCTGTTAAGATTATTTTAATCCAGATCATATTTAATGGTTTACATAGTTGTATATCAAATTTGGTTTCAGAAATAAATTATACAGTAAATTTAAAAATGCAAAAAATGTATATTGTTATACATTCTGTAACCTATGAATCCATATAACTTGGGCAAGAAAATTATATAATTAAAAATAAAACCTTTCTGTTCTCAATTATGTTTTAGGGACAGCTATATAGTTCACACTCACAAAGGAATCATAAAAACTCTATGTATAATCTTGGAAGTAAAAATATCTGTTGTATCATATTTATGAAGTATACAATTGATTAAAAATGATAATGTCTGTCTTCTATCCAACGGCAATAACAGAAGATAATGGCATATAAGTAGGCCTGTCTCCTTTTTTTTGGCATTGATTTATATATCTTTACTAGCTTTGTTGTTTTAACTCCAATAAAAGATTATTTAGTAAGCCAAAGCAAAAAAAAAAAAAAAATCCTGTGAGCAGCCACAAACTGAAAGACTACGATTTTTAGTCAATGTCCTAAGCAACACAGTAATTTTAGGTTAACCAATGTGTCAAAGAGAATGAGGAAAAATTATTACAAAAATGAATAAATAAACTGGTCTAGGTCAAACCGTACTCCTTCTAAAGAGAGTAGTCAACTGATATTAAAGCCTGTGACGTAGTATGTGCCATATTGAGTATGCAATATCTAAATATTTCTTTTTTTTCTTTCTCCAGCTACTGCAAACCCTAATTGTTTCCTTATCCGATCACTTTAAAGTCATTCAGCAAATCATAATTATGCCATTGTTAACATCAGAAACTGAAAACCTACTGTCAAAAGTGAGCTAAAATATCATATTTGGATTTATTTATAAATTTATTTTATAAAAAGATTGACTTTCAATTTGAGAATAACATAAAAAATCAATTCATTCCTCTGTGCATCAATATTGTATCATTGGTAGTTTAAACTTTTCATCTAATATTAGATTGCATGCAGGATTTTATATCTAATTACTCTGGCAGATGGCCTTTAGAAAGTTCAAAAATAAAATGCAGCAATTCATATTGGCAGATTTACTATTGAGACCAATGCTTTCTTAACTAAAAGGTTTTGTTTAAAATCGTTAGTTTAGGAAATCTGATAAAGATTTTTGAATATCAGAGCGTTTAAAAGAGATTCTTACTTTACATCTGGCATATTTCTTGTGTTACATATTATAATTTCATTGAACATGGCTGTCTGTAAAACTATGTATATGATCCGGAAGAGACTCAAATTAAATTAAGTTTTAACAGCCATCAATTCATTTTAAAATGACACAGGCATGAAAAATGATCTATCAAGATTTGTAAATCTTATTCTGTTAGCTATTGCTAGAGATAGTCTAAAGGTATTCTACTTGGAATTTGAGATCAAGACAAAGATTTTCTGTTGGTAATAATATTCAGATTATTTTTATTTTAATGTATAAATTTAAAATTCTTAGAATATTTTCAACAATATTTTCCATTTCTAAATTTATTTTATTTCTAAACAAATGTAATTACTTTATTTATTAACTTTTATTTTCAGTTCAGGGGTATATGTGCAGGTTTGTTATATAGGTAAACCTATAGGTAAATAGGTATACAGATTATTTTGTCACCCAGGCATTAAGCCTATGCGCGTTAGTGAAAAATGTTATTGCTTTAAATATCCAAATTATTCAGCTGCATTTGAACTCATTCTTTAGTCCAATGTAAGTAAGAGTAAAACAATGACATTTAAGGCCACCAGGCTATTCTCATTTTTGGAAAAATGCTGGATTACATTACCAGCATATTAAATGAGAATATCAAGGTGTAATATCTCCCTAGAAATTGTCTCACCTTCAATACTATTGACATTTTTGGACCTGATAATTTTGTTGTGGGCTCTAGCCTCATGTTATAGGAGGTTTACCAGTTTTCCTGCCCTAAACTTACCGGATGTGAATAGCATCTTTGGAATCTTCAGAACCTCTTTAGAGTTTGGGATTTAAGAGTCAGTAGGTAGATAGTGAGCTTAAGATGCCAAACACAACATATAAAGCTATAAAAATCCATATGATCTTGAAAGATTAAATGGAAGCCCAGCACAAAACAATTGCTGAGTATATTATTTACATTATCTGAAAGTATGCCAGACAGACACTTTATATGTTAATAAAGATATGAGAAAGAAAATTCCAAAGAGTTTCTAAAAAGTGAACAACCACAAAATTTCAATAGCTTGCAACAGACATTTTCTTCTCACTCATGTTACCTGATGGAAAATCAAATGGCTGCCTGGAGACAGCATGGAGGGAGAGACTGATTACTGAGGTGCACAAGAAAACTTTTCATAATGATGGTTGTGAATGTAGTGATATTTCCAAAAGTATATACATATATATATATATCTATCTCAAATTTGACCACATCACACATTTCAAGTATACTGAATTGACTGTGCATCTCTTATTATACCCCAGGAAAGTTGAAGATATGACAATGAAAAAAAAATTCTTCCACCGACTACCCATCAATTTTCTTCTCATTAGCCTCACAGATTTCACAGTTAATTAAAGGGAAGATGCAAATATGTTCAAACTGTACATATTCTGAGGCCCATACCTTGCCATTAGCTCAATAAAGAGAGACATTGTCCCTGGCATGAAAATGAAAAACTTGCACACTCCCTAGGTGGCTTCTGGACACTCTTAAGACATGAACACACTTTGGGGGCTCACCCTGTCAGGCTTTGCTCTCCGAGCTTAGATGAGAAAAACACAAAAATAAAACCAAAAGGTGACATTTAGGTGCCCATCAAGAAAGATGTGTTGGGAACTGGACAGGTCAGGGCTTTAAGTACTGTATCTTACTGTATGTTTAAGTACTGTATGTTACTGTGGAAACTTACCCATTTTCCCCTCAGAACAACTCTGTCTCAGGAGGTGAGTCTGAGAGCTACTGTTTCTTTGTAAAGGTTTTATCTGATCAGGCCCACGGTCACCACGTCAGCCCCACTGCCCCTAAATAGTTTGAATCTTGATGTTTTGATTTCAAGGACTTCTGATTCTAGCTACATAGCTTTGTCCATTTCCCACCTTACCACTATTTACTTTGAATTTTGTTGCATGCCGAGACCAGTGACTGCCACAAATGTGACTGTTCCTAGAATCTGCTTTCTGCTCTGATCTTTAGTCAGTGCGCAGACTCTAACATAAACTCCTTTCTATCGTATTTTCTTGAGTCCAAGAGCCCATAGATTGTATAATGCACTATTTTATGTCCCGTTAAGCAAGTAATTCGCATTGTGGCTAATTAAACTAAGACATACCACTGAATTGTAAAATGCATTATATTTTCAGGAGATATTAAAATATGAAATGTATAGGTCTTGGAATAGATGAATTGTGACAGTATCTTTGGAAAGCTAATTCAGTTGCAGTATTGCTTAAGATGTCTTTAAGAGCTGACTTCCTTTAGTTGGAATACATATGTAAATTATTTGCAGAGGAGATTTACCTCTTTTATCTCATTCATTTGTTTATTCAGTCATTTATTGATATCAATATGGACTAAGGAAAATTACATTTTTGGGTATAATCCAAATATAATACCAATTAATGTATTGTGTTGCTAAAATTATTCTAGAAATTGAAAGACCTTTCACTTGGCCCCTGTGCTTGTTTGACATATCTCACAAATAGATTTTTGTTAGTATTTTCATAATTTCTGGCACTAGAGGATGTCCCAGGCTCATCTTGTGTATTTTCTTCCCCATTCTTAGAATCAGCCACTTTCAAAGACGCCCTGCTTTCTATATATGAAATCAATATTTAAGTGCTAGCTGTGCCTGTAGCTAAGGGAATATCAATTTTTTCATAGCTCTCTAAGATGAGAGAGCAAAGAAACAATGTGTATATTCTTACACATATGTAGACACATATCTTTAAATATTTCTATATGTAAACATCTATATTAGTCCATTATCCCATTGTTATAAAGAACTACCTGATCCTAGGTAATTTATAAAGAAAAGAGCTTTAATTGCCTCACAGTTGCACAGGCTGTACAGGAAGCAAGGATGGGGAAGCCTCAGAAAACGTACAGTCATAGCAGAAGGCAAAGAGGAAGCAGGCACATCTTACATGGCTGGAGAAGGAGGAAGAGAACTAAGGGGGAGATGCTACACACTTTTAAACAACCAGATTGTGTGAGAACTAAGTCATTATCACAAGAACAGCAAGGAGGAAATCTGCCCCCATAATCCAATCCCCTCCCACTAGACCCCTCCTTCAACACTGGCGATTACAATTGGACGAGAGGTTTGAGAGGGGACAAAATGTAAACCATATCACCATCTATGTCTATATTAAGCTAAACATGGGTTCTTACTGATGTCACTACCTCTAACCTAGTCCCGCAAGCATCAATGCCTTCCTGTATCTCTAAACCCCCACTCCAACAATAAAAATCCTGACTCTTATTTTGTGACATCTATTTAGTTAATTGTTCACTTCCAGTATATGTATATAGCTGTACCAGAATTGATAACCTGCCCTTAGTAGAAGAACATCTTTATCAACTAAATTAAATGCCTTCGTACAAGTTTCTTTTGCCTTTCATCTTAAGAGACTGCACTCATTTTCAATATCACTTTGACTAGCACCCTTTCCCTTAAGTCCCTCACTGAAGTTATTTTGTATGGTTCATAATAGAGCTAGATAAATTTGTAACAGTCTGCATTCCATCCTGAGATTCTACAACCTTTTAATTAATTTTTAATTAAAAATATAACTTTTATTTTGGTAAATATTAGCACTTCTGTGCCACACTACTATATATAAATATCAAAAAAAGGTCCAGAAAGCTATAGAAAATTTAAGTAAAGTGCTGAATGTTGAACCTAACAATAACTGGGCTAAAGTAAGTACAGAAGGCAATTTTTTATTTACGTAAATTTGTGGGATACAAATATAATCTTATTACCTCCATAAAGTACGTAGTGTTGAAGTAAGGGTTTTAGAATATACATCACCTGAAAAATGTACATTGTACTCATTACATAATTTCTCATCATCCCCTCCTCCCACCCTCCTGAAATTTCCAAGTCTCTGTTGTCTATCATTCCACATTCTATGTCCATGTGTATACATTATTTAGCTTCCAGTTATAAGTGAGAACATGCAGTATTTGTCTTTCTGTGTCTGATTTGTTTCACTTAAAATAATGACCAGTTACATCCATGTTGTTACAAAAGACATGATTTTATTCTTTTGTATAGCTGAATAGTATTCTATAGCGCATATATGCCAGATTTATTAATGTAATCATCCACTGAGGGACACATTGCTATTGTGAATAGTGCTGTGATAAACATATGGGTGCAGATACCTTTTTCATACAATTATCTGTTCTCCTTTGGGTAGATCTCCAGTAGTGGGATTGTTGGGTGAAATTGCGGTTTTATTAAGAATGTATATTCTGTAGTTGCTGGGTAGTATTTTCTGTAAATGTCAGTTAGGTCTATTTCATCTAAGGTTGAATTTAAGTCTTAGGTTTATTTGTTTTCTGTCTTGATGATAACATTTAATGCTGTGAGTGAGATGGTAAAGTCCCCCAGTATTATCGTATTGCTGTCTATTCCTTTTTTATGTCTAGTAATATTTATTTGATGAATCTTGGTGGTCTAGTGTTGGATGCATATGTGTTTAGAATTGTTATATCCTCTTGCTGAATTGATCCCTTTATCATTATGTAATGACTTCCTTTGTCATTGTTATACTGTTTTAGATTTAAGTTCTGTTTTACTTGATATAAGTATAGCTATTCCTGCTTGCTTTTAGTCTCCGTTACATGGAGTATCTTTTTTCACCCATTTACTTTAAATCTGTATGTGTCTTTACTTTTCAGTCTGTATGTGTCTATATGTTTCTTGTAAGCATAATATTTTTGGATCATTTTTTAGTTCGTTCCATCAATCTACCTTTCTTTTTTTTTTTTTTTTTACTTTTAGATGGAGTTTCACTCTGTCATCCAGAGTGGAGTGCAGTGGCGCAATCTTGGCTCACTGCAAACTCCGTCTTGCAGGTTCAAGCGATTCTCCTGCTTCAGCCTCCCAAGTAGATGGGATTACAGGTGCCGGCCACCACGCCTGGCTAATTTTTGTATTTTTAATGGAGATAGGGTTTCACTATGTTGGCCAGCCTGGCCTCGAACTCCTGACCTCGTGATCCACCCACCTCGGCCTCCCAAAGTGCTGGGATTACAGGTGTGAGCAACTGCACCTGGCCCAATATCTATCAATCTATATATTTTAAGTGGAATGTTTAATTCATTTACATTCAAGGTTAATGTTAATACATGAGGTTTTCTTTCTGCCATATTGCTGTTTGTTTTCTACTTGTTTTATAAGTTCCTTGGGGTTATTTTGTTGTTGTTTTTTGTTTTTCTTTCTGTGTGTCTCTTTGTCTTTGTGGTTTGGTGGAAATCTGTTGTGTTGCTATTTGATTGCTCGTCCTACTTTGTGTGACTGTTTTACAAGACCTATGAGTTTGCTACTTTCATGTGTTTTGATGATGATGATGAATGTTGACCTTTCATTTTTGTGTTTGGGACACCTTTGAGTATTTCTCATAGGACTCGTTTGGTGGTGACGAATTCCCTCAGTGTGTGCTTGTCTGGAAAATACTTTGAATCATTTCAAGAAAATTAGCAGTGAGTTATGTCAATCAAGCCATTGGTTTGTATTTGGTGGCACATTTACTCTGTATTATTTCACACTAGAACCATCTGAGTTAAGTTTTATTATTTGCTATATGTTGCAGATGAAGAAACTGAAGCTGAGAGAGGTTTAGTGAATGACTGAAAAGGTTGTCAGGCTGCAGGGAAAAAAACAAAACAAAACTGTACGACTAGCCTGCAATGCTTCCCAAAGTATGTAGCTTATTATTATTGGTCACTTTTTGAGTACAAAATGCTGTGCTATGTAACAAAATAATACAATGTACATATGTATAAAAGTTAACATATACATATCAATTAACATAAGCATAACTGTAATCACATATACTGATAAATAAAAATATAAAGTAATATATGGTAATGACCCAACCATTTGCCTAAGTTTCATGTATTACAGAAGTTTTGAGGAGGGACTTCAGCTGTATGCAAATCAGCAATTCGGGTTGTACAGTTGATTACCCATTAGTTCAGAATTTTAATAATTTAAAATATATTTATTAAGAACCTAACAATTGGAAGACCTTACAATAGGTGGGAAAATTCGACAGATGAATAATGCTTAGGAGATATCAGCATGTTTTGGAAGGATATTCCCATGAAGAGAAAAAGTATTGTGGGAAGTGTGGGAAGTGTTATGGTGCGAGAGTAATATAGGTTCCAGCATGTGTTTACATTATTTTGTTGGAGGTGTTGGGGAACCTTTCATGGAAGGTGTGTGGTAGACTGTTGGACAGGTTTCCTCAACTTTCGTTCCACTCTTTGAAGAGGTTAGAAAATTAAAACAAAACAAGCAATGCAGCTTCCCTTGAGCTAGCTTTATGAATGCAGCTTAGACCACTTACCGATTGTTTGCATATGAATCAGACTTAGAAAAATGGAAGAGATCAAAGCCTGTCTTGCTATTGTTGATTCTGGCAAGTGAAATCATGGGGACAATAGTTCAGAAGTAGTGGAAGTGGTAGGATTCAATATCCTTGTGCCTAATCCCCAGTTTCATGGGCATAAGAGGCTTAAAGTTTTAATAGCAGGAGCATCTTTTTGACCCAGGATTGCAGAAATGATTGCGTGCCTTTGAATTCAAGAACTCAAAACCTTCCTCCATGCCACAGCTACTTTAGTTATTTTAGCCCTTCCTATTGTATATGTATGAAATGCACTTTCTGCTTAAGATACCTATTGCGGTTTTTATTTCCTTATTAAAACCTTGGAAAAATATAGCACTTAAATTATGTTTTGTAGAAATTCACTAAGCAAATAAAGCTAAAGGGGGAGAGAGTTAACCTTCTCTGCCCCCTTTTTATCAGAAGTTAGTTGTAGAAGAAATACACAATTTTTGCGCAATGTTAGCACCATCTAAGTTCTGTAGGTCTGGAACACAGACTGGTTAAATGAGCATTTCAGGAGCGCTATAGTTGCAAAGTTAAGCAGTCACCACAATTTTATGTGTCATACAAAGATTTTTAACTTTATGTTTAAGCAACGAGCCTAGAAGCAAATGGTATTTCCATCAAGAATTGTCTCATATAAAGTAGAGCGTTTTGGAAAATGGAGTTATTAATAGATAAAAACATGTTTATACAGTTGGTTTCTAAGTATGACAAACCTATTTCTTGGTAAATTGCAAGTCCATTCCACCTGTGTTTGTAGGCTCATTTGCCTAAAAGTCTTGGGATTTTTTTCTGATGATCTATTAAATTTTCTTTCTGATTATCTTTTCTAATGCTGTAATAGCATTTCTAACACTGTAATGAAAGAGAACAAAAGTACACGCTTGCTCATCATTTACTAATTCTAAAAATATATATTGAATACATCTATGTAGCAGGTACTGTGGTAGGTGTGGAAGATAGTTGAGACAGGTAACAAGCCCAACATTACGGAGCTTAGCATCACCACCTAGAAGAGTTTTTAAAAAACATAGATAAGTGAATCATGATTATAAAGACAAAGAGATTCTTGCCATATAATTACATATAAGCAAATTTAGGATGTGATGAAAGATTTTGATATTGGTCTTCTGATTTGGCTGTAGGATGAAGTGTTTATAAGTCATCCCAAGGAAGAAACAATTCAGATGAGAACTATTCAATGGATTTGCAATAACAATCCAAAGATGGAAGAAGACACTTCTAGGTAGACAAAATTGCAAGTATAGAGAATGTAAATTAAGAGAGAGCTTAGCTTTCAGATGAATTAAAAGATTGTGGTGATGAGAATGTAGAGATTGACGAGAGACAAATGAAATAAAACTAGAAGGACAAGTAGAGATTTGTGGGTCAAGTTTTAAAATTTTATTATAAATGCACTGATACTGTTCTGAACATTTTCTTACACATGGAAATTTAATGATTATGGCTATTGAAAAATGTAACTCTTCATTTATATTTTTCCGAGAATGAAATCGGTGGAATTGCTGGGGGGTGAAAATGTCCAATGCGAAACAGGAGGCTAATTTAAGAAGGGATACTGCAAAATTGGTCATGATGGCTCAAACTGCTGTTCATAATAGAGAGAAGAAAATGGATAGAGTTACATATGGATGAGAGTAAATTGACAAGGCTAAATGCTAAAACGTGGGTAGTGACAGAAAGTAGGTGTCAAAATAGACTTCCAGGAAAAGAAAAAATGGGTCTACAGAAGAGCCAAATGCTGATGTGGGTTACATGATCCTGAGCAGATGCAGTTGTAATTGGTTAAGTAAAGTAAGTTCTTAAGATAGATTTGGCCTGGCGCTATACATTCTAGAGCCCTTGAATATAAGTGGGATATAAAACCATGGGAATGACTGTATTTGTCTAAGGAGAGAATTTGGCAGAAGAAAAGGAGACATAAGATGAAATGCAGAGGAAATTCAAATTTAATTGGCAGGTGTAGGAAGACAAGGAGATGACAAAAGGAACTGGAAATGAGTAATCAGAGACAGAAAAGTAAAAGTAAGAGTAGAATGTCATGGAAGGCAAATAATTGGAATGTTTCAAGATCAGGGAAATGGGCAATAAAGAGAAGAAAAAAATAGTGACCAGAGGGTATAGTAATGTGTAGAAATTCATCCTGTGTTAGGTTTGATTGCTTAGACGTTTTATATAAAAATCTTTCCCAGAGAGTAATAAAACAGAAGTGAGGTTAGAGAAAGAACATACGATTTAGCCAAAAGGTGGGAAAAGTTAGGAAATGAAGAATAAATATGTTTAAAGATAATGTTATGGCTACTCAATGTACAACCTCTTTTCTTTCATTATTTTTAATTGTCATATTTAAAAATAGTAATTACCACTTTTAAAAATTGTCTTATTATTTGTTACATAAGAAAATGCATTAATTCAAGCCACATAGTATCATTTATATTATGACTGTCGAAACATTACTAGAATTACTAGAACTATTAACCTAATGGCCTGAAAATTTCAACTCACTTCCCTAGCTGTCCTGATGATCATTAGTGAAAGGAAAGACTCCATTAGATAATGCTTACTTATAGAGAACTGGTTATATCTGTCTCATTTCCATACATATATCTGTATAAATTAATTTGATTAATAAAACAAACACAAGGCACAAACAACAAAACACAATTTATAAATGTCATTGAAAAATGCATGCCTGTACAATTTGGGTATTTGTAATTGTAAATTGATATACTTCATTTTTTATCCAGGAGTTACTTAGATTGAAACTTTACCTAATGTATGATAAAATAATACGTGATTAAATTTAAAAACATGATGAATTTATTTAAAATTGGCTTCAATAATGTCAGAAAGTAATAAAATAAAATGATTCCTTCAAAGACTGCACCTGTTTATTGCCTGAGATTATCTCTCTTGGCCACAAATCAATATTACTTTCTTTCATTCATCAGTGATAAAGCTTTTCAATAATTCTAATTTTAAAGGATGATTACAGCAAGTATATAGTCATTGATTGCTTAAAGGTTGCAGCTAAAATGAACACAATGGTCATTTTATTTTTAATAAATGAGCCCTTTTGAAAAGTCAAGCATTTTTCCTCTCACAAAACTTTGTGTAATAAGATTATAGATTTGATCATGTATGAGTTTGCACTGTGTGTGTGTATATATGTGTGTGTGATTTCAGCGATAAAGTTCACTGTTCCACAGCTGGCAATTTCTTCTGCTTAATTGAAAATTCCGTTTTAAAATATTTCTTTAAAGTTCTAAAATGGGTTTAAATGGGTTCATGAGCTGTAATACTATTAAAAATATATATATCTACATATTTGTTGATTCTTCTCAGTTTAAGAAGTGGAGCTTCATACTCCTCCCCTTGAAGGCAGGCTAAGCTGAGTGACTCCCATCTAAGAAATAAAACACCACAGGATTGGAATGTTACCTTCTGAGACAAGGTCACAAAGGCTAGGGTTTTAATTTTGAGTGAACTAATTTGCTCCTTACTGGTGTTTCTCTCTCTTTCTCTCCTTCAACTCTTTACGAGCCCAGCCACCATGCAAATAATTCCAAACTATCTTTTCTAGAAAGCTCACATGAAGAACCGAGGCATCCTATCTGATATCCAGCCAAATGATTAAACATTCTAGAAGCAGACTATGATGCACTGAATTTGTGAAATCCTAACCCCCAGTGTAATGATAGTAGGAGGTGGAGCTTTTGGTAGATGATAGTCTGTCTTCATGTTGGGGATTAGTGCCTTGATTATTATTTTTTATTTTTATTTTTATTTATTTATTTATTTATTTTTTGAGACAGAGTTTTGCTCTGTTACCCAGGCTGGAGTGCAGTGGTGCCATGTCAGCTCACTGCAGCGTCTGCCTCCTGGGTTCAAGTGTTTCTTCTGCCTCAGCCTCCTGAGTAGCTGAGTAGCTGAGACTACAGGTACGCACCACCACACCTGGCTAATTTTTGTATTTTTAGTAGAGACGGGGTTTCACCATACTGGCCAGGCTGGTCTGGAACTCCTGACCTCGTGATCTGCCTGCCTCAGCCTCCCAAAGTACTGGGATTACAGATGTGAGCCACCGTGCCCAGCCGGGGATTAGTGCCCTTGTAAAAGAGACCCCAAAAAGCGTCCTTGCCCCTTCTGCCATGTGAGCTAGAGGACAGTAATCTATGAACTAAAAAATGGGCTCTGACCAGACACCAAATCTGCAAGCACCTTGATTTTGCACCATCCAGCCTCCGGTACCATTAGAAACGTTTCTGTTGTTTATAAGCTACCCTGTCTATGGTATTCTGTAGCGACAGTGCAAACAAACTAAGACACGGACCTTCCAACACAAGTTAAAGGCTTCAGGGGATGCTGCCTGGGTCAACAACATGACAGCAACCTTTACTCATGAGAGACTTCGAGTCAGAACCACCTACCCAAATCCATCATTTCCCTGACTTCTATAAATTGTGTCATACATATTTGTTATTTTAAGCCATTAAGTTTTAGGGTAATTTTTAAATGGAAAAATACATGATCATAGGTAAACTATAATTAATAGAAAAATCTAATGCCAATAATATTTACCATTGATTGACCGTCAAAACTCCATTAATTATTTGCTTTCCATTTATATTTATTTTTGGATTTCTTTTTTAAGAGAATGGCACCTGTGACAGCATACTGTTAATATTACCCTTTTATCGTACTTTACCATGCCATCTCTGAAGAATATTACAGACCATTTTGGAGCATGGTGAATAAGAAATTTTCACCTTAGGAGTTCACTTGAATAGTCATTTTTATATTTGTGACTGCAAGTCACTTTTAGGGGCTGTACTTCCTTAGTACTGGTAGCATTATTATCCAATGGACTTTTTTAGCTTTCATTAGGTTTTCTTTTGTTTTTGTTCTTTAAAGAACGTTTTACTTGTCTTAGTATTTCATTTTTTAATCTATACTATGAGGCAGTAAGAGTCTTCTGTTTTTCCAAAGTGGAGACTGCTTTATATTTATTTCGTATTGTCTACAGCTGTAGTGTTCAATACATTAGCCACTAGCCACATGTGGTTATTTAAATAAGATGAAATAAAAATTGGCCGGGCGTGGTGGCTCACGCCGGTAATCCCAGCACTTTGGGAGGCCGAGGCGGGCAGATCATTAGGTCAGGAGATCGAGACCATCCTTACTAAGACGGTGAACCCCCATCTCTATTAAAAATACAAAAAATTAGCCGGGCGTGGTGGCGGGCGCCTGCAGTCCCAGCTACTCAGGAGGCTGAGGCAGGAGAATGGCGTGAACCTGGGAGGCAGAGTTTGCAGTGAGCCGAGATGGCGCCACTGCACTCCAGCCTGGGGGACAGAGCGAGACTCCATCTCAAAAAAAAAAAAGAAAATTAAAAATTAAGTTCTTTAGTTGCACTAGCCATATTTCAAATACTTGATGGATACATGTGGCTAGTGGCTAACATAAGGGATAGCACAGATATAAAACATTTCCTCGTCATATAAAGTTCTATTGGATAGTGCTGGTCTGTAGCTTATAGGATGGTATCTTAGTCTGCTTCAGCTGCTAAAACAGAATACCATAAATTAGGTAGCTTAAACAGTAGATATTTTGACCAGGCGTGGTGGCTTATGCCTGTATTCCTAACACTTTGGGAGGCCGAGGCAGGTGGATAACTTGAGCTCAGGAGTTTGAGACTAGCCTGGGCAGCATGGCAAAACCTTGTCTCTACGAAAATCAGCTGGGCATGGTGGTGCACGCCTGTAGTCTGAGCTACTTGGGAGGCTGAGGTGGGAGAATTGCTTGAACCTGGGAGGCGGAGGTTGCAGTGAGCCATGATCGCACCACTGTACTCCAGCCTGGATGACAGAATGAGACTCTGTCTCAAAAAAAACAAAAACAAACAAACAAAAAAACAGATATTTCTCACAGTTCTGGAGACTGGAAGTGCAAGATCAAAGTGTTGGCAAATTGTGTTTCTTAAAGAGGGCCTGCTTCCTAGATTGGAAATGGCCATCTTCTCTCGGTATCCTCACATGGTAGGGAGAAAAGCAGCTCTAGTGTCTCTTCTTATAAAGGAAGTAATGCCACCATAGGGGCTCTATTCTCATGACCTCATCTAAACCTAATTCTCTCCTAAAGGCCACGCCTCCCAGTATCCTCACCTTGGGGGTTAGGGCTTTATCATATGAATTTTTTTTTTTTTTTTTTTTGAGACAGAGTCTCGCTCTGTCTGTCACCCAGGCTGGAGTGCAGTGGCACAATCTCGGCTCTCTACAAGCTCCGCCTCCTGGGTTCACGCCGTTCTCCTGCGTCAGCCTCCTCAGTAGCTGGGACTAAGGCGCCCGCCACTGCGCCCGGCTAATTTTTTGTATTTTCAGTAGAGACGGGGTTTTACCATGTTAGCCAGGATGATCTCGATCTCCTGACCTCATGATCCACCCGCCTCGGCCTCCCAAAGTGCTGGGATTACAGGCATGAGCCACCGCGCCCGGCCTATCATATGAATTTTGAGGGAACACAAACATGCAGTCTGTAGCAGATGGTAATAGGCTGACATATTACACTTGTTGATGTAAATCTGATAGGTTTCTTTCTCTCCAAGGACAGCTTTTTAAATATTTAACAGTATCAATAATTTTTCAGGTTCTGTGAGAATTTTATAATTTATAATTTGCAGACTTAACGTATAATCTATTTTGTCCTAACAATTACAAATATATTTTTTATTTCAGATTGTATATATTCCTACCAGATGGAGATAATTACAGCTTTAAAAATTTTTATTTTTTCATTTTATTTCACACATTGACATTAAATTTTTATGGACACATAATAACTGTACATATATATGGGGTAGAATGTGATGTTTTAATACATGTACTCAATGTGTAATGATCAAATCAGGGTAATTTGCATAATGATTTTTCTGTAGGGAGAAAATTCAAAATCTACTCTTCTGGCTATTTTCAAATATATAATATGTTATTGTTAACTATACTCATCCTACTATGCAATAGGACACCAGAACTTATTCCTGGGTTCTACATCCGTTAAGGCAACCAAGGATTGGAAATATTGGAAAAAAAAATTGCGTCTGTACTGAACATGTACAGACTTTTTTCTTGTCCTTATTCCTTACACAATATAGTACAATAACTATTTGCATGACATTTACATCGGATATTATGAGTGATCTAGAGTTGATATGAAGTATATGGGAGGATGTGCAAAGGTGATGTGCAAATACTATGTCATTTTATATCAGGGACTTGAGTATCCTTTGTTACCCTCAGGAGATCCTGAAACCAGTCCCCCATGGATACTGAGGGCTGACTGTATAGTCCTATCCTCACGGAACTTTCATTCTAATGGGGGAAGACTGACTATAAACAAAATATATGTAATAGGTGGTGGTAAGTACCGTGGAGAAGTAACAAATGGGGCAAAGTGAGTTATACAGCTCCATTCTTAGAAACCTTGGAGTACTTTTCTTAGTTTATACTCGTGGTGGTTTCCTTTTGTCTCCTTTATTACATGGGACTCTGACATGTGCCCATAGCTAGGGTGACAGTAGGATCTACCCGATAGTAGGGTGGCAGTAGGATCTACCCAAAAAGCGTCCTGCTGATACAGGACCAAAGCATCCTGTTGTTCTCGAGCCTATAAAAAGAGCTAATGGTGTTGCTTCTCTTAACTGTGGCCTCCTACACTGTGTTTTGGATGATTGGTGATGTCTTGGATATTCTGTTTCTTTGGAACTTTGAATATACAACACTTTACTAGGGAATTAGCAATGGAAGCAGAGCAAAGATGTACAGAGGAAACAATGCGTAACTCTGATGGAATTGAAGTCATGAGGCAGCAGAGAGCTTAAATTACAGCTTTAAAAATTTTTATTTTTTAGAGGGAATTTACTTGGGAGTAACAGCAGTAATAGTTAACGGAGCCAGAATGCTTGAGTCATATAATTGCAAAGCAGAGTTGGGAGCAACAGATGCTAAAGAGTAGTTGCTGTAGTTCCTCTTTGGGTCGTAGGAGCAGTTGTCATATTACTATATAGCTACTGCATGAAGAAGAGTTCTTAGTGAGGCCTGGGTGAACAGCTCTTCTTAGTATTCTGTGTGACCCCATTTGACCTTTTAACAAATCCCTAAGTAAATAAATAGCCCCTCAGGAAAACTAAGTTTTTCTCTGCTGTTTTTTCGCTTGAGAGAGCTATAACTGTAATAGACTTATATTTCTGAACATTTTAGTGCTTGCCAATATTTGGTAATATTTATGTTTCCTATATTTGTAATGAACATTCTTCTTCCGGTACATTTTTTGTTAAATTATTGTTTGATGGATAAAAGTTCACCTTTTATTGTATAAAATTGACTGAGATTAATTTATACACATTGACAATGGGTAAATAGAATTTTTCAGATTATTAAAAGCTGAAGGATGCCCACGTAAGCAAAAAAAAAAAAGAAAAAACCAACAAAAATAAACCCAAACCCCTCAAACAATTTCGAACACGAAACATTCTTCTGATGCCGGCATCCCTGCTTGCAGGTGTGAAGGGGGCAGGAATCAGCGAGGTGTCCTGGGCTGAGTCCCCGGAGTGGGAAGAGGTGGCAGGAAGGGGATCTGAGGAGGAGAACAGGGGTCCTGGTGGTCTGTGCTTCTTCCCAGACACGGGAGCTGTAGAGGAGACCTCTGCAGCAGATGCTAGGGGGGCCAGTAGGCCCAGGCAGTCTTGGGACTTGGGTCTGTCCTGCTGTGCATCCATAGTGGGTGCTTTAGAAACGGGAGGCCCACCCGAAGCCCCTGTTGCAAGTGAGGACAAAGTGTGGGAAGGCCGTGAGGGTCTGCAGTCCGAGATGGCCTTGTCCTCAACGTGCAGTGCACTGTTGATGCGGGGCCTAGAGGCCTGGGATCTGGGGGAGCCACCCCTGGGGGCGAGTGTCTGCCCTGGTGCTGTACCTGCCTTGTTTTCACAGCGGTGACCCGAAGAGACAGCCTGAGGTCCGTCCTCACTCACTGTGTTTGAGGAACTGTGGGCCAGCTGGCAGTGGGATGAGGCTGGCCCCCTCCTCCGCTTTAGTTCCTGGAGGCCTTCCGTAGAGCTGTGGGAGCTGGAGCTGGCATTTCGTTTGAGGCAGGATCTGGTCCGGGAGGTCTGGGATCTCTGGTTATATCTCACTTCTGACCTCTGGGCACGTGCTGCAGCTGTGGCTGAGGCCAAGAAATGTGAGGGGCCTCCATCCACTGCATTGAGTAGCGACCCCGACGTGGGGTTCAATGTGGAGGGGGGAAGGGCTGCTGCGGCAGCTGCAGGAGCCGAGGTGCCAGGCCTTGTTCTTCTCATGCCGGCATCCCTGCTTGCAGCTGTGAAGGTGGCAGGAATCAGCGAGGTGACCTGGGCTGAGTCCCGGGAGTGGGAAGAGGTGGCAGGAAGGGGATCTGAGGAGGAGAACAGGGGTCCTGGTGGTCTGTGCTTCTTCCCAGACACGGGAGCTGTAGAGGGGACCTCTGCAGCAGATGCTAGGGGGGCCACTAGGCCCAGGCAGTCTTGGGACTTGGGTCTGTCCTGCTGTGCGTCCATAGTGGGTGCTTTAGAAACGGGAGGCCCACCCGAAGCGCCTGTTGCAAGTGAGGACAAAGTGTGGGAAGGCCGTGAGGGTCTGCAGTCCGAGATGGCCTTGTCCTCAACGTACAGTGCACTGTTGATGTGGGGCCTAGAGGCCTGGGATCTGGGGGAGCCTCCCCTGGGGGCGAGTGTCTGCCCTGGTGCTGTACCTGCCTTGTTTTCACAGCGGTGACCCGAAGAGACAGCCTGAGGTCCGTCCTCACTCACTGTGTTTGAGGAACTGTGGGCCAGCTGGCAGTGGGATGAGGCTGGCCCCCTCCTCCGCTTTAGTTCCTGGAGGCCTTCCGTAGAGCTGTGGGAGCTGGAGCTGGAGCTGGCATTTCGTTTGAGGCAGGATCTGGTCCGGGAGGTCTGGGATCTCTGGTTATATCTCACTTCTGACCTCTGGGCACGTGCTGCAGCTGTGGCTGAGGCCAAGAAATGTGAGGGGCCTCCATCCACTGCATTGAGTAGTGACCCCGACGTGTTGTTCAATGTGGAGGGGGGAGGGGCTGCTGTGGCAGCTGCAGGAGCCGACCTTGTTCTTCTCATGCCGGCATCCCTGCTTGCAGCTGTGAAGGTGGCAGGAATCAGCGAGGTGACCTGTGCTGTGTCCCGGGAGTGGTAAGAGGTGGCAGGAAGGGGATCTGAGGAGGAGAACAGGGGTCCTGGTGGTCTGTGCTTCTTCCCAGACACGGGAGCTGTAGAGGGGACCTCTGCAGCAGATGCTAGGGGGGCCAGTAGGCCCAGGGAGTCTTGGGACTTGGGTCTGTCCTGCTGTGCATCCATAGTGGGTGCTTTAGAAACGGGAGGCCCACCCGAAGCCCCTGTTGCAAGTGAGGACAAAGTGTGGGAAGGCCGTGAGGGTCTGCAGTCCGAGATGGCCTTGTCCTCAACGTGCAGTGAAGTGTTGATGTGGGGCCTAGAGGCCTGGGATCTGGGGGAGCCACCCCTGGGGGCAAGTGTCTGCCCTGGTGCTGTACCTGCCTTGTTTTCACAGCGGTGACCCGAAGAGACAGCCTGAGGTCCGTCCTCACTCACTGTGTTTGAGGAACTGAGGGCCAGCTGGCAGTGGGATGAGGCTGGCCCCCTCCTCCGCTTTACTTCCTGGAGGCCTTCCGTAGAGCTGTGGGAGCTGGAGCTGGCATTTCGTTTGAGGCAGGATCTGGTCCGGGAGGTCTGGGATCTCTGGTTATATCTCACTTCTGACCTCTGGGCACGTGCTGCAGCTGTGGCTGAGGCCAAGAAATGTGAGGGGCCTCCATCCACTGCATTGAGTAGTGACCCCGACGTGGGGTTCAATGTGGAGGGGGGAGGGGCTGCTGCGGCAGCTGCAGGAGCCGACCTTGTTCTTCTCATGCCGGCATCCCTGCTTGCAGCTGTGAAGGGGGCAGGAATCATCGAGGTGACCTGGGCTGAGTCCCGGGAGTGGGAAGAGTTGGCAGGAAGGGGATCTGAGGAGGAGAACAGGGGTCCTGGTGGTCTGTGCTTCTTCCCAGACACGGGAGCTGTAGCGGGGACCTCTGCAGCAGATGCTAGGGGGGCCACTAGGCCCAGGCAGTCTTGGGACTTGGGTCTGTCCTGCTGTGCGTCCATAGTGGGTGCTTTAGAAACGGGAGGCCCACCCGAAGCCCCTGTTGCAAGTGAGGACAAAGTGTGGGAAGGCCGTGAGGGTCTGCAGTCCGGGATGGCCTTGTCCTCAACGTGCAGTGCACTGTTGATGCGCTGGAATGCCGTCTCTTTTTCCAGGTGCAGGTCTTCAGCCGTGACCCGGTACCCCAGCTCTAAGGGAGGTGGCAGCATCAAAGGCTCCCCTCGCCTGCGTGGCAGCAGGGGAATCTTGCGTCTACGGGGCCTAGAGTCCTGGGATCTGGGGGAGCCACCCGTTGGGGCGATTGTCTGCCCTGGTGCTGTATCTGCCCCCTTTTCACACCGTGTGTGACCCGAAGAGACAGCCTGAGGCCTGTCCTCACTCACTGTCTTTGAGTAACTGAGGGTCAGCTGGCAGCGGGATGAGGCTGGCCCCCTCCTCTGCTTTAGCCCCGGCAAGCCTCCCGTGGAGCTGTAGGAGCTGGAGATGGCATTTCGTTTGGTGCTCGAGCTCGTCCAGGATGTCTGGGATGTGTGGTTATATCTGATTTCTGAGCTCTGGGCGTGGAGGTCTGTCTGCAGAGGCCCGGGCCTGGGCACAAAGGGAGAGGGGCCTCCATTGTCCCGCAGGGGCCAAAATGCAGACCGTGCATCCCCGGTGACCTCGGGGACCGTTCTCTGATCATCAGGATTTTCTTGGACTCTGGGGTCCTTGTCCTGCTCAGGCATCCCTGCCCCGCTCTCCTTGAGGGCCCTCAACACTATCTTCCCTGGACACAAGTCTGGGGACAGCCGGGTGTTGTGGACCCCAAAGGGGTGACTACCTGCTCCTGGGCCCCACAGAGTCCTTGTGCTCAGTGTAGTGGCTGAGCTGGGGGATGCCCTGGAACTCGGAGCACACAGCACTGGCTTACTGTGGTACCTGTGCAGTGAAATTGAAGACAGAATCACCAGGATGGAACACAGGTCTTGCAGGATCACGGAAAACCTTCTTAGAGTTGTCTTGACACCAGTGATGTCGAGTGTGCGGGTGTTTGTAGGATGGCCTGCCACTCAGTCCAGGGGCAGGAGCAACGGGGAGATCCCACAAGCAAAGTGAACTGGGGGATGGGCTGAAGGGGCTCCAGGCAACTGAGCCCTACTCGCAGGTCCTCGGCCTTGGCCCAAACAGGAATGAGGGGCACAGAGTGCCCGGGTAACCGCTCCTGGGAGCAGTGGGGAACTGTCGGATACTTGAACTCTCAAGAGCTGGGCTCTGAGCGTCCTCGTCCAGCTGCCAACTTGGCCAAAGGCTAAGCCAGCAGATTGTTCTGTTGCCGGGCAACGCGACTTCTAAACCTGAGGGAGTGGGCATGTGAGCACATAATGGCACCAGTGACAGAGCGACCATAATGGATGAATAAGCGCAGCCAGGTACCCGCGCAAGGCACCTGCTGGCAATGGCAGGAGGCGGACGTGGGGGGTCGTGCAGTAGGTACTGGAGGGAGAGACGTGGGCACAAAGGTCGCGGGAGGAACAGGTGCCCACAATGGCTGCATATTTGCCCGTGGATCACTGAAGATTCCTGCTCTCCTGCTGAGGTGGAGACTGCAGTGAGCTGAGATCGCACCATTGCACTCCAGCCTGGGCAACGAGTGCAAAACTCAGTCTCCAGATAAAAAAAAGAAAAAGAAAAAAAAGAGGCCGGGTGTGGTGGCTTATGCCTATGATCCTAGCACTTTGGGAGGTCGGGGTGGACGGATCACGAGATCAGGAGTTGGAGGCCAGCCTGGCCAACATAGTGAAAGCCCGTCTCTAGTAAAAATACAAAATTTAGTCAGACATGGTGGGCAGGAGAGAGCATGTGCAGGGGAACATCCATTTATAAAACCATCAGACCTCATGAGACTTATTCACTACCATGAGAACAGCATGGGGGAAACTGCCTCCATGATTCAGTTATCTCCACCTGGCCCCACCCTTGACACATGGGAATTGTTACAATTCAAGATGAGATTTGGGTGCGGACAGAGCCAAACCATATAATTCTTCCCCGGCCCCTCCCAAATCTCATGTCCTCATATTTCAAAAGCAATCATGCCTTCCCCTAAGTCCCCCAAACTCTTATTTCAGCATTAACTCAAAATTCCATAGTCCAAAGTCTCATCTGAGACAAGGCAAGTCCCTTCCACCTATGAGCCTGTAAAATCAAAAGCAAGTTAGTTATTTTCTAGATACACAGGGATACAGGCATTGGGTAAATACACTCGTTTCAAATGGGAGAAATTGGCCAAAGCGAAAGAGCTACAGGCCCCATGCAAGTCCAAAACCCAGCAGGCAAATCTTAAAGCTCCAAAATGACCTCCTTTGACTCCATGTGTCACATCTAGGTGATGCAAGAAGTGGGTTCCCAGGGTCTTGGGCAGCCCCGCCCCTGTGGCTTTGCAGGGTACAGCCCCCCTTCTGGCTGCATTGAGTGTCTGCAGCTTTTCCAGGCACACAGTGCAAGCTGTCAGTGGATCTACCATTCTGGGGTCTGGAGGATGGTGGCCCTTTTCTCACAGCTCTGCTTGGCAGTACCCCAGTGGGGACTCTGTGTGGGAGCTCCAACCCCATATTTCCCTTTGACACTGCCCTAGCAGAGGTTATCCATGAGGGCCCCCCCCTCCCCTCCCCCCCACAGCAAACTTTTGCCTGGATTTCCAGGCATTTTCATACATCTTCTGAAATGTAGGCGGAGGTTCATGAACGTTAATTCTTGACTTTGGTGCATCTGCAGGCTTAACACCACCTAGAACCTGAAAGGCTTGGAACTTGCACCCTCTGAAGCCATGGCCTGAGGTGTACCTTGGCCCCTTTTACCTATGGCAGGAGCAGCTGGGATGCAGGGCCCCAAGTTCCTAGGCTGCACACAGCAGGGGGTTCTGGACCCACAAAACCATTTTTCCTTCTAAGCCTCCTGGCCTGTGATGGGAGGGTCTGCTGTGAGGGTCTCTAACATGCCCTGGAGACATTTGCCCCATTGTCTTGGTGATTAACATTTGGCTCCTCATTACTTATGCAAATTTCTACAACCCAGTCTCCTGAGAAAATAGATTTTTCTTTTCTGTTGCATCATCAGGCTACAAATTTTCTGAACTTTTATGCTCTGCTTCTTCTCGAATGCTTTGCTGCTTAGAAATTTCTTCTGTCAGATACCTTAAATCATCTCTCTCAAGTTCAAAGTTCCACAGATCTGTAGGGAACTCTAGAAAGAAATTCTTATTTTCCCTCTTTCCCGCCTATCTTATGCCCGTTTCTAATACAGGTGCACAATGCCTGCAGTGTCTTTGCATAGTAAGAGTGACTTTACTCCATTTCCCAACAAATTCCTCATCTCCCTCTGAGACCACCTCCGCCTGGACCTTGTTGTCCATATCACTATTAACATTTTGGTCAAAGCCATTCAACAAGTCTCTAGGAAGTTCCAAACTTTCCCACATTTTCCTATCCTCTTCTGAGCCTTCCAAACTGTTCCAGCCTCTCCCTGTTACCCATTTCCAAAGTTGCTTCCACATTTTCGGGTATCTTTACAGCAGCACCCCACTCTACTGGTATCAACTTATTGTATTAGTCTGTTCTCACACCGCAAATAAAGACATACCTGAGACTGGGTAATTTATAAAGGAAAGAGGTTGAATTGACTCACAGTTCTGCATGGCTGGGGAGGCCTCACAATCATGGTGGAAGGCAAGGAGGTGCAAAAGCATGTCTCACATAGTGGCAGGCAGGAGAGAGCATGTGCAGGGGAGCTCCCATTTATAAAACCATCAGATCTCATGAGACTTAGTCACTACCGCGAGAACAGTATGGGGGGAACCATCCCCATGATTCAGTTATCTGCACCCGGCCCCACCCTTGACACGTGGGAATTATTACAATGCAAGGTGAGATTTGGGTGGGGACCCATCCAAACTATGTCAGTATGTTTTGACTTCTTGCTTGATTGCTAGGTTGCATAGAGGACAAACATGGAAATTAATGAAGTACCTTAATATCTGGCTTCAGATCTTAGACAGGATCAGAGGGCCAGCTCAAATTTGCAAGGAGGGGAGGTAGATCCCACCATTTTATGGGTGAATGGCAAAATCAAACAGAAATTATGTGGGATGGGAGATACTGATGCAGCCATCTTTGGAAACATTCTACTTAGCTAATTTTATGCTAGGCTTTAGGTCAAGAAGGAGAGAGAGAGCTGACATGCTGTGGTACACACTTATAGTCCCAGCGACTTGGAAAGCTGAGGCAGGAGGATTGCTTGATCCCAGGAGTTTGAGGTAGTGTGCGATGATCGTTCTTGTGAATAGCCACTAGCCACTGAACTCCAGCTTGGGCAACATTGAGACACCCTGTCTCTTAATTTAAAAAAAAAAAAAAAAAAAGGAAAGAAAGTGGTCTCAGTTTTTAATGTAAGTATTTTTAATGGGATAATGATATTTTAAGATTAATGTATATTGTATATCAGTTAACTGTAGGTCAATAATTATATAAAACTTAAGGTATGAAAAACATTTATTTTTGCTAACATATCTGTGAGTTGACTGTTCTTGGCTTGGTGAGGCTGCAAGCTGCAGATAGAGTCTAGGTATGTTTTCTGTGTGTTTGTTCCCCCTTGGATCAGTGGACTACCTGAGAATGTGTTTTTGTCACAGTGATAGAATCACAAGGAAACTCCAGTTCTGGAAGTACATTTTAAGCCATTGCTTCTCTCATGTCCACTAACATTCAGTCAGCCAAAGCACATACCTTGTCCATGGCTAACATTGATAGTATAGATAAATATACCTGATCTCTAGCAGGAGGAACTGCATTGTCTTGGGGAAAGGTTTTAGATATAGGGAGGGGTGATGAGTTGGGAACAATAATGTAGTCTGCCACAAACATATTAAAGTGTAACTGGATATGGTTGCTGCAGAATTTTGAACCTTTGTTTTAATTGTGATTTTTACTCTTTTCCCCCTATCTAGTGCCCTTTTGTAATACAGTAATTATCATGATTTTTGTCTGAACTGAAATCTTCTGAGATTAGATTGTCTACGAAAATACAGTCGATCCTCCTTGTTTTCAGCTTTTGTATTTGTGAACTCACCTACTATTTTTTGTAACCCCCAAATCAGTACTCACAGCACTTTCATAGTCATGTGTTTGCGCAGAGTGTCAAAGAATTTGAGTTTGAACAGGATGATATTCTGCCTTCTTTTTCAGCTCTCATACAATAGTCAGGTATCCTTTTTGTGGTCTATTTAATGCCATGCTTTTCCTGTTTTTGTGCTGTTTGTTGGTTGTTTTGCCATTTAAATTAACCCCCAAGCATAGTGCTGAAGTGCTGCTTAGCATTCACAAGTCCAAGAAGTCTGTGATGTGTCTTACAGAGAAAATACATGCATTAAATAAACTCCATTCAGGCGTGAGTGCTGTAGTGCCGTTGGCTGTGAGTTCAATGTTAATGAATGAACAATGTATATTATTTATTTATTCTTCATTTAATTAATTATTATTATTATTTTTTTTGAGATAGAGTCTCACTCTGTTGCTCAGGCTGGAGTGCAGTGGTGCAGTCTTGGCTCACTGCAACCTCTGCCTCCTGGGTTCAAGCGATTCCCCTGCCTTAGCCTCCCAAGTAGCTAAGACTACAGGCATGCGCCACCATGCCTGGCTAATTTTTTTTTTTTTTTTTTTTTTTTGTAGTTTTAGTAGAGACGGGGTTTCACCACGTTGGCCAGGCTGGTCTCGAACTCCAGACCTCAAATGATCTGCCCGCCTTGGCTTCGCAAAGTGCTGGGATTACAGGCGTTAGCCACTGTGCCTGGCCAACAATATATATTAAATAAGCACACATACAACAAAAGTAGGTGTTGGTAAGCTTACAAAAGTGTGACCAGTAGCTTGCTGAAACCTAACTTTTTATTTGTTCATGGAACTTTCTAGACCGTAACTACACTGAATAATGAGAATCTGCTGTAATCTTTTTAGGTGCTGTAGATGAGCCATTGGATTAAATTATTACAGTATGTTTCAGACTGCTGTATGTTGAACCCTAGTGAAATGCCTCTCAAACCTTCATAAGGATCACAATCTCATGTCCTTTTTTTTTTGTTATTAAATGCCCAGTATGTGTTAGCGATTTAAACAAAATTCAAATATTTTTTTTTTTTTTTGAGACAGAGTCTCGCTCTGTCACCTAAGCTGGAGAGTGCAGTGGTATGATCTCGGCTCACTACAACCTCTGCCTCCCGGGTTCAGGCGATTCTCCTGCCTCAGCATCCTGAGTAGCTGGGATTACAGGCACCCGCCACCACGCTGGGCTAATTTTTGTATTTTTAGTAGAGACGGGGTTTCGCCAGGTTGTCCAGGCTGGTCTGGAACTCCTGACCTCATGCGATCTGCCTGCCTTGGCCTCCTGAAGTGCTGGGATTATAGGCGTGAGCCACCATGCCCGGCGTTGACTTCTTAATAATAACCATACTGACTGGTGTGAGATGGTATGCCATTGTGGTTTTGATTTGCATTTCTCTAATGATCAGTGATATTGAGCTTTTTCTCATATGCTTGTTGGCCGCATGTGTGTCTTCTTTTGAAGTGTCTGTTTATGTCCTGTGCCCACTTTCTAATGAGATTTTTTTTTTTCTTGTAAATTTGTTTAAGTTCCTTATCAGTGTTGGACATTAGATCTTTGTCACATGCATTGTTGCAAAAATTTTCTCCCATTCTGTAGGTTGTCTGTTCACTCTGTTGATAGTTTCTTTTGCTGTGCAGAAGCTTCAAGAAGAAAGGAATCCGATTGGTTCTGTGTCTGTCTCTTTTGGTATTCTCAGAATTATGTAGTCATTCATATAGAAAGATGATTAGGAAAATAGGACAAGAATAGCAGAAATCTACATAAAAATGTAGGAAATTAAAATTAGTTACCAGCATACAAAAAACTTCTGTATGTTATAATTACATACTATAACTCACCCCTCCTTGGCAAATATTCTCTCTCTTTTGACTTCAAAATCATGGCTTATATGTACTTTCTCTATTTCCCAGATGCAAATATAATTAATTGACTTTATTTATCTAGGAAATATTACTCATATCTTAATTGTAGTCATTGGCTTGAGTGACGGGTTTTGGTAATTCAACTACTATTACTTGAAAGTAGTAGATTTCATAGGATACTGTTATAAAATCTTTTTAACCTCTTTTCTGATTTCAGGAGTAATTAGTAATTGTGGTTTACTGGAAAATTCAATGAATAGGGTGTTAAAGGAAGCAATTCATTAATAATATATCTAATCTATTGGGAGACTGAGGCGGGTGGATCACCTGAGTTCAGGAGTTCGAGACCAGCCTGGCCAACATGGCAAAACTCCGTCTCTACTGAAAATAGAAAAATTCGCCGGGCATGGTGGTGCATTCCTGTATTCCCAGGTACTCGGAAGGCTGAGGCAGGAGAATCACCTGAACTCCAGAGGTGGAGGTTGCAGCGAGTCAGGATCGCAGCACTACACTCCAGCCTGGGTGACAGTGAGACTCCATCTCAAAAAAAAAAAAAAAAAAAAAAAAAAAAATTAAAAAATTAAATTAAAAGCGGGCTGGGCGCATTGGTTCAGGGCCGGGCACGGTGGCTCAAGCCTGTAATCCCAGCACTTTGGGAGGCCGAGGCAGGCGGATCACGAGGTCAGGAGATCAAGACCATCCTGGCTAATGTGGTGAAACCCCGTCTCTACTAACAATACAAAAATTAGCTGGATGTGGTGGCAGGTGCCTGTAATCCCAGCTATTCCAGAGGCTGAGGCAGGAGAATCACTTGAACCTGGGAGGCAGAGGTTTCAGTGAGTCCAGATCATGCCACTGCACTCCAGCCTGGGTGACAGAGCGAGATTCTATCTCAAAGAAAAAAAAAAAAAGCAACAGAAGCAAATGAGAGTGCCTGGGAGTGGTCATTGTGGGGCCTTCCCGTTTGTGTGACCCAGGTCATGTCCCTCCCTAAGCCCTGGTCTCTCTTGCCTCCTGCAGGGCTGGTGAATTACCAGATCTCCGTCAAGTGCAGTAACCAGTTCAAGTTGGAAGTGTGTCTTTTGAATGCAGAAAACAAAGTCGTGGACAACCAGGCTGGGACCCAGGGCCAGCTGAAGGTGCTGGGTGCCAACCTCTGGTGGCCGTACCTGATGCACGAACACCCCGCCTCCCTGTACTCGTGGGAGGTAATGGTGGTTTGGGACTTGCGTAAGGGAGGTCTTTTGCCCCCATCTGGTAGCCCTGGCTTCAGCAGGAGCCCAGGACAGGTGAACGGGCAGGTGTGGTCCTCTGAGCTTTCTGATGTTTCCCACCCTTGGTGGGAGGCCCAGATTTTTTATTTATTTATTTATTTATTTATTTATTTGTTTGTTTGTTTGTTTTTGTGATGGTCTCACTCTGTCACCCAGGCTGGAATGCAATGGCCTGATCACAGCTCACTGCAGCTTTGAGCTGCAATCCTCCTACCTTGGCCTCCTGAGTAGCTGGGACTACAGGCACATGCCACCATGCCTGGCTAATTAAAAAAATTTTTTTTGTAGGCCGGGCATGGTGGCTCACACCTGTAATCCCAGCACTTCGGGAGGCTGACGCGGGCAGATCACTTTAGGCCAGGAGTTGGAGACCAGCCTGGCCAACATGGTGAAACCCCGTCTCTACTAAAATATGAAAATTTGCAGGGCATGATGGTGCACGTCTGTAATCCCAGCTACTCGGGAGGCTGAGGCAGGGGAATTGCTTGAACCCAGGAGGCAGGGGCCGCGGTGAATTGAGATCATGCCGCAGCACTCTATCCTGGGTGACAGAGTGAGACTGTCTCAAAAAAAAAACTCCTTTTTATAGAGTTGGGGTCTTACTAGGTTGCCCAGGCTGGTCTTGAACTCCTGGACTCAGGTGATCCTCCTGCCTTAGCCTCCCAAGGTGTAGGGATTCCAGGCATGAGCCACCTCGTCTGGTCAAGGAGAAGGCCTGATTTTGAAGGGCAGGTCCCAGGGTCAGCCAGTGAAGGGCAGAGCCTCTGATTGCTGCTTCTCTGCAGGCCCAGTGGCGACTTCTGGGGTGCATGCACGAGGGGTCTTCCTGCTGTAGGGCAGGCCAGATGGGGCTCAGGCTGTCGGGGCGCTCACACCTGGCGCTTTGGCTGTCGTAGGTGCGGCTGACTGCACAGAAGTCACTGGGGCCTTTGACTTCTACACACTCCCTGTGGGGCTCCGCACTGTGCCCGTCACCGAGAGCCAGTGGGTGAGAGCCAGTTTCATTTGCGGTAGAGGCAGCAGAGGTTGTAGAAATGCTCCTTGAGGCAGATGCCACACCCCAATTTCATGGAGTGATTTGGGCTGAGCCGAGTCTGCAGCAGGCAGAAGGCTCTGAGATGTTGTCCTAGCCTGGGCAAAGGACAGTTCAGAGCTCGGGGGAATAGGGGTGTGCTCAGCACGACTGGGTGGACAGGCCGTTTGTTGTGAATCGTACAGGCTTCCAGGAGCGGGTGCCTGAGGCTTCCAGACAGGCTTTGGGAGGTGGCCAGAGGAGATGCCTGTTTCCGGGGCAGGAAATGGAGGGAGGGCCCAGGCTGGAGAGGTTCAGCCAGGCTGTCACAAGGCTTTGAAGCTTCCCATCTGAGAGCCTGGCTATTGGAGAGTGTGGGTTTGGAACTTGAGGCTAGGAGGTTCTATTCTGTCCTGTGCCAGCCACAGCCTTCGGATGGGCAGAGCAATGATGGGGGGAAGATGTAAAAGAAAAGAACTGAGGAAAGAAGAAGAAAACCAGCTTCAACAACGGTCTAGGCCGGATGCGGTGGGTCACGCCTGTAATCCCAGCAGTTTGGGAGGCTGAGGTGGGTGGATCACCCGAGGTCAGGAGTTCGAGACCAGCCTGGTCAACAGGTAGTGAATCCTGTCTCTACTAAAAATACAAAAATTAGCTGGGCATGGTGGTGGACGTCTGTAATCCCAGCTACCAGGTAGGCTGAGGCAGGAGAATCGCCTCAGGTGAACCAGGAGGCAGAGATTGCAATGAGCTGAGATAATGCCACTGCATTCCAGCCTGGGCTACAGAATGAGACTCTGTATCTCAACAAAACAAAACAAAACAAAAACACAACAGTCTGTTCTGTGGAGGCCTTGGGCAGATGCTGGGAGCTCTGAGCACGGACTGGTCCCTCTGTTGGGAGCCTCTTCCCTTCATCCCTCCTGGTTAACTTGACTCAGCATAAAGGCCATTTCTTCTAAGAGCCTGTCCCTGACTCTCCAATCGGGGATGTGTCTGTTGTCTCATAGAGTGCCCAATTCCTGCCACCACTTGTCATTTCCATTCGCAACATTTCTTTCATTGTTTGTTTTTCAGAGTCAGGGTCTCACTCTGTTGCCCAGGCTGGAGTGCAGTGGTGCAATCATAGCTCGTTGCCATCTCGACCTCCTGGGCTTAAGCGATCCTCCCCACTCAGCCTCCCAAATAGCTGGGACCACAGACGTGCGCTGCCTTGCCAGGCTAAATTTTAATATTTTTTTTTTCCCCACGAGTCAGAGTCTTGCTCTGTCTCCCAGGCTGGAGAGCAGTGTTGCGATCTTGGCTCACTGCATCCTCTACCTCCTGGGTACAAACAGTTCTCCTGCCTCACCCTCCCGAGTAGCTGGGATTACAGGCTCACGCCACCATGCCCAGCTAGTTTTCTTCTTTATTTTTTGTTGAGATGGGGTTTCACCATGTTGGCCAGGCTGGTCTCGAACTCTTGAGCTCGTGATCCACCTGCCTTGGCCTCCCAAAGTGCTCACAGGCTTGAGCCACCATGCCCGGCCCTAATTTTTAAATTTGTTGTAGAAACAAGGTCTTGCTATGTTGTCCAGGCTGGTCTCAAGCGCCTGGTCTCAAGTAAGCCTCCCAAAGTGCTGGGGTTCTAGGCGTGAGCCACCTCGCCTGGCACTTGCACCGTTTTTCTGTGCATGCATCTCCACTCCCACTGCCCAGGACCTGTGGACTTAGATTTGAGTCATTACTGAGCACCTAGCACCCAGCCTCATGCCTACCTCCCACCTCGCACTACCTGTTTGCTTGATGCATTAATAAATATTCCACCTGAATCCACAGCCCATTCACTCCTGTGTTCAAGAGCTATTTCAGGAAGTGAACCTCATTTCTGGCAGTGTTCAGTCCAGTGACCTCAGCTCTGTGTACCCGGCAGGGTGGCTACGCCTCTGGGGGAGTTGGATTCAGGGGTGGGGGAGAAAGAGTGTTGTTAGAGAGCTCGGTCTAGGACTAGAGGAACGTGCCCTTATGTAAAATACATCTCAAGTTAGGGAAGAAAGCAGCGGCTCTGTGCTTTGTTTTTTTTTTTTTTTCCTTTTTTTTCTTTCTTTTTTTTTTTTTTGTTTGTTTGTTTGTTTGTTTGTTTTGGGGCAGGGTCTTGCTCTGTGGCCCAGGCTGGAGTGCAGTAGCGTGATTTCGGCTCACTGCAACCTCCACCTCCCGGGTTCAAGCAATTCTTGTGCCTCAGCCTCCCGAGTAGCTGGAGTTACAGATGCGTGCCACTATGCCTGGCTAATTTTTGTATATTTAGTAGAAATGGGGTTTTGCCATGTTGGCCAGGCGGTTCTTGAACCCCTGACCTCAGTGATCTGCCTGCCTCAGCCTCCTGAAGTGCTGGGATTACAGGCGTGAGCCATCGTGCCTGGCCCCCAGTTGTGTTCTGGCAGGGGAAGATGGGACAGAGAGGATGGGAGGGTGTCTGAGCCTTTCCCGGACTGACGGAACCTGTGTCTTCTCTCTTTTGTGGACAGGATGGTGATTGCTCACACCAAAGCCTTGGACCCCTCCCAGCCTGTGACCTTTGTGACCAACTCCACCTACGCAGCAGACAAGGGGGTGAGCCTGGGGGTCCCCACCCCATTTCTCCCTGCCTTTGCCTGGGCTTGTCCTGAAGCCTGCTCATGGGAACAGCTGGAAAGAACCATGTGCTGCCAGTCTGAGCTTTTTATTTTGTTTTACTTAGAAAGATAGAGACAGGGTCTTGCCATGTTGCCCAGGCTGGTCTCGAACTCCTGGGCTCAAGTGATCCTCCTGCCTCGGCCTTCCAAAGGGCTGGGGTTACAGGCGTGTGCCACCGCACTCAGCCGCAGCCAGTCTGTTTTCAAAGATGGTCTTTGGGTTAATGACAATTCTCTCTCTGCTTACTCTCCAGGCAGTGTGGCTTTCTGAATCCAAGGAGGCTGGGCATAGGGAGATGGGATTTGTTTGCCCGGTTTGGACTCAGCATTTTTTGTACTCGATTTAATAGACTCATAAAATGTCAAAGGTTTAAGTGAGCTTAGAGTTCATCTGGCCCAAACCTGGCTGATCAGAATCTCCAGGGGAAGTTTTATTGAAATGCCAGATCTCTGCGTTCTGAGATCCTGATTTAGTAACTCCAGGGTTGGAACTTGAGTTTTTTGTTTTTTTGTGTGTGTGTGTGAAGGCAAGGTCTTACTCTGTTGCTCTGGCTGGAGTGCAGTGGTGTGATCACAGCTCACTGCAGCCTTGAATTCCTGGGCCTAAGCAACCCTCTTGCCTCAGCCTTCCAAGTAGCTGGGACTCCGGGTGTACACCACTGTGCCCGGCTAATTTTAAATGTTTTTGTAGAGATGGGATCTCACTATGTTGCCCAGGCCAGTCTCAAACTCTTGAGCTCAAGTGATCCTCCTGCCTTAGCCTCCTAAAGTGCTGGGATTACAGGCATGAGCCACCGTGCCTGGCTGATACTAGCATTCTTTTTTATTTTTTATTATTTTTTTAAGATAGAGTCTTGCTCTGTTGCCCAGGCTGGAGTGCAGTGGCACAGTCTCAGCTCAGTGCAACCTCCGCCTCCCAGGTTCAAGCAATTCTCCTGCCTCAGCCTCCCAAGTAGCTGGGATAACAGGCACATGCCACCACGCCTGCGCTTGATCGTGGGAGGCAGAGGTTGCATTATTGTGCCACTCCATTCTAGCCTGGGCAACAGAGCGAGACTCTGTCTTCCAAACAAAGCGGAAAAAGATTATCTGCGAGAATGACTGCATTGGCCCCTTGGGTGGGAGGGCTTCTCCAGGGCAAGGTGAGGGGATGCCCAGTGCTGGGAGTGCTGCCTGGAGAGGAGTCAGTTCCAGTGGCGGGGGCCCTGGGTTTTGGCTGAGGACTGCGTGTTGGCAGCTGCTCTGCCTCTCACAGCCCTTCCCAGCTGCACACGTCGTGAGCGTCAGTGTGCAATCACAGGCCTGCCTCCTTTGGGCCACTTTGTGACCATGTTTTTTGCTTGTGGGGCAGGGTAATTTCAGGATCTAAATTGGTGCAGTTGGATGTTCTCAGCCCCGAGAGGCAGCTCTTCCCGTTGTAGGCTTTTTGTTTTGTTTTGTAGAAATGGAGTCCTACGATGTTGCCCAGGCTGGTCTCAAACTCCTGGGCTCAAGTGATCCTCCCACCTTGGCCTCCCAATGTGCTGGGATTACAGGCATGAGCCACTGTGCCGTGCTGATTTTCTTGATACTATTTTTTGTAGAGCTGGGGTCTTGCTGTGTTGCCCAGGCTGGTCTCGAACTCCTGGCCACAAGCCACCCTCCTGCCTCAGCCTCCCAGAGTGCTGGGATTACATCCCCTTCTTACCTTCTCTGTCAGAGGAGCCCCCACAGCATGTGAGTACTGAGTCATGCGGTCTTGTGGTTGCTGAACGGGCTCTGCTGCTCTGGTCCTAGGCTCTGTATGTGGATGTGATCCGTGTGAACAGCTACTACTCTTGGTATCGCAACTACGGGCACCTGGAGTTGATTCAGCTGCAGCTGGCCGCCCAGTTTGAGAATTGGTGTAAGACATCACAATCCCATTATTCAGAGCGCGTATGGAGTGGAAACGCTTGTAGGGTTTCACCAGGTAAGCGGTGTTGAACTTTCTGCTTGTGTATTCTCTCTGGGCAGAGATGCCACTTGCCTCCCCCACCATGCCATCTCTGAAGAATATTACAGACCATTTTGGAGCATGGTGAATAAGAAATTTTCACCTTAGGAGTTCACTTGAATAGTCATTTTTATATTTGTGACTGCAAGTCACTCTTAGGGGCTGTACTTCCTTAGTACTGGTAGCATTATTATCCAATGGACTTTTATAGCTTTCATTAGGTTTTCTTTTGTTTTTGTTCTTTAAAGAACGTTTTACTTATCTTAGTATTTCATTTTTCATCTATATTATGAGGCAGTAAGAGTCTTCTGTTTTTCCAAAGTTGAGACTGCTTTATATTTATTTCGTATTGTCTACAGCTGTAGTGTTCAATACATTAGCCACTAGCCACATGTGGTTATTTAAATAAGATAAAATAAAAATTGGCCGGGCGTGGTGGGTCACGCCAGTAATCCCAGCACTTTGGGAGGCCGAGGCGGGCAGATCATTAGGTCAGGAGATCGAGACCATCCTTACTAAGACGGTGAACCCCCATCTCTATTAAAAATACAAAAAATTAGCCGGGCGTGGTGGCGGGCGCCTGCAGTCCCAGCTACTCAGGAGGCTGAGGCAGGAGAATGGCGTGAACCTGGGAGGCAGAGTTTGCAGTGAGCCGAGATGGCACCACTGCACTCCAGCCTGGGGGACAGAGCGAGACTCCATCTCAAAAAAAAAAAGAAAATTAAAAATTAAGTTCTTTAGTTGCACTAGCCATATTTCAAATACTTGATGGATACATGTGGCTAGTGGCTAACATAAGGGATAGCACAGATATAAAACATTTCCTCGTCATATAAAGTTCTATTGGATAGTGCTGGTCTGTAGCTTATAGGATGGTATCTTAGTCTGCTTCAGCTGCTAAAACAGAATACCATAAATTAGGTAGCTTAAACAGTAGATATTTTGACCAGGCGTGGTGGCTTATGCCTGTATTCCTAACACTTTGGGAGGCCGAGGCAGGTGGATAACTTGAGCTCAGGAGTTTGAGACTAGCCTGGGCAGCATGGCAAAACCTTGTCTCTACGAAAATTAGCTGGGCGTGGTGGTGCACGCCTGTAGTCTGAGCTACTTGGGAGGCTGAGGTGGGAGAATTGCTTGAACCTGGGAGGCAGAGGTTGCAGTGAGCCATGATCGCACCACTGTACTCCAGCCTGGATGACAGAATGAGACTCTGTCTCAAAAAAAACAAAAACAAACAAACAAAAAAACAGATATTTCTCACAGTTCTGGAGACTGGAAGTGCAAGATCAAAGTGTTGGCAAATTGTGTTTCTTAAAGAGGGCCTGCTTCCTAGATTGGAAATGGCCATCTTCTCTCGGTATCCTCACATGGTAGGGAGAAAAGCAGCTCTAGTGTCTCTTCTTATAAAGGAAGTAATGCCACCATAGGGGCTCTATTCTCATGACCTCATCTAAACCTAATTCTCTCCTAAAGGCCACGCCTCCCAGTATCCTCACCTTGGGGGTTAGGGCTTTATCATATGAATTTTTTTTTTTTTTTTTTTTTGAGACAGAGTCTCGCTCTGTCTGTCACCCAGGCTGGAGTGCAGTGGCACAATCTCGGCTCTCTACAAGCTCCGCCTCCTGGGTTCACGCCGTTCTCCTGCGTCAGCCTCCTCAGTAGCTGGGACTAAGGCGCCCGCCACTGCGCCCGGCTAATTTTTTGTATTTTCAGTAGAGACGGGGTTTTACCATGTTAGCCAGGATGATCTCGATCTCCTGACCTCATGATCCACCCGCCTCGGCCTCCCAAAGTGCTGGGATTACAGGCATGAGCCACCGCGCCCGGCCTATCATATGAATTTTGAGGGAACACAAACATGCAGTCTGTAGCAGATGGTAATAGGCTGACATATTACACTTGTTGATGTAAATCTGATAGGTTTCTTTCTCTCCAAGGACAGCTTTTTAAATATTTAACAGTATCAATAATTTTTCAGGTTCTGTGAGAATTTTATAATTTATAATTTGCAGACTTAACGTATAATCTATTTTGTCCTAACAATTACAAATATATTTTTTATTTCAGATTGTATATATTCCTACCAGATGGAGATGATTACAGCTTTAAAAATTTTTATTTTTTCATTTTATTTCACACATTGACATTAAATTTTTATGGACACATAATAACTGTACATATATATGGGGTAGAATGTGATGTTTTAATACATGTACTCAATGTGTAATGATCAAATCAGGGTAATTTGCATAATGATTTTTCTGTAGGGAGAAAATTCAAAATCTACTCTTCTGGCTATTTTCAAATATATAATATGTTATTGTTAACTATACTCTTCCTACTATGCAATAGGACACCAGAACTTATTCCTGGGTTCTACATCCGTTAAGGCAACCAAGGATTGGAAATATTGGAAAAAAAAATTGCGTCTGTACTGAACATGTACAGACTTTTTTCTTGTCCTTATTCCTTACACAATATAGTACAATAACTATTTGCATGACATTTACATCGGATATTATGAGTGATCTAGAGTTGATATGAAGTATATGGGAGGATGTGCAAAGGTGATGTGCAAATACTATGTCATTTTATATCAGGGACTTGAGTATCCTTTGTTACCCTCAGGAGATCCTGAAACCAGTCCCCCATGGATACTGAGGGCTGACTGTATAGTCCTATCCTCACGGAACTTTCATTCTAATGGGGGAAGACTGACTATAAACAAAATATATGTAATAGGTGGTGGTAAGTACCGTGGAGAAGTAACAAATGGGGCAAAGTGAGTTATACAGCTCCATTCTTAGAAACCTTGGAGTACTTTTCTTAGTTTATACTCGTGGTGGTTTCCTTTTGTCTCCTTTATTACATGGGACTCTGACATGTGCCCATAGCTAGGGTGACAGTAGGATCTACCCGATAGTAGGGTGGCAGTAGGATCTACCCAAAAAGCGTCCTGCTGATACAGGACCAAAGCATCCTGTTGTTCTCGAGCCTATAAAAAGAGCTAATGGTGTTGCTTCTCTTAACTGTGGCCTCCTACACTGTGTTTTGGATGATTGGTGATGTCTTGGATATTCTGTTTCTTTGGAACTTTGAATATACAACACTTTACTAGGGAATTAGCAATGGAAGCAGAGCAAAGATGTACAGAGGAAACAATGCGTAACTCTGATGGAATTGAAGTCATGAGGCAGCAGAGAGCTTAAATTACAGCTTTAAAAATTTTTATTTTTTAGAGGGAATTTACTTGGGAGTAACAGCAGTAATAGTTAACGGAGCCAGAATGCTTGAGTCATATAATTGCAAAGCAGAGTTGGGAGCAACAGATGCTAAAGAGTAGTTGCTGTAGTTCCTCTTTGGGTCGTAGGAGCAGTTGTCATATTACTATATAGCTACTGCATGAAGAAGAGTTCTTAGTGAGGCCTGGGTGAACAGCTCTTCTTAGTATTCTGTGTGACCCCATTTGACCTTTTAACAAATCCCTAAGTAAATAAATAGCCCCTCAGGAAAACTAAGTTTTTCTCTGCTGTTTTTTCGCTTGAGAGAGCTATAACTGTAATAGACTTATATTTCTGAACATTTTAGTGCTTGCCAATATTTGGTAATATTTATGTTTCCTATATTTGTAATGAACATTCTTCTTCCGGTACATTTTTTGTTAAATTATTGTTTGATGGATAAAAGTTCACCTTTTATTGTATAAAATTGACTGAGATTAATTTATACACATTGACAATGGGTAAATAGAATTTTTCAGATTATTAAAAGCTGAAGGATGCCCACGTAAGCAAAAAAAAAAAAGAAAAAACCAACAAAAATAAACCCAAACCCCTCAAACAATTTCGAACACGAAACATTCTTCTGATGCCGGCATCCCTGCTTGCAGGTGTGAAGGGGGCAGGAATCAGCGAGGTGTCCTGGGCTGAGTCCCCGGAGTGGGAAGAGGTGGCAGGAAGGGGATCTGAGGAGGAGAACAGGGGTCCTGGTGGTCTGTGCTTCTTCCCAGACACGGGAGCTGTAGAGGAGACCTCTGCAGCAGATGCTAGGGGGGCCAGTAGGCCCAGGCAGTCTTGGGACTTGGGTCTGTCCTGCTGTGCATCCATAGTGGGTGCTTTAGAAACGGGAGGCCCACCCGAAGCCCCTGTTGCAAGTGAGGACAAAGTGTGGGAAGGCCGTGAGGGTCTGCAGTCCGAGATGGCCTTGTCCTCAACGTGCAGTGCACTGTTGATGCGGGGCCTAGAGGCCTGGGATCTGGGGGAGCCACCCCTGGGGGCGAGTGTCTGCCCTGGTGCTGTACCTGCCTTGTTTTCACAGCGGTGACCCGAAGAGACAGCCTGAGGTCCGTCCTCACTCACTGTGTTTGAGGAACTGTGGGCCAGCTGGCAGTGGGATGAGGCTGGCCCCCTCCTCCGCTTTAGTTCCTGGAGGCCTTCCGTAGAGCTGTGGGAGCTGGAGCTGGCATTTCGTTTGAGGCAGGATCTGGTCCGGGAGGTCTGGGATCTCTGGTTATATCTCACTTCTGACCTCTGGGCACGTGCTGCAGCTGTGGCTGAGGCCAAGAAATGTGAGGGGCCTCCATCCACTGCATTGAGTAGCGACCCCGACGTGGGGTTCAATGTGGAGGGGGGAAGGGCTGCTGCGGCAGCTGCAGGAGCCGAGGTGCCAGGCCTTGTTCTTCTCATGCCGGCATCCCTGCTTGCAGCTGTGAAGGTGGCAGGAATCAGCGAGGTGACCTGGGCTGAGTCCCGGGAGTGGGAAGAGGTGGCAGGAAGGGGATCTGAGGAGGAGAACAGGGGTCCTGGTGGTCTGTGCTTCTTCCCAGACACGGGAGCTGTAGAGGGGACCTCTGCAGCAGATGCTAGGGGGGCCACTAGGCCCAGGCAGTCTTGGGACTTGGGTCTGTCCTGCTGTGCGTCCATAGTGGGTGCTTTAGAAACGGGAGGCCCACCCGAAGCCCCTGTTGCAAGTGAGGACAAAGTGTGGGAAGGCCGTGAGGGTCTGCAGTCCGAGATGGCCTTGTCCTCAACGTACAGTGCACTGTTGATGTGGGGCCTAGAGGCCTGGGATCTGGGGGAGCCTCCCCTGGGGGCGAGTGTCTGCCCTGGTGCTGTACCTGCCTTGTTTTCACAGCGGTGACCCGAAGAGACAGCCTGAGGTCCGTCCTCACTCACTGTGTTTGAGGAACTGTGGGCCAGCTGGCAGTGGGATGAGGCTGGCCCCCTCCTCCGCTTTAGTTCCTGGAGGCCTTCCGTAGAGCTGTGGGAGCTGGAGCTGGAGCTGGCATTTCGTTTGAGGCAGGATCTGGTCCGGGAGGTCTGGGATCTCTGGTTATATCTCACTTCTGACCTCTGGGCACGTGCTGCAGCTGTGGCTGAGGCCAAGAAATGTGAGGGGCCTCCATCCACTGCATTGAGTAGTGACCCCGACGTGTTGTTCAATGTGGAGGGGGGAGGGGCTGCTGTGGCAGCTGCAGGAGCCGACCTTGTTCTTCTCATGCCGGCATCCCTGCTTGCAGCTGTGAAGGTGGCAGGAATCAGCGAGGTGACCTGTGCTGTGTCCCGGGAGTGGTAAGAGGTGGCAGGAAGGGGATCTGAGGAGGAGAACAGGGGTCCTGGTGGTCTGTGCTTCTTCCCAGACACGGGAGCTGTAGAGGGGACCTCTGCAGCAGATGCTAGGGGGGCCAGTAGGCCCAGGGAGTCTTGGGACTTGGGTCTGTCCTGCTGTGCATCCATAGTGGGTGCTTTAGAAACGGGAGGCCCACCCGAAGCCCCTGTTGCAAGTGAGGACAAAGTGTGGGAAGGCCGTGAGGGTCTGCAGTCCGAGATGGCCTTGTCCTCAACGTGCAGTGCAGTGTTGATGTGGGGCCTAGAGGCCTGGGATCTGGGGGAGCCACCCCTGGGGGCAAGTGTCTGCCCTGGTGCTGTACCTGCCTTGTTTTCACAGCGGTGACCCGAAGAGACAGCCTGAGGTCCGTCCTCACTCACTGTGTTTGAGGAACTGAGGGCCAGCTGGCAGTGGGATGAGGCTGGCCCCCTCCTCCGCTTTACTTCCTGGAGGCCTTCCGTAGAGCTGTGGGAGCTGGAGCTGGCATTTCGTTTGAGGCACGATCTGGTCCGGGAGGTCTGGGATCTCTGGTTATATCTCACTTCTGACCTCTGGGCACGTGCTGCAGCTGTGGCTGAGGCCAAGAAATGTGAGGGGCCTCCATCCACTGCATTGAGTAGTGACCCCGACGTGGGGTTCAATGTGGAGGGGGGAGGGGCTGCTGCGGCAGCTGCAGGAGCCGACCTTGTTCTTCTCATGCCGGCATCCCTGCTTGCAGCTGTGAAGGGGGCAGGAATCATCGAGGTGACCTGGGCTGAGTCCCGGGAGTGGGAAGAGTTGGCAGGAAGGGGATCTGAGGAGGAGAACAGGGGTCCTGGTGGTCTGTGCTTCTTCCCAGACACGGGAGCTGTAGCGGGGACCTCTGCAGCAGATGCTAGGGGGGCCACTAGGCCCAGGCAGTCTTGGGACTTGGGTCTGTCCTGCTGTGCATCCATAGTGGGTGCTTTAGAAACGGGAGGCCCACCCGAAGCCCCTGTTGCAAGTGAGGACAAAGTGTGGGAAGGCCGTGAGGGTCTGCAGTCCGGGATGGCCTTGTCCTCAACGTGCAGTGCACTGTTGATGCGCTGGAATGCCGTCTCTTTTTCCAGGTGCAGGTCTTCAGCCGTGACCCGGTACCCCAGCTCTAAGGGAGGTGGCAGCATCAAAGGCTCCCCTCGCCTGCGTGGCAGCAGGGGAATCTTGCGTCTACGGGGCCTAGAGTCCTGGGATCTGGGGGAGCCACCCGTTGGGGCGATTGTCTGCCCTGGTGCTGTATCTGCCCCCTTTTCACACCGTGTGTGACCCGAAGAGACAGCCTGAGGCCTGTCCTCACTCACTGTCTTTGAGTAACTGAGGGTCAGCTGGCAGCGGGATGAGGCTGGCCCCCTCCTCTGCTTTAGCCCCGGCAAGCCTCCCGTGGAGCTGTAGGAGCTGGAGATGGCATTTCGTTTGGTGCTCGAGCTCGTCCAGGATGTCTGATTTCTGAGCTCTGGGCGTGGAGGTCTGTCTGCAGAGGCCCGGGCCTGGGCACAAAGGGAGAGGGGCCTCCATTGTCCCGCAGGGGCCAAAATGCAGACCGTGCATCCCCGGTGACCTCGGGGACCGTTCTCTGATCATCAGGATTTTCTTGGACTCTGGGGTCCTTGTCCTGCTCAGGCATCCCTGCCCCGCTCTCCTTGAGGGCCCTCAACACTATCTTCCCTGGACACAAGTCTGGGGACCGCCAGGTGTTGTGGACCCCAAAGGGGTGACTACCTGCTCCTGGGCCCCACAGAGTCCTTGTGCTCAGTGTAGTGGCTGAGCTGGGGGATGCCCTGGAACTCAGAGCACACAGCACTGGCTTACTGTGGTACCTGTGCAGTGAAATTGAAGACAGAATCACCAGGATGGAACACAGGTCTTGCAGGATCACGGAAAACCTTCTTAGAGTTGTCTTGACACCAGTGATGTCGAGTGTCCGGGTGTTTGTAGGATGGCTTGCCACTCAGTCCAGGGGCAGGAGCAACGGGGAGATCCCACAAGCAAAGTGAACTGGGGGATGGGCTGAAGGGGCTCCAGGCAACTGAGCCCTACTCGCAGGTCCTCGGCCTTGGCCCAAACAGGAATGAGGGGCACAGAGTGCCCGGGTAACCGCTCCTGGGAGCAGTGGGGAACTGTCGGATACTTGAACTCTCAAGAGCTGGGCTCTGAGCGTCCTCGTCCAGCTGCCAACTTGGCCAAAGGCTAAGCCAGCAGATTGTTCTGTTGCCGGGCAACGCGACTTCTAAACCTGAGGGAGTGGGCATGTGAGCACATAATGGCACCAGTGACAGAGCGACCATAATGGATGAATAAGCGCAGCCAGGTACCCGCGCAAGGCACCTGCTGGCAATGGCAGGAGGCGGACGTGGGGGGTCGTGCAGTAGGTACTGGAGGGAGAGACGTGGGCACAAAGGTCGCGGGAGGAACAGGTGCCCACAATGGCTGCATATTTGCCCGTGGATCACTGAAGATTCCTGCTCTCCTGCTGAGGTGGAGACTGCAGTGAGCTGAGATCGCACCATTGCACTCCAGCCTGGGCAACGAGTGCAAAACTCAGTCTCCAGATAAAAAAAAGAAAAAGAAAAAAAAGAGGCCGGGTGTGGTGGCTTATGCCTATGATCCTAGCACTTTGGGAGGTCGGGGTGGACGGATCACGAGATCAGGAGTTGGAGGCCAGCCTGGCCAACATAGTGAAAGCCCGTCTCTAGTAAAAATACAAAATTTAGTCAGACATGGTGGGCAGGAGAGAGCATGTGCAGGGGAACATCCATTTATAAAACCATCAGACCTCATGAGACTTATTCACTACCATGAGAACAGCATGGGGGAAACTGCCTCCATGATTCAGTTATCTCCACCTGGCCCCACCCTTGACACATGGGAATTGTTACAATTCAAGATGAGATTTGGGTGCGGACAGAGCCAAACCATATAATTCTTCCCCGGCCCCTCCCAAATCTCATGTCCTCATATTTCAAAAGCAATCATGCCTTCCCCTAAGTCCCCCAAACTCTTATTTCAGCATTAACTCAAAATTCCATAGTCCAAAGTCTCATCTGAGACAAGGCAAGTCCCTTCCACCTATGAGCCTGTAAAATCAAAAGCAAGTTAGTTATTTTCTAGATACACAGGGATACAGGCATTGGGTAAATACACTCGTTTCAAATGGGAGAAATTGGCCAAAGCGAAAGAGCTACAGGCCCCATGCAAGTCCAAAACCCAGCAGGCAAATCTTAAAGCTCCAAAATGACCTCCTTTGACTCCATGTGTCACATCTAGGTGATGCAAGAAGTGGGTTCCCAGGGTCTTGGGCAGCCCCGCCCCTGTGGCTTTGCAGGGTACAGCCCCCCTTCTGGCTGCATTGAGTGTCTGCAGCTTTTCCAGGCACACAGTGCAAGCTGTCAGTGGATCTACCATTCTGGGGTCTGGAGGATGGTGGCCCTTTTCTCACAGCTCTGCTTGGCAGTACCCCAGTGGGGACTCTGTGTGGGAGCTCCAACCCCATATTTCCCTTTGACACTGCCCTAGCAGAGGTTATCCATGAGGGCCCCCCCCTCCCCTCCCCCCCACAGCAAACTTTTGCCTGGATTTCCAGGCATTTTCATACATCTTCTGAAATGTAGGCGGAGGTTCATGAACGTTAATTCTTGACTTTGGTGCATCTGCAGGCTTAACACCACCTAGAACCTGAAAGGCTTGGAACTTGCACCCTCTGAAGCCATGGCCTGAGGTGTACCTTGGCCCCTTTTACCTATGGCAGGAGCAGCTGGGATGCAGGGCCCCAAGTTCCTAGGCTGCACACAGCAGGGGGTTCTGGACCCACAAAACCATTTTTCCTTCTAAGCCTCCTGGCCTGTGATGGGAGGGTCTGCTGTGAGGGTCTCTAACATGCCCTGGAGACATTTGCCCCATTGTCTTGGTGATTAACATTTGGCTCCTCATTACTTATGCAAATTTCTACAACCCAGTCTCCTGAGAAAATAGATTTTTCTTTTCTGTTGCATCATCAGGCTACAAATTTTCTGAACTTTTATGCTCTGCTTCTTCTCGAATGCTTTGCTGCTTAGAAATTTCTTCTGTCAGATACCTTAAATCATCTCTCTCAAGTTCAAAGTTCCACAGATCTGTAGGGAACTCTAGAAAGAAATTCTTATTTTCCCTCTTTCCCGCCTATCTTATGCCCGTTTCTAATACAGGTGCACAATGCCTGCAGTGTCTTTGCATAGTAAGAGTGACTTTACTCCATTTCCCAACAAATTCCTCATCTCCCTCTGAGACCACCTCCGCCTGGACCTTGTTGTCCATATCACTATTAACATTTTGGTCAAAGCCATTCAACAAGTCTCTAGGAAGTTCCAAACTTTCCCACATTTTCCTATCCTCTTCTGAGCCTTCCAAACTGTTCCAGCCTCTCCCTGTTACCCATTTCCAAAGTTGCTTCCACATTTTCGGGTATCTTTACAGCAGCACCCCACTCTACTGGTATCAACTTATTGTATTAGTCTGTTCTCACACCGCAAATAAAGACATACCTGAGACTGGGTAATTTATAAAGGAAAGAGGTTGAATTGACTCACAGTTCTGCATGGCTGGGGAGGCCTCACAATCATGGTGGAAGGCAAGGAGGTGCAAAAGCATGTCTCACATAGTGGCAGGCAGGAGAGAGCATGTGCAGGGGAGCTCCCATTTATAAAACCATCAGATCTCATGAGACTTAGTCACTACCGCGAGAACAGTATGGGGGGAACCATCCCCATGATTCAGTTATCTGCACCCGGCCCCACCCTTGACACGTGGGAATTATTACAATGCAAGGTGAGATTTGGGTGGGGACCCATCCAAACTATGTCAGTATGTTTTGACTTCTTGCTTGATTGCTAGGTTGCATAGAGGACAAACATGGAAATTAATGAAGTACCTTAATATCTGGCTTCAGATCTTAGACAGGATCAGAGGGCCAGCTCAAATTTGCAAGGAGGGGAGGTAGATCCCACCATTTTATGGGTGAATGGCAAAATCAAACAGAAATTATGTGGGATGGGAGATACTGATGCAGGCATCTTTGGAAACATTCTACTTAGCTAATTTTATGCTAGGCTTTAGGTCAAGAAGGAGAGAGAGAGCTGACATGCTGTGGTACACACTTATAGTCCCAGCGACTTGGAAAGCTGAGGCAGGAGGATTGCTTGATCCCAGGAGTTTGAGGTAGTGTGCGATGATCGTTCTTGTGAATAGCCACTAGCCACTGAACTCCAGCTTGGGCAACATTGAGACACCCTGTCTCTTAATTTAAAAAAAAAAAAAAAAAAAGGAAAGAAAGTGGTCTCAGTTTTTAATGTAAGTATTTTTAATGGGATAATGATATTTTAAGATTAATGTATATTGTATATCAGTTAACTGTAGGTCAATAATTATATAAAACTTAAGGTATGAAAAACATTTATTTTTGCTAACATATCTGTGAGTTGACTGTTCTTGGCTTGGTGAGGCTGCAAGCTGCAGATAGAGTCTAGGTATGTTTTCTGTGTGTTTGTTCCCCCTTGGATCAGTGGACTACCTGAGAATGTGTTTTTGTCACAGTGATAGAATCACAAGGAAACTCCAGTTCTGGAAGTACATTTTAAGCCATTGCTTCTCTCATGTCCACTAACATTCAGTCAGCCAAAGCACATACCTTGTCCATGGCTAACATTGATAGTATAGATAAATATACCTGATCTCTAGCAGGAGGAACTGCATTGTCTTGGGGAAAGGTTTTAGATATAGGGAGGGGTGATGAGTTGGGAACAATAATGTAGTCTGCCACAAACATATTAAAGTGTAACTGGATATGGTTGCTGCAGAATTTTGAACCTTTGTTTTAATTGTGATTTTTACTCTTTTCCCCCTATCTAGTGCCCTTTTGTAATACAGTAATTATCATGATTTTTGTCTGAACTGAAATCTTCTGAGATTAGATTGTCTACGAAAATACAGTCGATCCTCCTTGTTTTCAGCTTTTGTATTTGTGAACTCACCTACTATTTTTTGTAACCCCCAAATCAGTACTCACAGCACTTTCATAGTCATGTGTTTGCGCAGAGTGTCAAAGAATTTGAGTTTGAACAGGATGATATTCTGCCTTCTTTTTCAGCTCTCATACAATAGTCAGGTATCCTTTTTGTGGTCTATTTAATGCCATGCTTTTCCTGTTTTTGTGCTGTTTGTTGGTTGTTTTGCCATTTAAATTAACCCCCAAGCATAGTGCTGAAGTGCTGCTTAGCATTCACAAGTCCAAGAAGTCTGTGATGTGTCTTACAGAGAAAATACATGCATTAAATAAACTCCATTCAGGCGTGAGTGCTGTAGTGCCGTTGGCTGTGAGTTCAATGTTAATGAATGAACAATGTATATTATTTATTTATTCTTCATTTAATTAATTATTATTATTATTTTTTTTGAGATAGAGTCTCACTCTGTTGCTCAGGCTGGAGTGCAGTGGTGCAGTCTTGGCTCACTGCAACCTCTGCCTCCTGGGTTCAAGCGATTCCCCTGCCTTAGCCTCCCAAGTAGCTAAGACTACAGGCATGCGCCACCATGCCTGGCTAATTTTTTTTTTTTTTTTTTTTTTTTGTAGTTTTAGTAGAGACGGGGTTTCACCACGTTGGCCAGGCTGGTCTCGAACTCCAGACCTCAAATGATCTGCCCGCCTTGGCTTCCCAAAGTGCTGGGATTACAGGCGTTAGCCACTGTGCCTGGCCAACAATATATATTAAATAAGCACACATACAACAAAAGTAGGTGTTGGTAAGCTTACAAAAGTGTGACCAGTAGCTTGCTGAAACCTAACTTTTTATTTGTTCATGGAACTTTGTAGATCGTAACTACACTGAATAATGAGAATCTGCTGTAATCTTTTTAGGTGCTGTAGATGAGCCATTGGATTAAATTATTACAGTATGTTTCAGACTGCTGTATGTTGAACCCTAGTGAAATGCCTCTCAAACCTTCATAAGGATCACAATCTCATGTCCTTTTTTTTTTGTTATTAAATGCCCAGTATGTGTTAGCGATTTAAACAAAATTCAAATATTTTTTTTTTTTTTTGAGACAGAGTCTCGCTCTGTCACCTAAGCTGGAGAGTGCAGTGGTATGATCTCGGCTCACTACAACCTCTGCCTCCCGGGTTCAGGCGATTCTCCTGCCTCAGCATCCTGAGTAGCTGGGATTACAGGCACCCGCCACCACGCTGGGCTAATTTTTGTATTTTTAGTAGAGACGGGGTTTCGCCAGGTTGTCCAGGCTGGTCTGGAACTCCTGACCTCATGCGATCTGCCTGCCTTGGCCTCCTGAAGTGCTGGGATTATAGGCGTGAGCCACCATGCCCAGCGTTGACTTCTTAATAATAACCATACTGACTGGTGTGAGATGGTATGCCATTGTGGTTTTGATTTGCATTTCTCTAATGATCAGTGATATTGAGCTTTTTCTCATATGCTTGTTGGCCGCATGTGTGTCTTCTTTTGAAGTGTCTGTTTATGTCCTGTGCCCACTTTCTAATGAGATTTTTTTTTTCTTGTAAATTTGTTTAAGTTCCTTATCAGTGTTGGACATTAGATCTTTGTCACATGCATTGTTGCAAAAATTTTCTCCCATTCTGTAGGTTGTCTGTTCACTCTGTTGATAGTTTCTTTTGCTGTGCAGAAGCTTCAAGAAGAAAGGAATCCGATTGGTTCTGTGTCTGTCTCTTTTGGTATTCTCAGAATTATGTAGTCATTCATATAGAAAGATGATTAGGAAAATAGGACAAGAATAGCAGAAATCTACATAAAAATGTAGGAAATTAAAATTAGTTACCAGCATACAAAAAACTTCTGTATGTTATAATTACATACTATAACTCACCCCTCCTTGGCAAATATTCTCTCTCTTTTGACTTCAAAATCATGGCTTATATGTACTTTCTCTATTTCCCAGATGCAAATATAATTAATTGACTTTATTTATCTAGGAAATGTTACTCATATCTTAATTGTAGTCATTGGCTTGAGTGACGGGTTTTGGTAATTCAACTACTATTACTTGAAAGTAGTAGATTTCATAGGATACTGTTATAAAATCTTTTTAACCTCTTTTCTGATTTCAGGAGTAATTAGTAATTGTGGTTTACTGGAAAATTCAATGAATAGGGTGTTAAAGGAAGCAATTCATTAATAATATATCTAATCTATTGGGAGACTGAGGCGGGTGGATCACCTGAGTTCAGGAGTTCGAGACCAGCCTGGCCAACATGGCAAAACTCCGTCTCTACTGAAAATAGAAAAATTCGCCGGGCATGGTGGTGCATTCCTGTATTCCCAGGTACTCGGAAGGCTGAGGCAGGAGAATCACCTGAACTCCAGAGGTGGAGGTTGCAGCGAGTCAGGATCGCAGCACTACACTCCAGCCTGGGTGACAGTGAGACTCCATCTCAAAAAAAAAAAAAAAAAAAAAAAAAAAAATTAAAAAATTAAATTAAAAGCGGGCTGGGCGCATTGGTTCAGGGCCGGGCACGGTGGCTCAAGCCTGTAATCCCAGCACTTTGGGAGGCCGAGGCAGGCGGATCACGAGGTCAGGAGATCAAGACCATCCTGGCTAATGTGGTGAAACCCCGTCTCTACTAACAATACAAAAATTAGCTGGATGTGGTGGCAGGTGCCTGTAATCCCAGCTATTCCAGAGGCTGAGGCAGGAGAATCACTTGAACCTGGGAGGCAGAGGTTTCAGTGAGTCCAGATCATGCCACTGCACTCCAGCCTGGGTGACAGAGCGAGATTCTATCTCAAAGAAAAAAAAAAAAAGCAACAGAAGCAAATGAGAGTGCCTGGGAGTGGTCATTGTGGGGCCTTCCCGTTTGTGTGACCCAGGTCATGTCCCTCCCTAAGCCCTGGTCTCTCTTGCCTCCTGCAGGGCTGGTGAATTACCAGATCTCCGTCAAGTGCAGTAACCAGTTCAAGTTGGAAGTGTGTCTTTTGAATGCAGAAAACAAAGTCGTGGACAACCAGGCTGGGACCCAGGGCCAGCTGAAGGTGCTGGGTGCCAACCTCTGGTGGCCGTACCTGATGCACGAACACCCCGCCTACCTGTACTCGTGGGAGGTAATGGTGGTTTGGGACTTGCGTAAGGGAGGTCTTTTGCCCCCATCTGGTAGCCCTGGCTTCAGCAGGAGCCCAGGACAGGTGAACGGGCAGGTGTGGTCCTCTGAGCTTTCTGATGTTTCCCACCCTTGGTGGGAGGCCCAGATTTTTTATTTATTTATTTATTTATTTATTTATTTGTTTGTTTGTTTGTTTTTGTGATGGTCTCACTCTGTCACCCAGGCTGGAATGCAATGGCCTGATCACAGCTCACTGCAGCTTTGAGCTGCAATCCTCCTACCTTGGCCTCCTGAGTAGCTGGGACTACAGGCACATGCCACCATGCCTGGCTAATTAAAAAAATTTTTTTTGTAGGCCGGGCATGGTGGCTCACACCTGTAATCCCAGCACTTCGGGAGGCTGACGCGGGCAGATCACTTTAGGCCAGGAGTTGGAGACCAGCCTGGCCAACATGGTGAAACCCCGTCTCTACTAAAATATGAAAATTTGCAGGGCATGATGGTGCACGTCTGTAATCCCAGCTACTCGGGAGGCTGAGGCAGGGGAATTGCTTGAACCCAGGAGGCAGGGGCCGCGGTGAATTGAGATCATGCCGCAGCACTCTATCCTGGGTGACAGAGTGAGACTGTCTCAAAAAAAAAACTCCTTTTTATAGAGTTGGGGTCTTACTAGGTTGCCCAGGCTGGTCTTGAACTCCTGGACTCAGGTGATCCTCCTGCCTTAGCCTCCCAAGGTGTAGGGATTCCAGGCATGAGCCACCTCGTCTGGTCAAGGAGAAGGCCTGATTTTGAAGGGCAGGTCCCAGGGTCAGCCAGTGAAGGGCAGAGCCTCTGATTGCTGCTTCTCTGCAGGCCCAGTGGCGACTTCTGGGGTGCATGCACGAGGGGTCTTCCTGCTGTAGGGCAGGCCAGATGGGGCTCAGGCTGTCGGGGCGCTCACACCTGGCGCTTTGGCTGTCGTAGGTGCGGCTGACTGCACAGAAGTCACTGGGGCCTTTGACTTCTACACACTCCCTGTGGGGCTCCGCACTGTGCCCGTCACCGAGAGCCAGTGGGTGAGAGCCAGTTTCATTTGCGGTAGAGGCAGCAGAGGTTGTAGAAATGCTCCTTGAGGCAGATGCCACACCCCAATTTCATGGAGTGATTTGGGCTGAGCCGAGTCTGCAGCAGGCAGAAGGCTCTGAGATGTTGTCCTAGCCTGGGCAAAGGACAGTTCAGAGCTCGGGGGAATAGGGGTGTGCTCAGCACGACTGGGTGGACAGGCCGTTTGTTGTGAATCGTACAGGCTTCCAGGAGCGGGTGCCTGAGGCTTCCAGACAGGCTTTGGGAGGTGGCCAGAGGAGATGCCTGTTTCCGGGGCAGGAAATGGAGGGAGGGCCCAGGCTGGAGAGGTTCAGCCAGGCTGTCACAAGGCTTTGAAGCTTCCCATCTGAGAGCCTGGCTATTGGAGAGTGTGGGTTTGGAACTTGAGGCTAGGAGGTTCTATTCTGTCCTGTGCCAGCCACAGCCTTCGGATGGGCAGAGCAATGATGGGGGGAAGATGTAAAAGAAAAGAACTGAGGAAAGAAGAAGAAAACCAGCTTCAACAACGGTCTAGGCCGGATGCGGTGGGTCACGCCTGTAATCCCAGCAGTTTGGGAGGCTGAGGTGGGTGGATCACCCGAGGTCAGGAGTTCGAGACCAGCCTGGTCAACAGGTAGTGAATCCTGTCTCTACTAAAAATACAAAAATTAGCTGGGCATGGTGGTGGACGTCTGTAATCCCAGCTACCAGGTAGGCTGAGGCAGGAGAATCGCCTCAGGTGAACCAGGAGGCAGAGATTGCAATGAGCTGAGATAATGCCACTGCATTCCAGCCTGGGCTACAGAATGAGACTCTGTATCTCAACAAAACAAAACAAAACAAAAACACAACAGTCTGTTCTGTGGAGGCCTTGGGCAGATGCTGGGAGCTCTGAGCACGGACTGGTCCCTCTGTTGGGAGCCTCTTCCCTTCATCCCTCCTGGTTAACTTGACTCAGCATAAAGGCCATTTCTTCTAAGAGCCTGTCCCTGACTCTCCAATCGGGGATGTGTCTGTTGTCTCATAGAGTGCCCAATTCCTGCCACCACTTGTCATTTCCATTCGCAACATTTCTTTCATTGTTTGTTTTTCAGAGTCAGGGTCTCACTCTGTTGCCCAGGCTGGAGTGCAGTGGTGCAATCATAGCTCGTTGCCATCTCGACCTCCTGGGCTTAAGCGATCCTCCCCACTCAGCCTCCCAAATAGCTGGGACCACAGACGTGCGCTGCCTTGCCAGGCTAAATTTTAATATTTTTTTTTTCCCCACGAGTCAGAGTCTTGCTCTGTCTCCCAGGCTGGAGAGCAGTGTTGCGATCTTGGCTCACTGCATCCTCTACCTCCTGGGTACAAACAGTTCTCCTGCCTCACCCTCCCGAGTAGCTGGGATTACAGGCTCACGCCACCATGCCCAGCTAGTTTTCTTCTTTATTTTTTGTTGAGATGGGGTTTCACCATGTTGGCCAGGCTGGTCTCGAACTCTTGAGCTCGTGATCCACCTGCCTTGGCCTCCCAAAGTGCTCACAGGCTTGAGCCACCATGCCCGGCCCTAATTTTTAAATTTGTTGTAGAAACAAGGTCTTGCTATGTTGTCCAGGCTGGTCTCAAGCGCCTGGTCTCAAGTAAGCCTCCCAAAGTGCTGGGGTTCTAGGCGTGAGCCACCTCGCCTGGCACTTGCACCGTTTTTCTGTGCATGCATCTCCACTCCCACTGCCCAGGACCTGTGGACTTAGATTTGAGTCATTACTGAGCACCTAGCACCCAGCCTCATGCCTACCTCCCACCTCGCACTACCTGTTTGCTTGATGCATTAATAAATATTCCACCTGAATCCACAGCCCATTCACTCCTGTGTTCAAGAGCTATTTCAGGAAGTGAACCTCATTTCTGGCAGTGTTCAGTCCAGTGACCTCAGCTCTGTGTACCCGGCAGGGTGGCTACGCCTCTGGGGGAGTTGGATTCAGGGGTGGGGGAGAAAGAGTGTTGTTAGAGAGCTCGGTCTAGGACTAGAGGAACGTGCCCTTATGTAAAATACATCTCAAGTTAGGGAAGAAAGCAGCGGCTCTGTGCTTTGTTTTTTTTTTTTTTTCCTTTTTTTTCTTTCTTTTTTTTTTTTTTGTTTGTTTGTTTGTTTGTTTGTTTTGGGGCAGGGTCTTGCTCTGTGGCCCAGGCTGGAGTGCAGTAGCGTGATTTCGGCTCACTGCAACCTCCACCTCCCGGGTTCAAGCAATTCTTGTGCCTCAGCCTCCCGAGTAGCTGGAGTTACAGATGCGTGCCACTATGCCTGGCTAATTTTTGTATATTTAGTAGAAATGGGGTTTTGCCATGTTGGCCAGGCGGTTCTTGAACCCCTGACCTCAGTGATCTGCCTGCCTCAGCCTCCTGAAGTGCTGGGATTACAGGCGTGAGCCATCGTGCCTGGCCCCCAGTTGTGTTCTGGCAGGGGAAGATGGGACAGAGAGGATGGGAGGGTGTCTGAGCCTTTCCCGGACTGACGGAACCTGTGTCTTCTCTCTTTTGTGGACAGGATGGTGATTGCTCACACCAAAGCCTTGGACCCCTCCCAGCCTGTGACCTTTGTGACCAACTCCACCTACGCAGCAGACAAGGGGGTGAGCCTGGGGGTCCCCACCCCATTTCTCCCTGCCTTTGCCTGGGCTTGTCCTGAAGCCTGCTCATGGGAACAGCTGGAAAGAACCATGTGCTGCCAGTCTGAGCTTTTTATTTTGTTTTACTTAGAAAGATAGAGACAGGGTCTTGCCATGTTGCCCAGGCTGGTCTCGAACTCCTGGGCTCAAGTGATCCTCCTGCCTCGGCCTTCCAAAGGGCTGGGGTTACAGGCGTGTGCCACCGCACTCAGCCGCAGCCAGTCTGTTTTCAAAGATGGTCTTTGGGTTAATGACAATTCTCTCTCTGCTTACTCTCCAGGCAGTGTGGCTTTCTGAATCCAAGGAGGCTGGGCATAGGGAGATGGGATTTGTTTGCCCGGTTTGGACTCAGCATTTTTTGTACTCGATTTAATAGACTCATAAAATGTCAAAGGTTTAAGTGAGCTTAGAGTTCATCTGGCCCAAACCTGGCTGATCAGAATCTCCAGGGGAAGTTTTATTGAAATGCCAGATCTCTGCGTTCTGAGATCCTGATTTAGTAACTCCAGGGTTGGAACCTGAGTTTTATGTTTTTTTGTGTGTGTGTGTGAAGGCAAGGTCTTACTCTGTTGCTCTGGCTGGAGTGCAGTGGTGTGATCACAGCTCACTGCAGCCTTGAATTCCTGGGCCTAAGCAACCCTCTTGCCTCAGCCTTCCAAGTAGCTGGGACTCCGGGTGTACACCACTGTGCCCGGCTAATTTTAAATGTTTTTGTAGAGATGGGATCTCACTATGTTGCCCAGGCCAGTCTCAAACTCTTGAGCTCAAGTGATCCTCCTGCCTTAGCCTCCTAAAGTGCTGGGATTACAGGCATGAGCCACCGTGCCTGGCTGATACTAGCATTCTTTTTTATTTTTTATTATTTTTTTAAGATAGAGTCTTGCTCTGTTGCCCAGGCTGGAGTGCAGTGGCACAGTCTCAGCTCAGTGCAACCTCCGCCTCCCAGGTTCAAGCAATTCTCCTGCCTCAGCCTCCCAAGTAGCTGGGATAACAGGCACATGCCACCACGCCTGCGCTTGATCGTGGGAGGCAGAGGTTGCATTATTGTGCCACTCCATTCTAGCCTGGGCAACAGAGCGAGACTCTGTCTTCCAAACAAAGCGGAAAAAGATTATCTGCGAGAATGACTGCATTGGCCCCTTGGGTGGGAGGGCTTCTCCAGGGCAAGGTGAGGGGATGCCCAGTGCTGGGAGTGCTGCCTGGAGAGGAGTCAGTTCCAGTGGCGGGGGCCCTGGGTTTTGGCTGAGGACTGCGTGTTGGCAGCTGCTCTGCCTCTCACAGCCCTTCCCAGCTGCACACGTCGTGAGCGTCAGTGTGCAATCACAGGCCTGCCTCCTTTGGGCCACTTTGTGACCATGTTTTTTGCTTGTGGGGCAGGGTAATTTCAGGATCTAAATTGGTGCAGTTGGATGTTCTCAGCCCCGAGAGGCAGCTCTTCCCGTTGTAGGCTTTTTGTTTTGTTTTGTAGAAATGGAGTCCTACGATGTTGCCCAGGCTGGTCTCAAACTCCTGGGCTCAAGTGATCCTCCCACCTTGGCCTCCCAATGTGCTGGGATTACAGGCATGAGCCACTGTGCCGTGCTGATTTTCTTGATACTATTTTTTGTAGAGCTGGGGTCTTGCTGTGTTGCCCAGGCTGGTCTCGAACTCCTGGCCACAAGCCACCCTCCTGCCTCAGCCTCCCAGAGTGCTGGGATTACATCCCCTTCTTACCTTCTCTGTCAGAGGAGCCCCCACAGCATGTGAGTACTGAGTCATGCGGTCTTGTGGTTGCTGAACGGGCTCTGCTGCTCTGGTCCTAGGCTCTGTATGTGGATGTGATCCGTGTGAACAGCTACTACTCTTGGTATCGCAACTACGGGCACCTGGAGTTGATTCAGCTGCAGCTGGCCGCCCAGTTTGAGAATTGGTGTAAGACATCACAATCCCATTATTCAGAGCGCGTATGGAGTGGAAACGCTTGTAAGGCTTCACCAGGTAAGCGGTGTTGAACTTTCTGCTTGTGTATTCTCTCTGGGCAGAGATGCCACTTGCCTCCCCCACCCTGCCCTGCGCCCACTGCAGTGCTCCCCTTGCTTCAGCTTTGGGCTCACCTCCCGCTACCCTGTCCACGTTCCCTTCTCACCAGCAGCCAGGCCTCTGCCCCACTCGCTTGGTCCTCAAAGGTGGACTCCTTACTGGCCTTGTTTCCAGACAGCCTCCTATCACCCGTGCCCAAGTGGTCTTTCTAAGAAATCCAAATTTTTATGTGTTTTTGAGACCGCCTCTCTCTCTGTCACCCAAGCTGGAGTGCGGTGGTGCGATCACTGCTCCCTGCAGCCTTAACCTCCTGGGCCCAAGCGATCTTCCCACCTCAGCCTCCTGAGTATCTGGGACCATAGGCACAGGCCACCATGCCTGGCTAATTTTTTTACTTTTGTAGAGATGGGGCCTTGTTGTGTTCCCCGGGCTGGTCTTGAATTCCTGGGATCAAGTGACCCTCCTGCCTCAGGCTCACAAAGCGCTGGGATTTACAGGTGTGAGCCACTGTGCCCGGCCACAAATCAAAATTTTTGAGTCCTGTCATTGGCTCCCCCAGGCCCATAGGACAAAGTCCTAACCCCTAGTCAGGACACTCAGTGTCCTCTGCTCTCTCCTGGGTTTTCATCCTCTTCTCTTCTCACTCCTGGCCACTGATCTGTTTCCACTGCCCTCATTTGCTCTCCTGCTCTTGCTTGAGCTATTCTTTCTGCCTGGAATGCCCAAGTTGGCACCATAATCACCAACTAAAAGATCCTTTTCTTTTTATTTTTTTAGAGATAGGGTCTTGCTATGTTGCCCAGGCTGGTCTCAAACTCCTGGACTCAATTGATCTTTTTGCCTTGGCCTCCCAAAGTTCTGGGATTAACAGGTGTGATCCACTGTGCTAGCCTTTTTTTATTTTTTATTTTTTTCCTGACAGGGTCTTGTTCTGTTGCCCAGGCTGGAGTGTGGTGGTGTCATCATAGCTCACTGCAGCCTCGAACTCCTGGGCTGAAGCAATTCTCCTGCCTCAGCCTCCTGAGTAGCTGGGACTACAGGCGTGCACCACCATGTGCAGCCTAGTTTTAAAATATTTTGTAGAGATGAGTCTCGCTATCAGGCTGGTCTTCACCTCCTGTCTTGGACTCCCAAAGTACTGGGAATACAGGCATGAGTCACGACACGTGGCTGAAAAGATTCCTATTTGGCATCTGAGTCTCCTCATAGCTGTCCCCTCTGTGGGGAGGTTTACCCTGCCTGCCCCAGGCGGAGGGAACCTTCCCCGTGCTCTGCCCTGTTGCAGCCGGAACCTGGCTCCCCCAACATTCTCGCCAGGCACCGTTGTTATTTCTTTGGCTCTCTCTTTGATCGGACTGTGGGCTCAGGAGACAGGAGTCCTATTTATTGTTGTTTCCCAGGTACTCTGCAATAGCTGACACAGTACATGCTAAATAATACCTATTGAGGGCATGGGTGAGATCTTAGAGCCATGTTTAATCACTCACTTTGTCTTTTTTTTTTTTTTTGAGATGGAGTCTCACTCTGTCACCCAGGCTGAAGTGCAATGGTGTGATCTCAGCTCACTGCAACCTCCACTTCCTAGGCTCAAGCGATTGTCCTGCCTCAACCTCCCAAGCAGCTGGGATTACAGGCACCTGCCACCATGCCCAGCTAATTTTTGTATTTTTGTAGAGGTGGGGTTTTGCCATGTTGGCCAGGCTGGTCTTGAGCTCCTGACGTCAAGTGATTTGCCTGCTTCCGCGTCCCAAAATCCTGGGATTACAGGCCTGAGCCACCATGCCTGGCCTGTCCTCATTTGTTTATCCATCTCATTTTTTGTCCTTCTCACCAAAGATATGTTGCTTTGTCTTGTGGGGTTTTTTTCATGTGGATTCCTGAACCCCATCCAGCCCCTTGTCCCCTCCCCAGCCAGCTCACACTCTTTTGCACAGCTCCTGGGACTCCCGTTGACACACAGGGAACAGCCACCCACAATGGACTGCACTGTTCTGTTTGCACCCTTAAATTTATCGTGCTTACAGAATGACACTTCTGCAAACTAGTCAAGTAGGGGGAAGTGATTTGTGGATATGCACCCTTGTTCATTCTCTTTGAAAAGGTAACCAGCTCTGAATTCTTTCTCCTTTTAGGAGGAGTTTCACTTGTCGCCCAGGCTGGAGTGTAGTGGTGCAATCTTGACTCACTGCTACCTCCGCCTCCCAGGTTCAAGCAATTCTCCTGCACCAGCCTCCCAAGTAGCTTGGATTACAGGCATGCACCACCATGCTCACCTAATTTTTTTTTTTTTTTTTTTTTTTTAGTAGAGATGAGGTTTCACCATGTTGGTTAGGCTGGTCTTGAACTTTTGACCTCAAGCGATCCACCTGCCTTGGCCTCCCAAAGTGCTGGAATTACAGGCATGAGCCACCATACCCAGCCCCAGTTCTGAATTCTTAAGAAACTCGAGAGGGTCTAGGTGAGCATTGATAGAACCTCTGCAGTGCTGGGTGTGCTGGCTCACACCTGGAATGCTAGCCCTTTGGGAGACCGAGGTCAGAGGATCTCTTGAGCCCAGGAGTTTGAGACCAGTCTGCACAACATGGACCCCATCTCTACAAAATATTTAAGATGAGTTGTGGCTGGGTGCAGTGGCTGACGCCTGTAATCCCAGCACTTTGGGAGGCTGAGGTGGGTGGATCACGAGGCCAAGAGTTCAAGTCCAGCCTGACCAAGATGGTGAAACCCCGTCTCTACTAAGAAAACACAGAAATTAGCTGGGTGTGGTGGCATGCACCTGTAATCCCAGCTACTCAGGAGGCTAAAGCAGGAGAATCGCTTGAACTGGGGAGGTGGAGGTTGCAGTGAGCCGAGATTGTGCCACTGCACTCCAGCCTGGGCGACAGAGCAAGACTCCGTCTCAAAAAAAAAAAAAAAAAATAGTTGGGTATGGTCGTGCTTGCCTCTAGTCCCAGCTACTTGGGAGGCTGAGGTAGGAGGACTGTTTGAGCCCAGTAGGTCAAGGCTGCAGTCCGCCATAATTGCACCACTGTACTCCCACCTGGGTGACAGAGTGAGACCTTGTTTCAAAAAAGAACCTTTGCAATGATGGAAATGCCCCATGTCTGCACTGTCTGAAATGGTAGCCACTAGCTACATGTGGCTATTGAGGTCTTGATATATGACTAGGATAACTGAATTTATTTGGTTTAATTAAAAAAAATTTTTTTTTGAGACAGCCTTACTCTGTTGCCCAGGCTGGAGTGCAGTGGCGTAATCACAGCTCACTGCTCAACCTCCTGGGCTCAAGTGATCCTTCCTCCTCGGCCCCCCAAGTAGCTGGAGCCACAGTCATGCGCCACTACACCTAGCGAATATTTAGCCTTTTTATAGAGACTGGGTTTTACTGTGTTGCCTAGGCTGATCTTGAACTCCTGAGCTCAAGTGATCCTCCTGCCTCGACCTCCCAAAGTGCTGGGATTACAGACCTGAGCTACCATGCCCAGCCTGGTTTAGTTTAATTTCATTTTACATTCATTCATTCATTCATGAGATAGGGTCTTGTTCTGTCACCCAGGCTGGAGTGTAGTGGTGCAAACCACAGCTTTGACCTCCGGGACTGAAGCAGTCCTCCCACCTCAGCCTCCCAAGTAGCTGGGACCACAGGTGTGTGCCTCCATGCTTGGCTAACTTTTGTACTTTTTGTAGGCTAGTCTTGAACTCCTAGGCTCAAGCAGTCCTCCCACCTCGGTCTCCCAAAGTGCTTGGATGACAGACATGAGCCAGCGCGCCTGACCTAAAGACATATTTTTCCTTCTAGTGTAGTTCAGCCTTAAGACTGTATCAGCAGACAGAGACGGAAAAGTAAGAAAAATTGAGTATCAGTTTATATTTATAAATAAAGCAGTTGCTAATTGATGGTTTTTTTTTAAACCTCCTTTTTAATTCTGGGTTACATCATTCCCTGGCTGTCGTTTCTTTTTTTGTATTTTTTTATTATTATTATTATACTTTAAGTTTTAGCGTACATGTGCACATTGTGCAGGTTAGTTACATACGTATACATGTGCCATGCTGGTGTGCTGCACCCACTAACTCGTCATCTAGCATTAGGTATATCTCCCAATGCTATCCCTCCCCCCTCCCCCCACCCCACAACAGTCCCCAGAGTGTGATGTTCCCCTTCCTGTGTCTATGTGATCTCATCGTTCAATTCCCACCTATGAGTGAGAATATGCGGTGTTTGTTTTTTTGTTCTTGCGATAGTTTACTGAGAATGATGATTTCCAATTTCTCCCTGGCTGTCTTTACCCTAGCATCAGTGAGTCCTGCAGTCCCTACAGCCCCCAGTGAGGACAGATATTTTGGTCACCATCAAGTGGATCTTTATTTTTATCTAACATTTACAATTCTGCCAGTTCTTACTCTTAATTCTCTTTGCCTTGAATCCCAGGATCCACCTCTGATGTTCAGTGAAGAGGACCGGAAAAGTCTGCTAGAGCAGTACCATCTGGGTCTGGATCAAAAACGCAGAAAATACGTGGTTGGAGAGCTCATCTGGAATTTTGCCGATTTCATGACTAACCAGTGTAAGTGGCAGTTTAGCGCATGGGATAATGTACCCGTCCTCATTTTTTCAGGTTGCCTTGCCCATTCTGGACATTTTGGCTGTAAGAATATTGGAAACAAAGGGGGGAACCTGGTTTAATCCATGTAGGTTGTGTTGAGAATTTCCTAGGAAAAGTAAGTTGTGCTTAGGAAGTAGGAAAGCAGTCAGGCCCCCGCTTCCCACGTACGGTCAAAAAGCAAACATGAGAGTCTGCTATAGTGAGATGGAAATGGCTAGCTTGCCTTTTTCTTGTCTATTTCATAGCCAAGGATGAAGGAAAAACTGGACCTCATTATGGATTTACTTTTGGGATACACTCATTATTCCAGAGGAGGGTAAAAGGCTGAGAAGCTTAAGGTATTTCAGTCTGTTTTATGTTACTCATTTGCGAAAAGCAGGCTCATCGAATACAGGTGAGTTTCAACGCGTCTTGAATATGGCAGCATTTAAAAGTCTTCAGACCAGGCATGGTGGCTCATGCCTGTCATCCCAGCACTTTGGGAGGCCAAGGTGGGAGGATTGCTTGAGGCCAGGAGTTCGAGACCAGCCTGTTCAGCATAGCAGGACCCCCATCTCTACAAAAACTAAACAGATTAGCTAGGTGTGGTGGTGTGTGCCTGTAGTCCTAGCTGCTTGGGAGGCTGAGGCAGGCGGATAGCCTGAGCACAGGAGTTGGAGGCTGCAGTAAGCCATGATTACACCACTGCACTTGAGCCTGGGCAGCAGAGTGAGACCTGTCTTTAAAAAAAAAAAGGAGCTGGGCACGGTGGCTCATGCCTGTAATCCCAGCACTTTGGGAGGCCGAGGCAGGCAGATCACGAGGTCAGGAGATCGAGACCATCCTGGCTAACAGTGAAACCCTGTCTCTACTGAAAATACAAAAAAAATCAGCCGGGCGTGGTGGCGGGTGCCTGTAGTCCCAGCTGCTCGGGAGGCTGAGGCAGGAGAATGGCATGAACCCAGGAGTTGGAGCTTGCAGTGAGCCGAGATTGTGCCACTGCACTCCAGCCTGGGCGACAGTGAGACTGCTTCTCAAAAAAAAAAAAAAAAAAAGAAAGGGTCTTCAAAGACAATAAGATCTGTGCTCTCACGTAGGGTGGATGAGGGGCTGCCAAGTTAGCAATGAATGTTTCCCATTTCTTCTTAGTTTATGGACTTTCCATAAACTCAGGATGGCAGTTTGGTTGGTTGGAGAAGGATATGGTGATGGCGGGAGTTACAATACATTACTTATAGGGGAAGATAGGCTTTTGAAAGGTTAAAGCTTAAAAGTGAGAATGGAAAAGGGATGAATGAATGAACATGATGAGGTGAGAGGGAAGAGGTAAAGGGAAAAGGAGAACAAGCAACTCTTCTCTGCGTGGCACCTGGGATGAATGGTTTCTGGGGACATCCCTGATGGCAGTTTTGTGGAGAGGTGCAAAGCTTTATGTGTTAAGAAATGAGCTGTAGGCTCAGTGCAGTGGCTCACGCCTGTAATCCCAGCACTTTGGGAGGCCGAGGTGGGTGAAAAGAAAAAATGGGCTGGGCGCCGTGGCTCACGCCTGTAATCCCAGCACTTTGGGAGGCCGAGGTGGGCGGATCATGAGGTAAGGAGTTCGAGAGCAGCCTGGCCAACATGGTGAAACCGTGTCTCTCCAAAAAAATAGAAAAAACATCCCTGTATGGTGGTGAGCACCTGTAGTCCCAGTTACTCAGGAGGCTGAGGCATGAGAATCGCTTAAACCTCGGAGGCGGAGGCTGCAATGAGCTGAGATGGTGCCACTGCACTCCAGCCTGGGTGACAGAGCTGGGTGGTGGCTCAAGATATGTTTTGTAAACCTGAAGATTTGAGATCATATAAGCCAAATCGAAACTTAATTGGCATTCATAACTTTTGGTTCTAGAGACTCCATGATCAACTAAGAGCCACCAAACATTTCCCATGTAGACTATTTTGACCATGCTGACTCTACTGACACTGTGGTTACTGAATTCACTTTATCTCTAGAAATTAATTCTTACTAATGGATGTCTGTCACTGTAAGATCCTTCTCTCCTCTGAAATAAGGAGAACATTTTAACTTCAGTAGTTTAAACTAGTGTCCTAAACTATAGCATTCAAAATGAGATAATATGCTAAAGTAATACACAAACCAAAAATCCCAGTGGCTAACACAAAAAGTTTTTCTTATTCATTTTACATATCCAGGGTAAGTCAGTAATAGACGCAGACACACCCAGAGACCAAGGATGAGTTGTGATCTGTCTGCACACATAGTTCACAATGCCTGAGTGAGTTGTGCTTTGGCCTTTAAACTTCCACTCATGTTTAATTAATAAAGATTTTGCTCAAATGCCATTTGATGATGAGTTTCATGACGATGATCAACTTTAAAAGAACTTGGAAGTACAATCCTCAAGCGTTTCTGGAAATAGCAGAACTACAATATTTGAGAAAAATATTTTTTAATGTATAAAAAATTGGCAGGGTAGGCTAGCAAGCAAGAGACCTAGAGAAAAGTTGATGTTACAGTCTCAAGTCGAAAGGCAATCTGCAGGCAGAATTATTTCCTTGAGGGATCTCAGTCTTTTAATATAATCAATTGACTGGATGAGCCCTACAATATTTTGGAAAATAATCTGCTTTTCTCAGAAATTACTGATTTTCATGTTAATCTCATCTAACAATACTTTCAGAGCAACATCTATACTGGTATTTGAATATATAACTCTTTTATCTTTTAAAATATCAAATAATACAGTTATATATACATACACACATATGTATATATGTCACCTAAATTGTAGATATCAGAAATCAGAATGCTGTGATATGAATATTTAGTATATTTTAATCATGATAAATTATACATCCTTCTACCTTATGATAATGGATTTTAAGATCTATGCTGTTAAACTCTATATTTATCCTTTAATTCATATCTTGCTTATTTTACATTTATCTGAGAATACATTGGGTCTACTAAATCTTTACTATCATTCACAAGTCTTACATCTTAAGATAACTTTTCAATAAAATAAAAATTCTTCATTGCACCTAGAAAGGAGCAGGGTTTTGAAAGCGATCAATGATTACTCTGATACCTAATATAATAATATAATATAGTAAAAATCAAAATACTTGAATGAAAAATGTAAAATTAATAGTTTTGCTTTCATTGTTTTTATTCCAGTGTCTATTTTAGAATGTTTTTACTCTAATTGTGTTTTTATGCAAAACCAAATGAGCTTTAGATAATTCCATTGATACATTACATATGAAAGTTCTCGTTAAATAGGATATAGCATATTTTACTTAAAAATCCAAATTATAAAATAAAGAGGGATTTTAAGTTGAGTCTAAAATTTTTGTTTCAATTTTGTTTTTATTTAAAGACTTGCTATAATTCTGTGAGAGAGCTATAAAAGTCTGCTCAGAAACATTATAATGTAAAATGGACAGAGAAGGACAATGAGATATTTAATTTGCCACGGCAAAGCCATTGCTGTGAAGAATGGATAATATATGTCAATGGTAATATATGAAGAAATAACACAGGTGAATAGCAGAGGCAATAAATCTGTTTTTACCACAGGACTTGTCTTACACTTTTCTCTTAGTAATAAATAAAATAATTTTCGACCAGATGGAGCTGGCTTGAAATCCTCTTGTTTATGGCAGTACATATCGGTTATGATTCAAAAAATATAGCCCATTTCCAAAAACCTGCAACAAAGAGATACTTTCTCAGGTGAGTGTTCAGATCATTATTCATTACAAAGTGTCAGTTTTGTCTTTATTGATCCTCATTATTGTAAGAAAGTATGTGGTCCTGTCTCCATTCTATTAAAACAACATTGTAGAGATTAGCACTGAGTCTTTCCAGCCATGTGCATCTGTTCATTTCCGTCTCCAGCTTGAGTTTTTCTGTGTATTACAAAATAAGAAAACAAAAATGACACAATAATCTATTTTGTCTGGTTTTGCTCTTTATTAGTAGAAATAGACAAGTGAGGAGTTGGAGGAAGAAATTGCTTCTGATCTGTTTTAGATACAGGTGAAACTCTCCCTCCCTCCCCGCCCTACCCAGTCTTTCTCTGTCTCCCTCCCTGAGCCTATTCTTGCTTCTTCCCTTTACAAATAATTAACTGCTCAGGTCATGTTGAACCAAAAAATAGCGTCTGTAGCCCCTGTGTGCTTACTTTAAGTATATGTTACTGAAAAATGCGGAGTGAGCACTTAACAACTCATTCTCCTGGGAAGCACAGTGCTACTATACCCCAAATGCTTTTCTTTATCATTTTAATTTTTATCTTCTTTACTTACATTTCCAACATCAGTTAAGAGGGTCTTGTAGTTTTCTAACTGAAAGGAGACTGTAAAATCTCCTTGCTCAAAACTCAGATGCAGAATATTATTTTTACTACAATAAATACATCTACAACAATGGTATTATATCTGGTTTATTTCAAAGTCAAGTTCTAATACAGGTAAACAAATATACTAATAAAGAGATAATGCTTTTCTCATGAAATGTATAATCTAGTAGGAATAAAGATAAACAATTTTTTTAAAAATTCTATTTCATTAAGCAAAAATGCAACTCAGAAGAATAATGTATATTAGCAGTCATTTACTATTTTTCAATTAAATTCCGATATATATGTAAAGTAAATTATTACTAATATCAAACATAGTTTAAAGAATTAGTGACTATGTGCACTTGGATCTCCATATGTAATGTACTATCAGCATCTTCACAAACACAGTAAATTTTAATATGCAAGTAAAACTTATTTTACTAAACGATGATTACTCCTTCTATATTCATATTCCTAAACACATACAGTTTCTTAATGTAATTAAGTTTTTAACTAAAAAAAGGGAAATGCATTATTGAGGCGATAGGATTACTGGGTGGCTATAAACACATCTGCTGCACAGCTGACATTTATCTTCTACAATGAGCAGTGACAATTTTATTTTTTAATAATCAGTATGGACTAATCCTGATGATTTTTTTTAACATTTTCAAATAGGGCTGCATATGGCTTAAAATTAATATATACATGTGTACCTATATAATATTCTTATTTATTAATGGACTTCCTACATAGCTCATATTGACGTTAGATTTAAATGAAATTCCAGAAGGGTTTTCTATAGGTAAGTCATACATTGGATTTCCATATTACCTATGATTATTGAAGTATTTATTTCTGTTTTTAAGACTTCAGAGCAATTTTGCTGGTCATTTGTTTTCTGTGTTTTTATTTTGAAATTGTTCTTTGAGGCATTGTCCTATTACATTTTTAAGGTATGTTAATAAAATAATATTTTTAATGAAATTTTGCCTACTGCTTTCCAGGTGAACTCTTGTTTAAAGTATTAATTCACCAAAAATTACTTATATTCAGAAAATGAACTAAAAAAAATAATATGACGTGTTCAAGAAAGTCGAACAAAAGTTACGTGATGTTTGCAACATACACAACTCCATACCCTTCTCAAATAGTAAAGAGAATAGTAAATAGAATAGGTAGTAAGCAGAGTAGGAATTGTGGAATATGGAACTCTCAGTCACTCAACTGACTTTATTTTTTAGTAATACGGGATTTGAATTATTCAAGCTGAAGCCATTAAATATTCATAGTGCTTCGTATTATAAAGTTATTGATTAATGTCTTTGGTAAAGAACACTATTATTTCTGATTACATCAAGGTCATCCCGAGGAACAGGACCAAAGCATAAAGTTTTATATATGAAATATGAGAAGTTAATACATAATTCATATTTAACAGATAACATAAATGTTAACCCCTTGGAGAATCTGAAGCTAATACCCATGTTCTTCTGGCAATTCTTTATACTGGCAATTTGGAAAATGCCAGTGTTTTATCGCTACCTATTCTTGTATTATGACATGAATTAATACATATCTGCCTCACTATTCCTGTGGGCAAAAAAAGACTGTGAATTATGTGCCAGAGAGAGATTTTACAAAATTAAATGAGGCAAAGTACTTTTCCTCTGTATACTCATTAGAAATATGCTGAGTAGTTCCTTTCCGTTCCTTTCACTTTCCGATAAAATATAATCAGTTCAGCCATATAACAGATATCTTTTAAACTTTTAATGTCCTCTGTTAGAATGAATATGATATTTGGGACCAATTCACATTTTGGAATAATGTACATACTAAGCATAAGTGAAGAATTTAAACATTAACTTGATTTAGGACTGGACTCTTAAGAGGTTTTAAAAAGTTGAAAAACGGAATTCCAACAAATTTAAATGGCTTGTTTAGGGTTTCCACAGGCAATACGGGTGGGTGCAATGGAAAGAGAATTCCTTTAATCTAAACGTGGGCTTTATTCTGGCTCTGCCACATATTGACTGTTTCATACAAATGTAACTTAAACTGCAGGTGTCATGATTTTTCACACATATACAAATAAAACAATGTTGATTATATAGGATTTGTTGAGAAAATGCAATTATGCCAAGTACAAGTATTTGGCCTATTATCTCACTTTATAAATATTAGCAATTCTTTTTGTGGAGGGAATAAATCTAACATGCTGGCTTTTAGAATTTCTTCTTATTTTTCTTTCAACTTTATTGCCATGTAACATCTTTAAGTCAATAAATCTGACAATTAGACTGTGGGTAATTTTCTTCCAAATCCATATCTTGTTTTCTCTATCCATAGTAGCATTTTAAAACAACAGAAGGGAACTTTAATTACAGTAGGTTGGGAGCCATTTTCTCCCTTTGGTCATATTTTCATTGAAATTCCTACATTGTTTAATATTAGGACTTAGTTTGAATATCACATCAACAAGGTTGCTCAATAGAAATATTATGGAATCATTTTTCTGTCATGCCACAGAACTTAATAACTGTATGTTCAAAATGCAGCTCAATTCTGATCATTTTTGCTACTTTCACCACTAGCATCCTGGTGCTAACCACCATCATTTATTGCCCAGGTTATTGAAATGGCCAGCAAACAGGTGTTTCTGATTCTGCGTAAGGCACCCTTCAGTACATCCTCAAAAGAGCAATTTGTATAATCACTTTAAAACATGTATCAGGTTATTACCTTCTTCTGTGTAAAACTCTGATCTCTCGTTTCATTCATTGTAAAAGTCAGAATCTTGCACAATGCTTTATAGATGCTCCACCACATGAAGCCCCCAATTCTTCTATGGACTTCCCTCCTTCCACTATGTAATTTTCTCACTCAGCTTCACGTACAGTATTTTCTTGGTTATTACTAAACATGCAACAGATACGGTTTGTTCTATATCTTCCTCATGCTTTTGGTCAGATGCCATTATCCCAGTGAGGTTTTCCATAGCCACTTTATTCAAATTCCAAACAATCTGTCCCCTTAGACATTCTCCATTCTTAATTTTTTGCCATTGTACTTACTACAGTCTAACACACTATACATGTTACATTTTTGCTTATTGTTTATTGTATAGTCCCTAGAATATTAGTTCCCTGAGGACAGAGATTTCTGTAAGCTTTTCCAAAGATGTATCCCCAAAGCCTAGAATGCTACCTGGCAACAAATACTTGTTATAATGAATTAGAAGTGGGTAGATTCACACATCAGAGACAGCGTAGTGTATATAATGATTTTTTAAAGCATTAGAGTCATAGATATTAGGATTTGTATTATGTCTTCACCATTTACAATTATGCTACCCTCAACAAGTTGTTTAATCTTTCCATTCCTCAGTTTCCTCATGACTCATATATTGGAAATATTGTCTACCTTAGAGCTCTTCCAAGAGTAATATTGAGACAATGTTTCAACAATGTTTAGCACATTGCTGAATATTAATACATTATTTCTATTAATGTAAGAAATTTCATAGACTTGCTAGAAATAACGAGGATGGAATATAGATGAAGATCATAAAACATGATGGAAATAAATGTTGGAAAATGTGGGTGGTATCCTTAGCACACTCTCTAACGTAAGGAGTAAAATCTGTGTCATATGACTTTATCTTTCTTCTGGAAACTAACGGAATTTAGTAACACACTTTTCTTGACCTGAGGATTTGCCCTTACCACAAAATTGTTTTTGAAACTTGAGTGTTTACAATGGCTTTTTACCAGTTCTTTTATGTTCTACCAGTTCCTCTCCAATTTACTATGGACTGAAGTCAGACTAATTTGTTAAGAGCAAACAAAACAAAACAAAACAAAACAGTTATTACCTCATTCTAGCCTCAAAGCATCTGCCTTTTCAATGCAATCAAAATTAAATGCAATGAAAATTAAATGCAATCAAAATTAAATGCACAATTCTAATTTTGATGACTTTAGTCCCTGCTTATCTGTTATATTAGGCTGTTCTTGTATTGCTATGAAGAAATATCTGAGACTGGATATTATAAAAATGTTTAATTGACTCACAGTCCTGCAGGCTGTACAGGAAGCACAGTGGCATCTTCTTCTGGAGAGGCCTCAGGGAGCTTTTACTCATGACAGAAGGCAAAGCAGGAGCAGGCACTTCACATGGTGAAAGCAGGAACAAGAGAGAGAGAGTGTGTTGGGGTAGGTGCACTACCATGGAGACAGCACCAAGTCACGAAGGATTCGACCTCATGATCCAAACACTTCCCACCAAGCTCCACCTTCAGCACTGGGGATCTGGTTTCAACATGAGATTTGGGCGGGACATCCAAACTATATCATCTGTCTCCCTCATCCAAGACCATGTGATCCGTAGCTCACTTTTGTCTAGCAACAGATTAAATACAGCATTTTCTGTGTGATATCTTTGTTGAGGTCTTTGCAGATGGCTGTTTCTTTGTCCTGAAACTTTCTTCATCTGCTCTTTCAAAATGAGTGACTCTTCATCCTCGAAGTCTATGCTTATATATTGCTTTTCAGAGGAATCTTTTCTGAACTGGGCATTCTGCCTTCAACCAACTATTTTCTATTATAGTTTCCTGTTTGTGAGTTAATAGTCCTTTTGAAAATTTGACTACTCATTTACCTTCTTGGGTTATTTGAAATTATCTCCTCTTCACTAGATTCTATAGAAGCATAGCCATGCCTGCCCTCTTTACTGTTTCTCTACTGACTTGTTGCAATGAATATTGTCAGTAAACATGGAAATAAATCAGTTATTCAGATATCCTACCTTGGTGCTTGCTTAGATAACTCCACACTGTGATGCCTAATGACCTACACAGGGCTTTCTAGCAAGGAGTGACTTTCTTTCTGCTACGTGTAATAATGATCCGTCAACTTAAACATATAGTTATATTTCCAGCAGACGGTTTCTTGAAACTAATGTCCAGGGTGTAGTTATTCAAAAAAGCAAACTCTTCTCTTGATTTCTGCCATACATTGGTACTCTTTCTCTCTCCCTTTTTTATTTTATTATTTTTTTTTGAGACAGAGTCTCACTCTTTCACCCAGGCTGTGGTGCCATCCCAGCACACCCTGCAACCCATTGCCTCCCAGATTCAAGCGATTCTCCTGCCTCAGCCTCCCTAGTAGCTGGAATTACAGGCATGTGCCACCATGCCTGACTGATTTTTTGTATTTTTAGTGGAGACGGGATTTCACCATGTTGTTCAGGCTGGTCTCAAACTCCTGACCCCTAGTGATCCATCTGCCTCAGCCTCCTAAAGTGCTGGGATTACAGGCGTGAGCCACCCCGCTCGGCCTACTCTTTTATTTCTGTTTTGTCTTTCCTTTCTCAAGAAAGAAAACAAACCAAAACCAAAACAGTTTGGAAGACTTTATAGTATTCATCCATACAAAAGAACAAGATCATGTCCTTTGCAGGAACATGGGTGGAGCTGGAGACCATTATCCTCAGCTCCACCCATCCTCAGCTCCCACTAACGCAGGAACAGAAAAACAAATGCAGCATGTTCTTATTTATAAATGTGAGCCAAGTGATAAGAACACATGGACTCATAGAGGAGAACACCACACACTCGGACCTACCTGAGAGTAGCGGGTGGGAAAACGGAGAGGTTGAGGAAAAGTAACTAATGGGTACTAAGCTTAATACCCGGGTGACAACATAACCTGTACAACAAATCCCCATGACACGAGTTTACCTGTATAACAAACCTGCACGTGTACTGCTGAACTTAAACTAAAAGTTAACAAAAGGCCAGGTGCAGTGTTTCACACACGTAATCCCAGCACTTTGGGAGGCTGACATGGGTGGATCACCTGAGGTCAGGAGTTCAAGACCAGCCCGACCAACTAAATACAAAAAGTTAGCTAGATGTGGTGGCAGGTAATCCCAGCTCCTCTGGAGGCCAAGGCAGGAGAATCGCTTGAATCCAGAAGGCAGAGGTTGCAGTGAGCCGAGATTGTGCCACTGCACTCCAGCCTGGGCAATAAGAGTGAAACTCTGTCTCAAAAAAAAAAAAAAAAAAAAAAAAAGTTAACAAAACGTTCTTCTCTAGTTCTAAAGCACCAACACAGAGGTGATCAAAATACTCTAAGAAGCACTGGGAAACATTGAGGGGATGGTTCAAACATCAGAGCTAAGGCCTAATTTCCCAACAGTCATTATTTCTGTGGTATTTTGCATATTAGAGACGTATAGGTTCCTCACCTAATCCTTGTTTTTTCATTTTATTTTTAATACATATGAAAGTCATAATAACAAAAAAAATTCATACATCAGCAGCTCAGCTAGAAATAAAAGTCTCAATCTACTGGAAGCCCCTGTGAACTTGTATCAAATTCCTTTCTCTCTTCATAGAGGAAATAATGACTCCCAAAATGTGGTAATGAACAAATATCTCTAATTGTTTAAAATTTAGTATATGTGCAAGTCTCCACAGACACAATCATGATCATATATTTTTAGAAGTTAAAAACGTGTCTATCATCAGGGCGTGGTGGTTCATGCCTGTAATCCCAGCACTTTGGGAGGCCTAAGTGGGTGGATCACCTGAGGTCAGGCGTTCAAGACCAGCCTGGCCGACATGGTGAAACCCTGTCTCTACTAAAAATACAAAAGTTAGCCAGGCGTGGTGGAGGGTGCCTGTAATCCGAGCTACTCAGGAGGCTGAGGCAGGAGAATTGCTTGAACCCGGGAGGCGGAGGTTGCGGTGAGCCAAGACCACGCCACTGCACTCCAGCCTGGACAACAGAGCAAAAACTCCGACTCAAAAAAAAAGTGTCTATCTACCTTCTGCTTTATTTTGTTTTATATGACATTGATGATGTCCATCTATGTTGGCCCATATAATTCTTATCAATTATTTTAAATGCTGTTTAGCATTGTACTATATAAAAATATCAAAACACAGCTCCCTTTTGTTCATTATATTGCCATTTAGTTTTTTTCTCATTTTTTGCTATTTCAACAAAAAGCTGCTATGAATGTGTATGTGTGTATATATATATTAAATGTGTATATATATGAATGTATATATATATACACATATATATGTCAGAGTTTCTCTAGGATATAAACCCAGGAACAAAATTTAAAAATCATAGGGTGTATTGGATCTTACATCACTGCAGACCCTCTCAGCATTACCTCTTGTTCCAGTCAGAGCCTTGGTTACTATTTTTATGTAGACTTTGGTCAGTTTCATAAAGATGGAAGTGATAGTATGTGGCTTCAGACCAGAGCAAGAATTCACTTTCTGCTGCGGGATTTCTCAGACAATGTTGTGTGGATTGTTGTAGGCATTTTGCTTGTTACTCATAAATGCACTGTCTAGACACATCGAGAAGTTAGCATCCATGAGGCTATGCTTGAAAAATGGAACTCCTAGAGCTGATGGATACATATTTCCCCCGTTGTTTCACTTCAGTGAATGGTCATATAGTATTCCATCACCTAACTTAATAATGTGTTCTAGATTTTACTCTCTCTCCCTATAGCACCCATCCTGTTTCTTATTCTTACTCCACAATACACTCCCAACTTAAACACACAGTCTCTTCTTTAGGTGTTGGGGGTTGGGAGTTATTACAAGATGACATGGTGTATGCATTTATTTCTTTGTCTACGTTGATTGCACTGATTTACAGTCTCACCAGCAGTTCATAAAATCCTTCCTTGCAGCTAAGATATGGGCACAAGACTAAAATTTATATCTTTAGCTGATATCTCATTCCTGAACACTCATCTCATTTGCGACTGCCTTGAATATCAAATAGGCATCTCAACCTTAGTAAGTAAAAGAGAATTCTTTATCTGCATCCTGCCAATCCTGCTTCTTTCCCAGTAATTTTTCACTCAGTAATTTGAGCCATTATTAATCTATTTTCTAAAGCTTCAAAACATGGAGTCATTACCAGCTGTTTTATATACACCATTCCAAGCCATTAGAAAGTCAATTCCATTTCACCTGGAAGTTTATTGCAAATTTGACAATTGTCTCTTACATGAACTACTAAAATAGCTTCTCAGCAGCATCTGTGTGCTGCCATTATCCATCCTTCCTCCAGTCTCTTCCCCACCAGGCAATGGAAGTCATCTCTGGCAATATAATGCATTTCACATTAGTTTCATTTTTCCAGCTGAAAATCTCAAAAGTATTTCATTTACATGCCTAATAAAAGCTAAAGATATAATCTTGCTCAGAACTATAAGCTGGCTTCTCCACCTACCATTATCCTTTGCCTTGATTACTCTGCTCTATATCATCATCTTGCATACCCTAACACATGACTTTTATACTCATTGCTCCATCTGTTATAAACATACTGATAAATAATGTTTCCTCTTTAGCAGTGATTTCCTGATCTAATCAATATTTTGGTATCATATAAACTCATTGGATTATTAGTGATTATCACTAACCTGCTATCATACAATACACATTTAATTTCTTTTCTCCTTGTTTATTGTCTAAACTGCTAGGTAGAAGGGCACTTTATCTATTCTTATCACAAACGTAGGACAACGGCTAGCACAAGGTTAGGAACTTACACGCTATTCGATTAATTGTTGTTTAATAATTGATTAAAAACTCCAGAACTTTGGGTTCCATTCTTATGATGACAATAATATAATGCTAGGGATGCCAAGTGAATAGCAAGTTTAACCAAGTTATCCTGTATGGGGAGCCACAGTTACTTAAAATGTCTGACAATCCACAGTCCTGGTGATGATGTGGAATATCACTCTCTTAATCAATGCAAACAATTTATTTAATAGTCATAGTGCTAAAGATGGCATGCCCTCCAAATGAGCAATTGCACTCTTGGTTATGCATTTATATGAATATGTATATAGGAATAGTCATGATAAAACTACTAATTATTATAAAATTTTTGGAAAAAGCATAACTATTAAAAATGAAATTGGTAACTTAAGACTACTCAATACATCAGTAAAAATGAATGAACTAAGCAAAAACATGGATGAATTTCAAAAACGAAATTTATTTTCATTATTTATTAAGAAAGAAAATTTGCACTGTTTTCAAGTCTAATACCAAACAGAACTAAATGGTATTTCTGGATAAACAAATTAGAAAATAAAATTATGAAAAATGCAAGAAAAAAATTACCACAAAAGTTGGGATAGAAGTTACATTAAGAGATGGCATGGTCTTATACAAAGAAAACCCTAAAGACTCTGAAAGACTCCTAGACTTGGCAAAAGACTGCAATAAAGTTTCAGAATACAAAGTCAATGTCCAATAGTCAGTAGTATTTCTATATAGCAATAATATTCAAGCTGAGAACAAAATCAAGAACTCAATCTCATTTACAATAGACACACACACACACACACACACACACACACACATAACTGAGAAATACGTTTAACCAAGGAGGTAAAATATTTCTACAATAAGAACTACAAAAGATGGGTGGAAGAAACCTGAAATAAAACAAACTAATGGAAAAATATCCCATGTTCATGGATTAAAAAAAATTAAAAATGACCATGGTGTCCAAAGCAATCTAAAGATTCAGTGCAATTTCTATCAAACTACCAATGTCATTTTTCACAGAATTAGAAAACAACAATCCCAAAGTGTATATGAAATTCTGAATTGAAAAAATGACCCAGATAGCCAAAGCAATTCTAAGCAAAAAGAACAAAGCTGGAGTCAGCACTTCACCCCATTTCAAATTATACTACAAACCTATAGTAACAAGAACAGCATGGTACCAATACAAAAACAGATACATAGTTTAATAAAATTAAATAGAGAACCAAGAAATAAAGCCACATACCTACAACCAACTAATCTTCAACAAAGCGTGCACAAATAAACAATGTGGAAAGGATACCTTTTTCAATAAATTGTACTAGAAAAAATGGATATCCGTATACACAAGAGTAAAACTGGATTCCTATATCTCACCATATATAAAAATTAACTCAAGATTGATTAAATACTCAAATGTAAAAACCTATACAATTCCTAGAAGAAAACCTAGGAAAACTTTACTGAATATCAGCCTTGACAAAGAATTTATGACTAAGTCATCAGAAGCAAATGAAACAAAAATAATAATAGGCAAATGGGACCTAAGTAAACTAAAAATCTTCTGCACAGCAAAGGAAATAATCAACAGAGTAAACAGGCAACCTACAGAACAGGAGAAAATATTCACAAATTATGCATCTAACGAAGTACTAATATCCAGAATCTACATGGAACCCAATAAATAATAAACACATTATGTCATTACAAAGTAGGCAAATGACATAAACAAACATTTATCAAAAGAAGACATGCAGGTTGCCAACAAACATTAAAAAATACTCAAGATCACTGATGATCATAGAAATGTAAATCAATATTGAAGTGTGTATTAGTCTGTTCTCATGCTGCTATGAAGAAATACCCGAGACTGGGTAATTTATAAGGAAAAGAACTTTAATGGACTAACAGTTCCGTACGGCTGGGGAACATTCAGGAAACTTACAATCATGGTGGAAGGGGAAGCAATCAAGTCCTTCTTCACATGGCAGCAGGAAGGAGAAGAATGAGAGCCGAGCAAATGTGGAATCCCCTTATAAAACCATCAGATCTTGTGAGACTCACTCACTATCACAAGAACAGCACGGAGGGTAACCGCCCTCATGATTCAATTACCTCCCACCAGGTGCCTCCCATGACACATGGGGATTATGAGAACTAAAATTCAAAATGAGATCTGGGTGGGGACACAGCCAAACCACATCAAAAAGTGATTCATTTGACATGGTCTTCCCTATCTTCTCTCATTTAGGGTAACATTATTTCCTTGAATCAAAAGGGTATCCCTGTAGACTTTGAGTTCATCTTGACATCTTTGAACCATGGATTATCAATTTGCAAATGTTATTTGTTGAATTATTGAGCTATATTCCTTGACATGCTTTTAAGAATGATATTTTCATTAAAATAAATGAGGGACTCATCCTAATATTTAGGAAGATTTCTCAACATCATCACATACAATTATGAATTATTATGGACACAACAGTGGTAGTTTGGATTTTTATTGTGGTTAAACTTTTAGAAAGTACAAAGTATTCATAAATCTACATTTTAATATTTTATAATTCAAATGAATTTTAAGTAACTATTTTGATATTCTATAAATAAAAATGTCACCTATACTATATAAGGATTCACTCACTTCTCTCTGCATTCTCATCAATACCTGATGTGTTGTGACTTTTAAAAACTAGCCATTCTGACTAGTATAAGGTGACATTTCGTTGTGGTTTTAATTTTTATTTCTCTGATGATGAGACTGAGCATTATTTCATATGTTTGCTGTCCACTAGTATGTCTTCTTTTGAGAAATGCCTGTTTATGTACTTTGTCCATTTTTTAATGGGGTTATCTATTTTGTTGTTGTTGTTGAGTTGTTTGAATTTCTTGTCGATTCTGGATATTAGTACTTAGTTGGATGCATAGTTTGCAAATATTTTCTCACATTCTTCAGGTTATCTGTTTTCTCAGTTATTTCTTTTGCTGTGCAGAAACTTTTTTGTTTAATTAAGTCCCATTTGTCTACTTTTGTTTTTGCTAAATTTGCTTTTGAGGTCTTAGTCACAAATTTTTTGCCAAGGCCAATGTCTAGAAGAGTTTTTCCAGGTATTCTATGAGTACTTTTATATCTTCAGGTATTATATTTAATTCTTCAATTCATCCTGAGTTAATTTTGTGGATGGCAACAGATAGGGGCCCAGTTTTATTCCTCTGCATGTGGCTTTCCAATTTTCCCTGCACTATTTATTGAAGGGGATATCCTTTTCCCAGTGTATGTTTTTTTCAATGTTGTCAAACATCCATTGACTGTAGGTAGGTCCCTTTATAAATATCCACTAATAAAGTGACAAAGTGCCTTTGTCACTTTATTCCTGGAATTTCTATTTTGCTCTATTGAGTATTGTGTCCATTTTTATATCACTATCATATTGTTTTTGTTACTATAGCCTTATAGTATAATTAGAAGGAATGTAAATTTGTCCCACCTCTATTAAAACAGTATGAAAATTTTTTCAAGTATTAAAGAGCCACAATTCACTCTATCAATCCTATACTGGGTGTATACCCAAAAGAAAAAATATCATTATACCAGAAAAGATATTTGCACTCATTTATTTATAGCAGCAATATTCATAATACCAAAGATATTGAATCAACATGTGTCCATCAACAAATAACTGGATAAAGAAAATGATGTGATATACATATATACATATATACACACACATACACGCACAATGAATACTACACAGCTATAAAAAATAACATCATTTCACTTGCAGCAATATGGAAGGATAATTTTACACTTTATGTCTTAGTCTGTTTTGTGCTGCTGTAACAAAATACCTGAGACTGGGTAATTTATAAAAAATAGAAAATTATTTTCTGATAGTTCTGTAGGCAAGGAAGTCAATGATCAAGATACCAGCATGTAATGAGGGCCTTCTGTTGCACTCTCAGATAGCATTAGTTTAAATGGCAAGAGAAAGGCAGAACTCTATTTGAGAGGGCTGTTGCAACCTTACAGCATGATACATCTTGTGAAATATGGTTTTGAACATTTTTATTAAAAATGTAGGCATCAAAATCTCTACCATTTGTGTCATGTTATAATAATAACTATAAAACTGCATTATTCAGAATATGTAACAATAAAAATTAATATTAAAAAGTTTTAAAATGTATTTGCTTTTGCATATATCGTTTCTATTGATCATAACAACCAGATGTGATAACCAGGGCCAGATATTTCTACTGTTATCATTAGAAATCAAAGAAAACTAACATATTGGATGGTTTTAAAAATTATAAAAATTGTAAGTGTACATATAAATATTAACTTGTAAGTCATCTTGCAAGTATTATAATCAGATTTCATTTTCAAATCGTGATGAATCTAACATGATACCTAAGTTTGTATATTGAACAATGTGTATACATGTGCACACACTTTTAATTTATATTTTTCTCATTCTGAGTGATAATGCAGCAAAATTTAAAGAGATTACACTATAATTATGTTTAAAATCTTACTTGTACTTTTGAAACAAATCACAGGTTGAGTCATGATAACAGGACAAAATATACTTAGCTGCTGAATATAAACAAAGTATACAGAAGCGTAAATCTTGCGAGCACAAAAGTGTTAAAAACAGCAAGATCTAGAGGCTCAAGTACAAGAGAGATATATTATACCAAGAGCAGTAATCTCAAAAATTTATATCCCAAATGTGTAGACTTGATCTTATTTTCAGTCAGTGTGTTCTGTATGGAAGATGAACATGCTCCTGACAACGGAGTATGATTTAGAAAACTATATCCTGCACAGAGGGATATAAAATGTGATTATATACTGCACTTCTGTGCAAAATTTTAAACAGAATTTAATCAATCACTTTGAAACCTAGATGTATTTGTGGAACAATGACATCACTTTGAAATTATGTGTAGTTTGTAAATGCACAAAATTAATAATGTATTTTGTGTAAATGGATTACTTTGGAAAGAAACTCATAAGAACTACATTATCAGACAAAACATTCTTTGAAAATGTGTGTGCTACAAGGCAATTTGCCATTTCATTTTAATAGAATGTTCCATGCTGAAAATGTCTAACTGCTCAGAAGTGGAATAGGAGTGTAAATTTATTATCTGAGAAAAGAAAATTAATTGACACAGGCCAAAAATGTAATGGAATTAGACCCATGTGCCTTAGTGAGAACTTAGGAACTCGATCTGGGCTCTATGGAGTGACAAAATTATGCAAAAAAAAAATGAAGTATGTCATTTTTGCACAAAGCTCAGGATTTCTCAAAGGAATATTACATAAAATAATGAAGTCTCCTTTATCTCCAAGACAGTCCAGTCTTAGAACGCAATGGAACATGCCATTTGAAATAAAAAACAAATTTTGTTTTTGTTTTGTTTTGTTATGTTTGGTGCTATTTTAAGTATTTAACATTCATAAAGAGAGAATTAGCAATTAATGAGATAAAGTTTAAAAAAAATCGAGATCAGGACAAGGTAAAAAAAAATCATTCAGTCTTGCAAATCTGTTATTTAATAGGTCATGTTTTAAGAACTGGGAATACAGATACTACGTGTATTTTAAATAGAAAATTTGAAATGTACAAGAAGTCATTTTTAAATATAGTCACTCTGCTATAAAGTCAATCTCTAAAACTCAATCTTTGTGTCTAACTGAAACTGTACCCTGTGAACAACATCTCCCCATTCCCTATCCCTTGCCTCCAGCATTAACTAGCATTCTACTCTCTACTTTTAAGGGTTTGCCTTTTTTCGATTGCTAAAAAGTCTATTTTCAGTGTTCTCACAACAAAAAGATAAATATGTGACATAAGAGATGTGTTAAGCAGCTTGATTTAATCATTCCACAATATAAATATATACGAAGACATAATACTGTACCCCTCAAAACAATTATTATTTGTTTATTTAAAACATTTAAAAACAAAAAATGAGACAAATATCAGGAAAGTAATTTTATACATAAGCTAGATAATTGCCTATAGCTGCGTATGCTGTGAAATAATTTCTGTTTGAAAAGACAGGAAAAATTATATGGCAAAACCATAGTGCAGTAATAAATTTGCCATGTTTAGTAAACAAAATATAGTTCAATGTGACTGAAGCATACCAAGAGGCAGAAGAATGTGGTGTACACTGTAGTGTAGAGGAGTGTCTTAGTTTGGGCTGCTATACAAAATACCATAGATTGAGTGGCTTACAAATAACAAAAAAAGTATTTCTTACTGTTCTAGGGGTTGGAAGTCCAAAGTCAGAGTGCCAGGATGTTCTGGTTTTGGGGAGGGCCCTTTTGCGGTTGCAGACTGTTGGGTTTTTGTATAAGCACATGGGGAAAGAAGTGAGAGCTCTCTTAGGTCCCTTTTATAAGAACACTAAGCCTATTCATGAGGCCTCTACTATGACAACCTAATTACCTCCTGAAGGTCCCACTACTAATACCATTACATTGACAGTTACGATTTCAATATACAGATTTTGAGGGTACACTTTAAAAATTCAGTCCGTAACATTCTGCCCCAGGTTCCCCAAAATTCATGTCTTCACATGCAAAATGCAGTCATTCCATTCCAACAAATCCACAAATCTTAACTCATTCCAGCCTCAAGTCCAGTCTAAAGTCCAAGGTCTTATTTAAATATTACCTAAATCAGATGCAGGTGAGCTTCACGGTACAGTTCATTCTCACAAAATTTCTCTTCATCTGTGAACCTGTGGAATCAAACAACATGAACTCTCAAAATACAATGGTGAGACAGGCATAGGATAAACATTCCCATTCCAAAAAGAACCACTATTCGAAAAAAATAAAATATATGAATGCTGGATCCCAAGTAAATCTAAAACCTAACAGGGCAAACTCCATCAAACCCTAAGGTTCAAGAAGCATCCTCTTTGGCTTGATGACTCACCTTCCAGACAGTCCCCGACAGCTCAGTGAGGCACTGCTCGCTGCTGACTCTATGCACTGGACCCACTTATGGCACAGTCTTTTGTCAGGGCTGAGGTCACTCACCCAGGGCTTCACTGGATGGCCCTCCCACACAGCTCCTCTGAGCATCATTTCTGTCCTTTGAAATCAAAATGGAGGTAACCTTGGCCCACCTTGCCATACCCTCTGGATTTTTGGTAAAAGCAGCAGCTGTAATTGTCTCCAAATCCCCTTTGCGCCCCTTCTTCCGTAATTTTGAAGGAGAGAATAGCACACATCCACAACTGAATAGCTCTCGGGTCCGGGCCTGTAGGGCTTAAGCATTCCGAATGTCTTCCTTTATTTCGTCCCATTATCTCTGTTTCCTTTAGTCCCAACTGGCAGTGTTTCTCCTGGTATAATCCCATTTCTAGTCATGGTTTGTGTTGAGATGTTTGATTAAGCCTGTGGTTCACACCCATATTAATCAAATCAGTAAGGGTCCGAAACACTCTTCATGTTCTCTTCAGAACACACTTTCTCACTTTTTTTGCAATATGGACAGGCTGAGAATTTCCCAGATCTTAAATTATGGTTACTTTTTCCTTAACAATTCCATCTTCAAACCTTTTTCTTTTTCTACATTTGACTCTACGGATTCAGAAGGAACCAAGCTGCTGCTTCTACATGTTGCTGAGAAATCTGCTGGGTTAAATGTCCAATTTCACTGCACACAAGTTCCACCTTCCGCAAAACACAAGAGCATGAATACAATTCAAAGAAGTTTGTTTCCACTTTTCAACATGGATTGCTTTTGCTCCATTTTCCAATAACATTTTCATTTCCATTTGAGACTCCAACAGAATGACCTTTACTGTCCATATTTTATCAATATTCTGTTCATGATTATTTAATTATTTTCTGAGAAGACAGCGTTTTCTTCTATATTTCTTTCCGAGCCCTCACGAGAATTGGCTTTTAAATTTCTTCCACAGTAATCTAGCATTTTGCATAAAACCTCATCAATCTCTGCCAATCACTGAGCCCAAAACCATTTTCACTTTGTTTTAGGTATTTATAATAACAGCACTCCCACTTCTCATGATCAATTTCCATCTTCAGCCGTTCAGGCTGCTTTAATAAAGTTCCATAACCTGAGTGGCTTTTAAATAACGGAATGCACATCTCACAGTTCTGGAGGCTGGAAGTCCAACAGCAGAGTGCCAGCATAATTGGGTTCTGGTGAGAGAGCTCTCTTGGGTTTCAGACTGCTGCCTTCTCAATGCAGCTTCACATGGTGGACAGAAAGAGCTCTCAAGAGTCATTTTTAAGGGCACCAATCTAATTTATGAAGCCTCCACCATAATAAGCTAATTACTTCCCAAAGTTCATTATAAATATGCAGCTTATAGGTCCTGCTACCATCATACTGAAGGTTAAGTTTTCATCACATGAATTTTGAGGGGACACAACATTCAGTTGCAACAAAAAATACTCAGTGGTTTTTAATTACAATATTGATTATGTAAATACAGAATAAATTTTAGCTCTAAACATTATCCATGATGTGATTAATTAAATTACTAGTTTAAAAAATTGAATCTGTAATTTATCTTGCCTCTATAATTATTATAAGAACTTGTAAACTTTTAACTTGTTTTCTTTAATTTGACCATTTCTGAAATTGTATCTCTAAGTATTGATATATACACTTCCTAGTGCATATAAAAGTTATGCATATTTAGAGTAATAAGTAGTGTGTTATCATGTTTTTATATCAGGGCAGGAAGGGAGAAGTTGAAGAACAAAGTGTCCTTTTCAACAACTTCAGCCCACGTATCTTTCTACAGGACTATAACATGTCACCAGCCACAAGGGCAAGGAGACTGGGCATTGTAGTTATTTGGCAGGACACATTGCTCTTTCAAACAAAAATGGCATTCAGAAACAAGAAAGTAGGGAAGAGAGGTTTTGGTTGGACAACTTGCATTGTTGTCCCTTCTTTTCTTAGACTTCCAAATTCTTGGTTTCAGAATTCTTTATAAGGTTACCCCTCTGAGTAATTTTATCGGTCCATTAAATCTCCCAAGTCCAGGTCCCCAAGCTCTTCTCAACTAGTATGACAGCAACTTGTATAGAGATGTCAATGCAGTACAAATGCTTGTTTTAAAGTTGTTTTAATCCAGCTTCTATCATTCTAAATATTGTTTTAATCCAATATTCTAATTCAGAATATTGAGAATAAACTAATCTTACATGAAATATCTTTTTTCTCCTATTATTTGATATGTGTGTCTATAAAATAACATTTTCTAATTACAGAATGTGCAAGCAAAAAACAAAAAGGGCCTGTGTCCCTAGTCCCATTTTCTTGCTTGGAGGTAACATCCACAACATTTTTAGTTTTCTGTTGTTCTTCTCTAATGCTCCCAATAATATACCTTTGTTGTGGTTATTGTTGTTATTATTGCTCTTGCATCAAGCACTATCTCTTAGTGCTCATGCACGTCCTTACCGAGGTCCATTTCTTTACTCTCTGCCCCATTCCAAGTTGTGTTAGGTAGAGGATTATACTGATCAAGTCCTGTTTTTAGCTATCTTCATAACATTAACACTTTAAACCTCAATGTCTTCACTGTTCTACTGTCCTATGAGCTCTAGCAATCTCAAGTTTCATGTCACTTCTCAGACTATGGCAATGGTAATCTGCATTAATGGCAAAATCATTAATATTGATGAAAATTTTTATTTTCTGCCCTTCCCAAAATCATCTACTTCTTTGGAATTTACATTAGCAGGCAACAATGGCAGTGGCAATACTACCTTTTGGAAGGTAACTGTAGCTCCACCCTTATCTGTAAAAAGATATGTATTAAGACCCCCAGTTGATGCCTGAAACAGTGGATAGTAAACATGTACTATTTTTCCTACACATACATACTTATAATAGACTGTAATTTAAAAATTAGGCATAGTGAAATTTAACTAATAATTATAGTAGTTTATTAGTTAAACTACTACTAATTATTATAGTAGTAGTATTTGTTTAAACTAATATACTCATTATGGGAGTAGTATTAAACTAATAGGCTAATTATATTAGTTTAATAATTCTATTAGTTTATTAGTTAAACTAACACTACTAATGATAATAGAATTATATTAGTTATACTAATATATTATGTATAGGAGTAGTATACTTCTATAATTATATAGGAATATAATTATATTCCTTTTACTAATAATTATATGAACATAACTAATAATAGAATTATTATAACAATATACTGTAGTAAAAGTTATGTGAATGTGGTCTCTCTTTCTCTTGAAATACCTTATTATTATCTACTTTTCTTTTTGTGATAAAGAAAACAGGGAGTAGGATGGACAACCTGAGAATTTATCACGTTATGGTACACAATTTCAAAGTTATTATTTCTATAACTTTTATTTAATATTTTTCAAAACATGATTGACCCCTGATAGCTAAAACTGGGGAAAGTGAAACCGCTGGTAAGGGGGGACTGCTGTGTTGCTAAAAGTGTCTTCCTTTGCTAAATGTACCAAGAGTAGATTCTCAAGAGGAGTAACATAGATAGGAATTTACGTTGTAGATGGCCTCAGCTATTGCTAAATATCTACAAATTCACTTGGGAATAATATAAGCAGCCACATCAGCAACAATATCTTGAGTAATATTGTTAATGGAGCATCAGGAATTAGGGCTTTGCAATTATGAGATACATTTTTCCAAAGACATGATGCAAACATCCTTAGCAGTAGAAGAAAAAAGTTGAATTCCAACTCTTTGTCAAGAGGCATTTTTGGGAATTGTTATTATATCCAATTTTCGCCCAGGATTATGTGGCATGATAAATATGCCTTACAATAACTTAGTTAAGAATATTATAGGTAATACATATTTCATCACCTTAAGAAATGTGAATGGCTGTTTGGAGGTATATTAACATCATGTAGATGGAGGCTCAAGACTGCTGAGATAAAATTGAATACATTTAGAAAGACTGATGGCATATTTTCCTGAAGAGAATCTTTAGAAAACCAAAGAGTTAATGTCAGGTTTTCATATGTCTTAGTAGTCTGAATAAAACCTGTTAAATAATTTTTCCTGGAAGAAACATATTACTATTTAATTTTCAAAAAGTGATATTAATAGTTAATTATCCAGTTATCTGGACTTTTTCCAAAAGAGTTTATCTATAAAGAGCATCTACTCTATGAAATGTAGAAATAAACTCAAAGGATAGTAAATCAGTATTCAGTCTGTAAATATTACCTCACTGTGTCCATGACATTTGTGAACTTAGTAACCAAATTTAAGGATTTAATGTGTTTGCTTGTTGTTAACATATATGGAGAGAGAAAAATAAATGGATGAATTTTCAGAATTTATCTAATTTTCTCCTCCATCAAAGTTAAAAATTAGCTGTTTGATTTCCTATACTGAGCTAAAATTCTCTGGCATTTTATCTTGATATTACTGACATCCTGGAAGGAGTATCTTGTTTGTTTGGCAAGTGGATTTTTTTAAAAAAATAAATTATTGCTTCATAATTTTTATTGTTTATATTTCAAGGTTATGAAAAATGCCCTTAAAAAATAGATGGTATATATATATATATATATATATATATAAAAAATATATATTTTAATCTGCATGTAGTATACCTGTTGTGACAAAAATAAACGAAAGCTTAATTTCTTGCCAAGTTGTAGACTATTACAGTATATTATTTTAAGCGTTATGCTATACATACTTCTTTTGAAAATTTATGGAGTACATGAGATGTTTTGATACATGCATAATAATCACATCAGGGTAAATTGAATATCCATCACTTCACACAGTTATCCTTTGTGTTACAAACAATCTGATTATACTCTTCTAGTTATTTTTAAATGTACGATTAAATTATTTTTGACTATAGTCACCCTGTTGTGCTAGCAAATGCTAGGTCTTATTCATTCTTTCTAACTATGTTTTTGTACCTATTAGTGTGCCCCGCTTTCCTCCCAAACCCTCACTACCCTTCTCAGCCTGTTAACCTTTATACTGTTTATCTCCATGAGTTCAATTGTTTTAAGCCTTAGCTCCCACAAATAAGTGAGAGCATCCGAAGTTTGTCTTTCTGCGCCTGGCTTGTTTCACTTAACATAATGACCTCCAGTTCTATCCACATTGTAGCAGATGACAGGAACTCATTGTTTTTTATGGCTGAATGGTATTCCATTTTGTATATGTACTATATTTTCTTTATTCATTCATCTCTTGATGGATACTTAGGTTGATTCCAAATTTTGGCTATTGTGAGTAGTGCTGAAATAAACATGGAGTGCAGATATCTCTCTGATATACTATGTCCTTTCTTTTGGTTATACACCCAGGAGTGGGATTGCTGGATCATATGATAGCTCAATTTTTGCTTTTTGAGAAACCTCCAGACTGTTCTCCTTAAGGGTCATACTAATGTACATTCCCACTGACAGTGTGCAAGGGTTCCTTTTTCTGTATATCCTCGCCAACTTTTGTTATTGCCTGAATTTGGGATAAAAGCCATTTTAACTGGGGCCTCTTAACTTTTTCCCCACACATTTCTTAATTCCTTGATGAAAAATGCTAAAAGATAAGTCACTTTCATACTTCCTAGATACAGTTATTCATTCACTCTTTTATTTTTTTAAGTTTCTTATTTAATAGATATGTATTAAATATTTACCTTGTCTCAGCCAATGTAATGTGTGACAGGCATACAAAGATGAATATAGCAGAAAGTTTATGCCTCTTAAGAAGCATAATGAAGTCATTTAAACAAATAATAGCTACAAATTTTGATGAGCACTGTCATAGAGGTAAGAATATTATGGTGGGGTGGGATGGAAGAAATTAAAATATGTCAATCTACTTTGCGTTGTAAGGAAAATCTTGGCAAAGAAGATACATGTTATGATTTGGCTCTGTGTCCCCACCCAAATCTCAACTCGAATTGTAATCCCCATGTGTCATGGGGAGGGACCTGGTGGGAGGTGATTAGCTCAAAAGGGTGGTTTTCTATGCTGTTCTTGTGATAGTGAGGGGGTTCTCAGGAGATCTGATGGTTTTATAAGTGGCAGTTTCCCCTGCATGCTCTCTCTCTTACCTGCCACAGTGTAAGACTTGCCTTGCTTTCCCTTCACCTTCCACCATGATTATAAGTTTAATTATAAGTTCACTTATAAGTTCAGCCATGTGGAATTGTGAGTCAAGTAAGCCTCTTTTGTTTATAAATTATCCATTCTCAGGTAGTATCTTTATAGCAGTGTGAAATGGACTAATAAGATAAACTTCAATAGAATACTTAAGAAATTGTGGTAATCAACTAGTTTATGAATGGAAAGAATCATTTTATCAAAGGAAATTAAGAGCATAACAATGTGGCATTAAAACAGATTAGGGAGTTCTGAGGGTTGTAAGGATGATGGAACAGGTACATAATAGGACAATATGGGAGAATAATTAAAGAAGTCCTGAGGGTAGGTCACTGAGGCCTTATATGTTATAAAAGGGGGATTTTACTCTAGGAATTGGGAAAGTGTTTGAAGAAAGAGAATAGTGTGATTATATTTGCTTTTTAGTTTGAAAAGAAGTAGCCTGGAAATGAATGAGATTACAGCCAGAGAAGAGAAAGAATATATTTTGATGAAAGAATATATTTGGGTACTGATAGAATAGTCCGGGTTAAAGATGATTTGGACCCTGGCACATGGAGGATGCTGTGGGGTCATAAAGGAAGAAATGGTAATAAAAATAACTAAAGTTTTATTGGATGAAGTTTTCAAGCCAACAAAGCATAAAACACAGACACAAAAACGACGTCTAAAATGATTTCTTAGTTTCTTAGTCATGTATTAGGTGTCAACCAAGACAGGGAATACAGACAGAGCAGTAAAGAGTTCAGCCCCAGACTCAATCCTATATGTGATTTTTGGGCCCATCCATAAACAATGACAAAGACTTGACCAAGTGGGTCCCACAGGGAGAGCTGCCCTCCCCACACTAGTGCATAGTCCTCTAATGGCAGTTTCAGTAAGGGCTGCAGGGCCATGCTCACACACAGATCAGCATCACTTGACTGGTGCCTCCCCTGGAGGCCTCTCCACTGTGGGACCTTGGCAGACCTTCCCCAGGCATGTTTGCCCAAGACCTCCTTTTCATGGGGAGAGGAGGAGGAGTCTTGAAGACAATTGTCTTCCTTCTGATTCAATACTCAGTGCTTTTCCGCTCCCAGCCTTTTCCTGACCTTCCATAAAACTGCAGGCAGGAGCCTGTTGTTCAGGGTTCCTTTGATAGTGAGACAACTCCACATCTGTGCTGACCCATGTGATCCTTGATAGAGCTGTTTCATGAAGGAAAAAAAGGATGGGGACTGGACCGTCAGGGCTTTTTCCAGTTTAACCTCAAAGGTTTGTTAATGTCCTTTTGTCTTGATGTCTTAATTGCCTACTCCAACACCTGGCTCTCTCTCCAGAGTAGTTAAGCTCCTGATGGCTGGGGATAAATTTAATGACTACTGTTTTGTATAAGTTGAGGTTAATCTAATTAATTTACCTAGAGGGAAAATTCTGACCTCTATCTCTGAGACCTCATCTAAAACACAGAGGTCATGAAGATAAATCTGGCTTCTGCCTTCAAGGAGCTTACAGTCTGGTGAAGATGATAGCTGGATAGCTAGACATAACAATAAAACCACAGCTGTTCCCTTGTGATAATTTCTGTTATGAGTTATGTACATTGGAATATGAAAAATATATAAATGGTACATAACCAATTCTAGGAGGTCAGGGCAAGCTTCCTGGGAGAAATGCTGTCTATAGGTAGACACAGAGAGACAAGAATCAAAGCCTCTTCTGAAGAAGGGTTAAATAAATCTCAGGCAGATAGGCTATGCATGACCTGCTTCTTTTATCTGTCATTTTTGTTGTTCAGTTACTTGCTAAATTTTAAGAATTTTATATATATATATTATATTTATAATATATTATATATATAATATACATGTATATATATATATATATATATATATATCTTCTACATATCAGTGCTCTGTCAATTCAGCCTAATTCTGGCAAAAGCATTAAGGACTTCAATATTTACCAGGTTTGAAAGGGGAGCAGTCCTTTGAATTAGAATTATTTGAAAAATGTAGGGCTATTTTGAAACAACTACCCAATTGAAAATGCATGGACACTATAACTATTATACTTGCAGATGCATACAAAAATACTTTTATTGTCACATGGGCACAAAGATGTATATTGAAAGCTGTTCACTGAAACAGTATTTATAATAATGAAACCTGGAAGCAACATATCTCTTAATGGGGATATAGACAAGTAAAGTACAACATATACATGTTATAGAAAAAAATGCAGCCTTCTCAAAAATGGGTAAGCTGTATAGATATAGAAAAGAAAAAAGCATTGTATAAATAATATGTACACTTTAATAAAAGTTGTACTAAATTTTAAATGTAATATAAATATCATACCTTCTATATATATAAAATTATCAAAAAGACTGAATTATAATACATGAAGAGTAGGAAAAAATAGTTGCACTGAGTTTTATATTTTCTGAATGTTTAAATCTTTCCACACAATATGTAATAATTATACTTTTAAAATGCCAGTAAGGTAATATATACAAATAGCTAATTAAAGCTTAATAAGAACTTTGGAAAAATATTTTTAATAAAGGTTTTACATACATCAGGGTTACAATTAAATTTAACATGCTTTTTATTTTGTCAATTTCTTTTATTTAAAAAATACTTAAACTAACTTCCTTTTTGGTTTTTCCTATTAAAAGAAAAAGCATTTTGCCCTCATAAAAGAAAATTAGTTTCAGATTACTAGTAATTATTTAGGTACTAATTAAAAAATAATGAATCTCAGTTACTAAATACACAAATAAGGGAGTTATATGAAACTGTGCAATAGTCATTCTATGGATAGTCATATTTAAAATAAAATGAAAAGAGACTAAAATATGCATTTGTGCTTTTAACTCTGAAAACCTGAATACCTATTCAACTGTTGATTCTGAGTATTTACAGAACTTTATTTCTTCTTTGGACATGCTTTCGCAGTTTTTACCTAATGTATACACATTTTTGCCTTGTTCTTAATAATTAAATATCTGAGAAAAAGATATTCAAAAAGTGGTTTTTTGTGCGTACTCATGATAAACAGTAACATAAAAAGTTACAGAGGTCGGGCCCAGTGGCTCACGCCTGTAATCCCAGCACTTTGGGAGGCCAAGGTGGGTGGATCACTTGAAGTCAGGAGTTTTAGACCAGCCTGGCCAACATGGTGAAACTCCATCTCTACTTAAAAAATAAATAAATAAATAAACAGGCATAGTGGCTCACGTCTGTAATCCCAGCTACTGGGGAGGCTGAGGTGGGAAAATCACTTGAGCCCAGGAGGCGGAAGCTGCACTGAGCCAAGATCACGCCATTGCCCTCCAGCCTGGGTGACAAAGCGAGACTCCATCTCAAAAAAAAAGAAAAGTTATAGAAATAAATATGATGATATGATTTACTGAAAGCAAGTCTCAAATGCCTAAAAAAGGCCAAACTTCCTTTGGTCTTTGGATATCATTCTGGAGGGTGGGTGAGTCTACTTTTGTTTCAAATGTGTTATTTTCATTTATTTTTGAGCAAAAATATCATTTTATAATTTACACTTATTGAACATAAATGTGGAAATACTACTAAATTGTCTCCACATGGAAAATTTCTTGTGACATGTATTTCATCTAACTTGTGAAGTTCACAACTATTTCAAAAAACAGTTAAGCTTGTTCCAAAAACTCACTGCCATCCCACCAAACACACATATGGACTTGAGAATAATTAGGCTTTCAGAAACCACTTTAGTATCCAATTAATTGTAGTTTTCTTCAGAAAGTGGTGTAAATCTGATTATATATAGTTGCTTCATGTAGTATAAATCTGATTATACACAGTTGTTTCATATAGTATATATCTGATGATATACAATTGCTTCATGTAGTTCAACTTGTTACTAGATAATCCATGTGTAATTGTCACAGAAAATCTTACGTGTACATTTGGACAATGTCTCTATCTCTGTTTCTTTCTCTCTGTTTCTCTCTCTCTCTCTCACACACACACACACAGTCCTTTACAATTACTTTGGGAAAAAAATCACAAAAAGGAAAAAATCATTAATCTGAGATTATAACATAAAATCCACAATTTGTCTGTAAACTATCTTTAAATCTATGTTTATACTTGAAATCTACTAGGCTTATGAGAGTCAAAGACTTCCAAGCTTTGAATATTCTTTTCACTTCAAAAGGAACTGAAAATCTAAATGTAATTTGGTACACCTTTTAAAATATTCACTGCTGCCTGCCAGCTAGCTGCAGGTTATTTTAGCTACTAGAAGCAGCACTAATTTGCAATATCTTTCTAAGACTATCTATAGGTAAAAATTTGACATTGGCTGACTCTAACCAATGTCAAGCTTTAGGATAGCAACGTAATCCCTAAAAGAAAAATGAGAAATAACCTAACTATCTAAACATCAAAAACAAATTAACCTTGCTTGCCCATTTTTAGGACAACATAACGGTTTCTTGAGATTTTTCAACATTTATGAAAAGATAAAAATTAAGATGAGTCATTTAATAGCATGCGTGCTTGAACCAATAAAATGATTTCTTATTTTATGAGTTGTTTTTAAAAAATGAGCCCAGATGTTTCAAATTATAAATAATTTGTCAATTTATGCATAAAGCCAAATTTGAAAAATGTGACTGGTCATTCCCATTAAGAAACTCAACTGAAAATCTGTTTCACTGAATCAAGCTTAAATAAGTAATTGTGTACTTAGATGTAGCTGAATTCTAAGAACTATTTGGACCACAACTTATAGACTATTTATATATTTTGCAAACTGTTTGCTGTTCTCTGACTTCAAGTAAGAGAGAGATATTAAGTGACAAATCATACAACGGAAAGGGAGAGCTATTAAGTGATAAATCATACAGTGGAAAGAGAGTTATATAGGAAGACTCTCCATTTTAACTCAGAATAAAATATGTAACCATCTTTAAGTTTTAATGGGGAGACCTGTGTGGCTGACTTTTTTTTTTCCCAATCTAGCTTCCTCATTTGGAAGAATGTTTTGTTTCTGTATATGAAAACTGAAGGATTTCTATTCAAGGCCACTGTGGTAGACAGAATAATGGCTTACTAAAATGTCGACGTCCTAATTTCTGGAACCTGTGAAAATGTCACCTTCCATGACAAAAAGGACATTGTAGAAGCAATTATTTAAGGATCTAGAGATGAGAATATTAAGATGGGTTATTTGGGTGTTCCAAATGTGAACCCAAGTGGAGTTCTTGTAAGACTGAGAAGATGCCTTCGAGTTAGGAAGGAGATGGGAGATGTGTTATGAAAGCAGAGGTTGGAGTGACAGAATTTCAAGATGGAGAAAGGGGTTATAGCCAAGAATCCAAGCAGCCTCAAGAGAGTAGAAGCTCTTGATTTTCACCTATGTGACTCTATTTTAGTCTTTACTTGCAGAACTGTAAGATAGTAGATTTGTGGTGTTTTAATCCACTAAGTTGGTAGTAATGTGCTCCAGCCACTATGAGACAAATACAGTATACACACACACACACACACACACACACACACACACACACATATATATGTGTGTGGGTGTGTATTAGGAAAAGTAGTAAATCTAAATCTAGACTTTCTCATTCTCACCTAGGTTCTTATATTTTTAATTATATAACTAGTTACATAACATTATTTATATAATACTAGTTATATAACTAGTGCTCTATTATTTTCCTTCTATTTTAATTTTTCTGTTAAAAGAAAGTTTAAGAACATATGTATCCATATATGTATATACACATGCAGAAATATATATCTGTGTATGTGTGTGTGTTTATGAGTATATATATTCAAAGTTCTGAAACGTTTTTCAAAGCAATGCTGGCAATGGAATTCTCATTTCTATTTATCTTTTCTGTGGAGGTTTAAGTATGACTTATTTGGGAATTGCTACATTATCCTGACAAAAATATAACAGTAGTGGCAATATATAATCCCCCAAAAATGTTATATCTCCAGATAATTTTAATGAGTTGGCATTGACTAGTATGAGAAATACAAGGCACAGAGAGTGATATGGTTTGGCTCTGTGCTGTCACCCAAATCTCATCTTGAATCGTAATTCCCATAATGCCCATGTGTTGAGGGGCCTGTTGGGAGGTGATTGGATCATGGGCACAGTTTCCCCTAGATGTTCTCATGATAGTGAATGAGTTCTCATGAGATCTGATGGTTTTACAAGTGTTTGACAGTGCCTCCTTCACATGCTCTCTCTCCCCTGCTGCCATGTAAGACGTGCCTGCTTCCCCTTCCACCATGATTGTAAGTTCCCTGAGGCCTCCCCAGCCGTGCAGAACTGTGAGTCAATTAAGCCTCTTTCCTTTGTAAATTACCCTGTCTCGGGTATTCTTTATAGCAATGTGAAAATGGATTAATACAGAGAGTCTACACATTTCTTTATATAAGATATACTTGTTTTCTGTTTATAGTTAGCATTTACAAAGTTTACAGTAAAATTTTTACTTACATTCATATAACATTTAAGTTATTCTCAAAATTTTATGCAACCATTTTAGATCTAAAGTGGACTTTGTTTTTTTCCATAGAATAAGTATTTTGTAGGACTTCTCTTCAATATTGGTGTGTAGAAAAAAAAATGTGAACTTCAAGTTTCAATCAATTAAACTTTTGCTTAAACTGAAAAACCATGCCAACACACAAAAAGGTCATCTGGGGTGTGCCATTACATTAGGATTACGTACTGGTACTACACACTCAGTTGTGTAGGACATAAGAATGGATTATACTTAAACCTCTAAAGGATGGCCTGAATTAAAGTGATAGAAAATGGGAGTTAATATTGCTAGTGTTACCATGTAAAATTTAATAATTATTTGCTTAATTATTGTCTTATTAATTTAATAGTTTCTAAAGAGAAATTTCATTAACAAATTAACAGGAACAGCTACAAAATTTGCAGTGTTCAGTGCAAAATTAAAATATAGGACATCTTCCTCAAAAATTATTTAAAACTTGACACGAATGACACCAAAGAATTAGCCAAGTGATGGGCCCCTGCAAATGAGCAGATCACATAAATCTATCCCTGAACATCAATTAGTTATAAAAAAATAAGAATTTAAGGCTGGGACCCATAGCCATAATTTTACCCATACCTGCATTTATATCTGTATTTATATACCTATAACAGTATTTAGATCTATTTATTCACAATCTCAGAATCAGATTGTAGAGACATTTAAAGATTAACTAATACAAACTTGTCCTCTTACAAAAGAGAAAACTGAGCCGCAGTGCTTTGATTGTATCAGTAGCTAATATTAGAAATAAAAGCAACACATTATCTTAAATATTTTATGTTTTTCTTATTACTACCAGTTTAGTGCTCCTATGTATTTTGTAGTACTTCTCTTCAATATTGGTGTGTAGAAAGAAAATGTGAACCCCGAGTTTAATCAATTAAACTTTGATTAAACTGAAAAACCATGGTCAATCCCAATACACAAAAGGGTCATCTGGGGTGTGCCATTGCATTAGGATTACATACTGGTACTATATGTTGCTGCTACATGCTCTTTCACTCAGTCGTGTAGGACAGAAGAATGGATTATACTTAAACTTCTAAAGAATGACCTCAATTAAAGAGATAGAAAATGGGAGTTAATATTGTTAGTGTTGCCATGTAAAATTTAATAATTAATATAATGTCTCATATATTCCGTGGTGATTAATTGGTGTGGAATATTTAAGCCACGAGAATAAGTACTATAAAAGCAAGAATTTATAATAGGGTCTTTAATGATCAGTTCTGTTCTTACACAGCTTCTCCCCACTCCTACTCCTTGGAAGCAACCAAGTGGTATGAGTTGGCCCCTACTCACCCCCTCCCTGGTGTCAGTGGACCACATCAGGGAAGTGAGGTTATTTTTTCACTTGGAGGAAACAAAGATATGTAACTCAGTACCCTACTTTTGCCATGAGGTTGCCAGTGGGTGGAGGGAGAAGACAAACTTCCACCTAACCAGTCTGCAAGAAGGAAGTATAAGTTAGTACTCTACTTTTGGTAGGATGGTATTAGTAGGTCCCATCAGGAAGATAAACACGCACACCCACCCAGCTCTCAGGTTACACATCAATAGGGAACCATCTACGAAATAATAAGAGAGAAAAATTCTCATAATATAAAAAAAAATTCAGGACACAATAAAAATCACTTATAAGACAAAAGAACTAGGAAATCATAACCTGAATGAGAGAAAGACAACAGACACCAACACAGACATAAAAAAGGGGTTGGGGCTGGGCGCAGTGGCTCACACCTGTAATCCCAGCACTGTGGGAGGCCAAGATGGGTGGATCACTTGAGGTCAGGAGTTCAAGACCAGCCTGTCCAACATGGTGAAACCCCGCCTCTACTAAAAATATAAAAAGTTAGCTGGGTGCATTGGCACATGCCTGTAATCCCAGCTACTTGGGAGGCTGAGGCAGGAGAATCACTTGAACCTGGGAGATGGAGGTTGCAGTGAGCCAAGATCATACCGCTGCACTCCAGCCTGGGTAACAGAGTGAGACTGTTTCAGACAAAAAAAAAAAAAAAAAAAAAAAAAAAAGAGGTTGGAATTATCTAACAAGGATTTTGAAGAAACCATCATAAAAGTGTTTAAATAAGCAATTATATATTGTATTCTCTTGGAACAAATAAAAGTTAAAATTAAAAATAAATTCAATAATGACTTATAAGTTATAAAAAGTAAACATGAACTAAATAAAATTAAAATACAATAATGGAAATAATAGATGCAGAGGATGGTCACAAAAGAAGAGAGCACAGAGCAGAAGATGGAATCAGTGAATCTGAAAACATGCCAACAGAATTTACTGTCTGAACAAGAAGAAGAAAACCGATAAAAAAAAAATTTAACAGCATTTCAGGAAACTTTAGAACAATAATAAAAGAGCTAACATTCATAATCACAGGAGATATAGAAGACGAGGAGATAGAATGTGGGACTAAAAAACTATTAAAAAATAATGACTTCAACCTTCCCAAATTAGATGGAAGACATAAACCTAAATATTCAAGAAACAGAGCAAACCCTAAATAGAATACACCCAAATACATTCAATTTCTGGAAATGAAAAAAAAAAATTAAAAATCTTGAAAGCAAACAGAGAAAAATGGCACATTTCTTACAGAAAAACAATAATGTAAACCACAGCAGATTTTCCATCTGAAACCATGAAGGTTGGAAGGAAACAGATAATATTTTTGAAGTACTGAAAGAACAGAACTGTGAACTGTAAATTCAATACCCAGCAATAATATTCTTCAGGCACTAAAGTGACATAGAAAACATTGTCTAATGAAAGAATGCTAAGGTAATGTGTTGCTAACAAACTTACCTTTAAAGAATAAGTTCTCTAAACAGAAAAGAAATGATAAAAGAAGAAGGTTTGCAGCTTTTACAAACATCCATCTAAATGGGTAAAATTAAGCATAAATATAATGTATAATCAAACTTCTCTTAAGTTTTTAAGCCATTTCTAATAGTTGAAGCAAAAATTAATGACCTATCTGGTTAGATGCTCAAGGAACATAGAGGAAGTATTTAAGATAATTATATCTAAAAAGTAGTGATAGTAAAGAGACTCATATGGAAACAAGTTTTCTACACTTCACTCAAAGAGGTAAAACATCATTAACAGTAGATCTTGACATTACACATATATTATTTTAACCAGTGCAATTAATAAAACCAAACAAAATCATGTACAATCATGCACTGCATAACGATGTTTTGCTCAGCAGTAGACTGCATATATCATGGTGGTCCCATAAGATTATAATGGAGATGAATATTACCTAGTGACATTGCAGCTGAGCTGTCTTAACATCATAGTCTAACATATTTCTCACCTGTTTGTGGCAATGATGGTGTAAACAAACCTACTTCATTGCCAGTTATATAAAAGTGTAGCACATAAAATTCTGTCTAGTACTGATATTGTTTGGCTGTGTCCCCACCCAAATCTCATCTTGAATTGTAATCCTCATGATCCTCCCGTGTCAAGGGCAAGACCCGGTGGGAAGTGATTGGATCCTGGAGGCAGTTTCCCTCATGCTGTTCTCATGATAGTGAGTAAGTTTTCATGAGATCCGATGGTTTTAAAAGTGTTTGAAAATTTCTCCTAGACACACTCATTCTCTCCTGTTGCCTTTTGAAGAAGCCAACTGCTTTTATTCCACCATGATTGTAAGTTTTCTGAGGCCTCTCCAGCCATGCAGAACTATGAGTCAATTAACCCTCTTTCCTTTATAAATTACCCTGTCTTGGGTAGTATCTTTATAGCAGTGTGAGAACAGACTAATAGAGTAAATTGGTACTGGGAGTGGGGCACTGCTATAAAGATACTGAAAATGAGGAAGTGACTTTAGAACTGGGTATCGGGCAGAGGTTGGAAGTGTTTGGAGGGCTCAGAAGAAGACAGGAAGTTGTGAGAAAGTTTGAAACTTCCTAGGGACCTGTGGAATGGTTTTGACCAAAATGCTGATAGTGATATAGACAGTGAAGTCCAAGCTGAGGTGGTCTTGGATGGACAAGAACTCATTAGGAACTAGAGCCCAAAGATCACTGTTACTCTGCCTTAGCAAAGAGACTGGAAGCATTTTGCCCCTGTCCTAGAGATCTGTGGAACTTTTAATTTGAGAAACATTATCTCAAATTGGAACTTATGTTTAAAATGGAAGCAGGGCATAAAAGTTTGGAAAATTTGCAGCCTGACCATGCAGTAGAAAAGAAAAACCCATTTTTCAGGGGAGGAATTCAAGCTGGCTACAGAAATTTGCCTAAATAACAAGAAGCCAAATGTTATTACAGTAGCCAAAACAATGGTAAAATTTTTCTTGGGCGTATCAGAGACTTCCATGGCAGCCCTTCTCATCACAGACCCAGCAGCCTCTGAGGGAAAAATGGTTTCATGGGCTGGGCCTAGGGCCCCGTTGCTCTGGGCAACCTCAGGACTTGGTGCCCTGTGTCCCAGCTGCTGCTACTCCAGCTCCAGCCGTGGCTAAAAGGAGCCAATGTACAGCTCATCTGTTGATTCAGAGGGTGCAAGCCCCAAGCCTTGGAGGATTCCATATGGTGTTGGGCCTGAGGGTACACAGAAGTCAAGAATTCAGGTGTGGAAACCTCTGCCTAGATTTCATAGGTTGTATGGAAATGCCTGGATGTCCAGGCCGAGATTGGTTGCAGGGGTGGAGCCATCATGGAGAACCTCTGCTAGGGTAGTGCAGAAGGGAAATGTGGGGTTGAAGCTCCCACACAGAGTCCCCACTGGGGCACTGCCTAGTGAAGCTATGAGAAGAGGGCCACTGTTCTCCAGACCCCTGAATGGAAGATCCACCAACAGCTTGTACTGTGCACCTGGAAAAGCCACAGACACTCAATGCCAGCCTGTGAAGGAACTGCCCAAGGCCATGGGAGCCCACCCCTTGCATTAACATGCCCTGGATGTGAAACATGGAGACAAGGAGATTATTTTAAAGCTTTAAGTTTTAATGACTGCCCTGCTGGGTTTCAGACTTTCATGGGGCCTGCATCCCCTTTGTTTTGACTAATTTCTCCCATTTGGAATGGGAGCATTTATCCAATTCTTGTACCCTCATGGTATCTAGGAAGTAACTAACTTGCTTTTGATTTTACAGGCTTATAGGCCAAAACGTCTTGCCTTGTCTCAGATGAGACTTTGAACTGTGGGCTGTTGAGTTACTGCTGAAATGATTTAAGACTCTGGGGGACTGTTAGGAAGGCATGATGTTGGGTTGGAAATGTAAAAAATATGTGAGATCTGGGAGGGGCCAGGGGTGGAATGATATGGTTTGGCTCTATATCCCCACCCAAATCTCATCTTGAATTGTAATCTTCATAATACCCATGTGTTGAGGGCAGGATCTGGTGGAAGGTGATTGGATCATGTGGGCGGTTTCCGCCATACTGTTCTTACGATAGTGAGTGAGTTCTCAGGAGATCTGATGGTTTTGTTAAGTGTTTCACAGCTCCTCCTACACACAATCCTTCTCTCTCCTGTTGTCTTGTGAAGAAGATGACTGCTTCCCATTTCACCATGATTGTAAGTTCCATGAGGCCTCCTCAGCCATGCAGAACTGTGACTCAATTAAACCTCTTTCCTTTATGAATTACCCAATCTCGGGTAGTGTCTTTATAGTAGTGTGAGAATGGACTAATACAAGTACATTTTACTTAGTAATAATAATAAACAAATATATTACATTTTTGTGTATTTACTACACCATATTTTTTATTGTTATTGTAGTGTACACCTTCTACTTATTAAAAGAAATAGGCCCGAGGCGGGCAGATCACGAGGTCAGGAGATGGAGACCATCCTGGCTAACATGGTGAAACCCCATCTCTACTAAAAATACAAAAAATTAGCCAGGCCTGGTGGGGGGCGCCTATATTCCCAGCTATTCGGGAGGCTGAGGCAGGAGAATGGCGTGAACCCAGGAGGCGGAGCTTGCAGTGAGCCGAGATCACGCCACTGCACTCCAGCCTGGGCGACAGAGCGAGACTCTGTCTCAAAAACAAACAAAAAAAAAAGTAATAGGCAACTGTAAAACAGCCTCACAGTGGTCCTTCACGAGGCATTTCAGAGGGCATTGTTATCATAGATGTCGACAGATCCATATGCATTATTGGCCTAGAGGAGCTTCCAGTGGGACAAGATCTGGAGGTAGAAAACAGTGATGTTGATCATACTGACCCTGTGTAGGCCTACGCTAGTATGTGCATTTGTGTCTTTGTTTTTAACAACAACAACAAAAAAATTAAAAATTAAAAGATGTAAAATTACAAAAAAATCTTAGAGAATAAGGATATAAGGAAATAAAGTATTTCTGTGTACAATATGCGTTTTAAGCTAAGTGTTGTTACAAAAGAGTCAAAAAGTTAAAAATAAGTTAAAAAGTTTATAAAGTAAAAAAGTTACTGTAGGATAAGTTTAATGTATTTTGAAAGAAATAAGTTTCTTTATAAATTTTATAAATTCAGTGTTTATAAAGTCTACAGTTTTGTACAATGATGCCCTAGGCATTTACGCTCACTCACCACTTACTCACTAACTCTCCCAGAGCAACTCCTAGCCCTGCAATCTTCATTTATAGTAAGTGCCCTAATCAGGTATACCATTTTTGATGTTTTGACTGGATTTTTTACTGTACCTTTTTTTTATGTTTAGATACACAAATATTTACCGTTGTGTTGCAGATGCCTACAGTATTCAGCACAGTAACATGCTGTATAGGTTTGTAGCCTAGGATCAGTAGGCTGTACCACATAACCTGGGGTGAGTAGTAGGTTATGCTATCTCTATTTACACATAGAATACACTATATGATGTTACACAGTGAAGAAATTGCCTAATGCATTTCTCAGAATGTAATTTTTGTCATTAAGTGATGCAACATTGTATTTAAAACACTATAAATAAATTAAGATGGAAACTTAACATGTTTATGTAACCCATTGGAAAGCAAGAAAAAGACACAGAGGAATAAGAAACAGAAACAAATAACAAAGTGGTAGACTTCAACCACAACATACAAATTGTTAAACATAAAAGGCCTATAGAAACCAACTAAAAAACATAGATTGGCAGAGTAGTTAAAAAAACAAAAATCAAAAACGAAAAACCATGGCCAACAATATTGTCCAAATTGCATTTGTACCCCATAAATAAATAATTTTTAAAATTCTGTCTATATAAAACTAACTTCAAATACAGCATAGGTAAGATAAAAGTAAAAAGAGAGAACCAGTAAAATAATTTAAAAATGCAAGTGAGGTTATAGTAATATATCAGCTACATAAATTTTATTTTATTTATTATTATTATTATTATTATTATTATTATTATTATTTTGAGACAGAGTGTCGCTCTGTCACCCAGGCTGGAGTGCAGTGGAGCAATCTCAAACTCACTGCAAGCTCCACCTCCCAGGTTCATGCCATTCTCCTGCCTCAGCCTCCCGAGTAGCTGGTACTACAGGTGCCCACCACCACGCCCAGCTAATTTTTTTGTGTTTTTAGTAGAGACGGGGTTTCACCGTGTTAGCTAGGATGGTCTCGATCTCCTGACCTTGTGATCCTCCAGTCTCAGCCTCCCAAAGTGCTGGGATTACAGGCATGAGCCAGGGTGCCCGGCCCAGCTACATAAATTTTAAAAAGTAAAAAAAGTCAAATTGCGTTTTTAAATATTTTACATTCCATTGCCATTCAAAGAAATAACATTGTTTTCAATACGATTAAGCAAGTATCATTAGACCTAGAAATAGCCACAATCATTTCTTTAAAAGATTATTAATATTTATTTATTTATTTATTTATTTTTAGGCGGAGTCTCACTCTGTTCACCAAGCTGGAGTGCAGTGGTGCAGTCTCAGCTCACTGCAATTTCTGCCTCACCCTCCCAAGTAATTGGGATTACAGGCACGTGCCACCACATATGGCTAATTTTTGTATTTTTAGTAGAGACTAATTTTTGTACTTTTAGTAGAGACAGGGTTTCACCATATTGGCCAGGCTGGTCACAAACTCCTGACCTCAGGTGATTGGCCCGCATCAGCCTCCCAAAGTGCTGGGATTACAGGCGTAAGTCATCGTGCCCAGCTAAGATTACTAATATTTATAAGCTCTACCTTCTTTCTTGGAGAAATGACTTTATAATTTCACTTTCTAATTCAGTTACCTGTTGAAACTAAATTAAAATATATTCATATGCAAAATGCAAGTAAATAAAAACAGCAGCTTTCTCTATGCTAAAAGGAAGTTCCTTTGGAGCTCATTTCCTTGACAACGCAAGAAAGTACTTCACTGCACTATCTTCATTATGCAAATAAAGGTGCATTTTAGCTCTTTGAAGAAGAAGAGGAAGAACATGTCTCTCAAATGGCAGGAAAGAACAAATTTCCTTAAGGAAGAGTGAGGGAAAGTTCATCAACACCAACCCTAGGTACATCTTCATTCAGACTTGAAAAGCTTTTGAATAGCGTCTGTTTATTCCTGTTAGAACTGAACTGGCAGGAAAAGACAATGGAGAAGCCACAAAGAGGAGTAGCTAGGTAGCAGCATTCAGGTCCACAATGCCTGGATTTCATTATTATTATTCTACTGTATCTTCAGGCAGTTTATGTAAATCATGTTATTGAGTTCTCTCATCTGGAAGATGAGAGTACTAATAGTTCCAGCGTTCTTACATTAGTGCTGCTGCCATTAGTTATCATCATTTAAGTGTCTGTTCTTATTGTTCAAAGAGTGACTGGCAGTTGAGAGTCCCTGGGACCTGAAGTAGGGAGGTAGAGAATTTTGCATTGGAGTATACTGTTATCTTAACCTTGGAGGCCTGAGTGTTCTTAGGTAAAAGACTGCTTTGGAGGCTGCAAATGGAACTAGAATCCCACCAGATCACAGCCATCTGACTTGGTTGCGTTTTTATGGAAACCAGCGTGTTGAGGATGTGAGACTGATATAAAAGCACTAGGATATTCACAGGGTAAAAGTCAGGAGGATCATAACAGCACAGTACTAGAGAACCAGTACGTAGTGGTGTGATGAATGAAAGCCACTGACATAACTTTCGCATCTTGTCTTCCTGTATTCTTTCTTTCTGTGACAGTTGTTGAGATCATGACCTCTTCTGGAATGGTGTTCTCAGAAGTCCTTGGACAATCAGGGTGTACTAGGAGAAAACATGCTGTGAGATGGGATGAAAGTCTTCAGGATGGACACTATACTTTCTGTTATTGGAGGATTCGGTAGTTTGAATAAGCGTTTGAATGAATAAAATATTTGAGTTGAGGACTAAATTCTGATTTTTTTTTTTCATCTTGCCCAAATTCCTATTTAAAGAAACTGGGAGTCAGCCCTACGAATGATAACATCTCTTTACATGGGTTTTTTATTAACCCTATATAATGTGGCTTGCTTTCCAACCTGACTCTGGTACAGCATCACATAACAGACAGCAGACCCTGAAGGATATAAAAATATTTTGCCCTAAAATATATTTCTTTGATGTCTTTTGAAATGGCTGTTGCAAGGCCAGCAAACTGAGGTAGAGGAAATTTGCATCTATGGAGAATCTTCATTAATGCAGCCATGCTTCCCCTTTCTATGCCTTTCCAGGACCTAGGAGTGATTGAGAGTCTGATACCTTTAAAGGTCTGAAAAGAAACATTTACCATCTATTCTCTCTGAGGGCCACCTATGAGGCTTCATCTACTTAATAAGATCCTTGGTCTTTCCCCCACTCTTATCTGAACTCAGGCATTCCTTTCTATCGATTTCAAGACTTTAGACGATAGCATAACTCTCTCAACCAATTGTCAACTAAAGGATCCCTAAAAGCCCCTTATGACGTACAAGCTCCTACCCTGACCTACCTGCAATTACCTGCAGTTGGTTGTCTCCTTGGAATGTATAAAACCAAAGTGTAACCCGGTTGCCTTGGGCACGCTTTCAGAACCTCTTGAGATAGTGTAACCCAGGCCTTGGTCACTTATACTGGCTCTGAATAAACCTCTTTAAATATATTTTGACAGAATTTGGTTTTTGTGTATTTTTCTGTGTATTTCTACCTCTGAGAAGAGGAGTAATTTATACTCTTTAAAAATCATGGTCAGGTATGACTGGTGCTAGAATGAGGATGAAGGGAAGAGAAAGGGAAGAAATAATTCTCCACTCTTTGTTTCCAATTTTAGTTCTTTAAAGTAAAAGTACAAAACATTTTGTAGAGATGTAGTTTGTGGTGGCATGGTTGAAAAACTTCTGCAGTTTATGATTCCTCCACTACAGTGTGATAATGTTTTAAATAGCATTTAAAATGTAGATTCTGTCCAATCCTTACAATTAACTTTTTTATTGTTTGGAATCCATGAAGTTGGTATATGCATGAGCAGATACATATTTATTTAAGAAAAAAAATTAGGCCTTACAGAAAATTGGTTTCTCAGAGACATGATAAAAGTTACCAGATAATGTCTCTCAGACTATATCTATGAAAAAATACATAACCAAATAGACACCAATTGCAAATGAATTAATTACATTGAAATTCTAATAACTTTCATTTCCTAAACTGACATTGATGGAAAAGAATTCTAAGATATAAAATAAGCTCTACTTCATCCTGCTTTCAATAGCACATGATTTAATCAGAATATATAAGTAATACTGTTGAGCACATAAATATTATTTTCATTACTTGATGATAATTATGACTATTTTCATTGCTATAATTTTGGTCATGCCATATTGATTAGCAATAAAATATATACTTAGCTAGAGAGGCAGCTAATCCAAAACTTTTGGGATTTCTTTTTTTTTTTAGATTATTGGTGCTCCTCCTCCTGTCATTGAGGTTAAAATTAAATGTTACATATTCCTTCTCTGTGTATGTGTATCTTATTTCCTCATATTCTACCTCTTCAGAGTAGTGTGTGTGAGTGCATGCACACACACTTGCATGTGAGAGCTTCTAATATCTAAATTAATGTTGAATCATTATTCAGAAACAAAGAGAGCTAACTGTTATCCTGACTTTATTCTTTATGAAGAAAAATACAGTGATTCCAAGTTACCAAGTTAGTGCTGCTTTATTTATAAATGAAGTAACATTTTACAAGTTGTGCATAAGTTAAAATTCAGAAATAAAACTTCATCCTAAAACTCTGTGTGTTGCTTTAAATAATCAGAGCATCTGCCTACTTAATTTTTTTTGTGTGGGTGCACAATAGATGTTTAATGAGATCCTGTCATCTGTCTGCTTTTTTATTGTAAAACAGGAGGGGTTTTAATCCTGGAGGAACAACTGATGTACCTCTGAAAAAGAGAGGGATTAGTTATTAATTGAATTGAGGGTTGTCTTGTCTTAGTAGCTTTTATTCTCTAGGTACTATTTGATTATGATTGTGAAAATAGAATTTATCCCTCATTAAATGTAAAATCAACAGGAGAATAGCAAAAACTTATGAGATAGATGAACATTGTGTGAGTGGCATGGTTTAATTTGTTTGGAAGAAGCACTTGCCCCAGAAGATACACAATGAAATTCATGTTATTGAGTAGAGTAGTAATACAGTGTGTTCCCTTGTGAAGTTCATAACCAAGAATTATTTTAGTAGTGGATAGGTAGGCTGAATAATTGACTTCCTATCATTTTCAGGTTCTGTGTTTGATTTTTTTTACATATTAATTTCTTTGATCCACATTAAGCTCAGTTATGTATTTCCATTTTATAAATGAAAAAAAAAAAAATAGGCACTTGCAAATGTCAGATCACTTGCCTGTGGTCATTCGGGTAGAGATTTGTGAAGCTAAGTTGGTCTTAATCAAATGTCAAGCTTTTTTTTTTCTTATAAAATATAGATTTTAATATGAGTTTTAAAATAAAATTAATTAGAAAAAGGCAAATTACTCAATATATAAAATGTATTGCATTTGTAATAGGTAGGTATTTCATTTTCTAGTTATGGTGGGATATTATTCAGACTATAATTCCCAATGAAAAAACTTTAAAAAATGCTAGTGATTGCACATTTAAAACACCTTTTAAAAAGCATTGAGAGCTTATAAAATTTTAATAAGTGATCAAACCAAATTTGAAGAGAAAAGAAGAACCCAGAGAGGTAAGGATATAACCTTACCAGTTGCAATTTGCCGATCTCTACAAATATTAATATTTATTTTGACAGTTTCAGGGTGAATGAGAAAGAAACCAAAACCGAAGACTAGCATATGTTAAGTCTTCTTAAGGAGCCCTCCCTTAAAAGATTGAGATGACCAAATCTTATACCCTCAGCATAAGGTGAACCAGACAGACCTAAAGCAGTGGTAGCTTGGATCCACTACTTGGGTTTGTGTGACTGCGTGACTCAGGTAATCTCAAAAATTGAACATTTTTTTAAGGTGGTCCTACTCGTATGCCCAGGTGTTAGGGAGAAGCAAATCTGAATGCTTTATAAAAATACCCTGAAGCTAAATCTTACAATATTCTCAAGAACACAGTGAAACAAGGCAAAATAAGTTAAAATCAACAAAAACAACATGAAACATAATTAGACCCACAAAGACTTCAAACATTGGACAATATCAGAGAAAGATAATAAATATTTTACTCTTTAAAAATTTAGTTAAAAGCTTAAACTAATTGTAGAGAAAAAACTGTGTTAGTATTATATTGTGGATGAAATAAGCAAAACATTTAAAATACAAATGTGATTACTTAAATTAAATATAATAGATAATTTACCACCAGATTAGATACCATTGAAGGAATAATTAATATACTGAAATACAGGTCAGTAGAAGTTTTTTTCAATTCAGCATGGAGATGTAAAAAATGAAAATTAATGCAAAAAATAAGGGCACAAAAAGAAATGAGTAATTTTGATCAGAAATGTATTAAAATTAATAAACTGGAAATTTGACATTTAAAAAAAAGCATTGTCGTCCAAGTAGATGTGTCTATTAAATAGTTGTTCTCATATCCAGTAATGTAATTATTATTCCCCCTCATGCAGTTCAGATTCTGGGGTAATCTTTAGACATCAGTTTTATCTTTTATATTATTTATTCTGTTTACTACATTTTATTTTGCTAATGATATTTTTAATTTCTGACATTCTGGAGTATTGCTCGTAAAAGGTATTTTTAAAAATATTTTATGGTTATTTTTGTGATTCCTATTCCTGTATGGACACCAAGGCTATTGACATTTTCTTTAGTTTCTTCTGTTAATTCTATTTTCTTAGTGTTTATATCATTTCATAGATAGGATATTCTTTATTTTTTATTTTTATTTAAATATTTGGTGATTCTTGGTTTTCTCAGCCATCTATTGTCAAGTGTTCTTATTAAGCATTGTTATTAAATAAAGATTATTTCCTCTAATCACATGAGAATCTTTATTTCCCCCAAGTAATTGAAAATTGCAATGCCATGCTGCCATGTGGTACAGCATGGGTTTGGGCTTGCTTTCTTCTTTTTTTTTTAACTTTTATTTTAGGTTTGGGAGTACCTGTGAAAGTTTGTTATATAGGTAAACTCGTGTCATCAGGGTTTGTTGTACAGATCATTTTGTCACCTAGGTACCAAGTACTCAACAATTATTTTTCCTGCTCCTCTGTCTCCTGTCACCCTCCACTCTCAAGTAGACTCCAGTGTCTGCTGTTCCCTTCTTTGTGTCCATGTGTTCTCATAATTTAGTTCCCCACTTGTAAGTGAGAACATGCAGTATTTTCTAGTATTTGGTTTTTTGTTCCTGTGTTAATTTGCCCAGTATAATAGCCTCCAGCTCCATCCATGTTACTGCAAAGAACGTGATCTCATTCTTTTTTATAGCTCCATGGTGTCTATATACCACATTTTCTTTATCTAAACTCTTATTGATGAGCATTGAGGTTGATTCTATGTCTTTGCCATTGTGCATATTGCTGCAATGAACATTTGTGTGCATGTGTCTTTATGGTAGAATGATATATTTTCTTCTGGGTATATATGCAGTAATGCGATTGCTGGTTGGAATGGTAGTTCTGCTTTTATCTCTTTGAGGAATTGCCATGCTGCTTTCCACAATAGTTGAACTAACTTACACTCCCACTAACAGTGTGTGTTTCCTTTTCTCCACAACCTGCCAGCATCTGTTATTTTTTGACATTTTAATAGTAGCCATTTTAACTGGTATGAAATTATATTTCATTGTGGTTTTAATTTGCATTTCTCTAATGATCAGTGATATTGAGTTTTTTTTTTTTTCACATGCTTGTTGGCTACATGTACGTCTTCTTTTGAAAAGTGTCTGTTCATGTACTTTGCCCACATTTTAGTGGGGTTGTTTTTCTCTTGTAAATTTGTTTAAATTCCTTATAGGTGCTGGATTTTAGACATTTGTCAGACGCATAGTTTGCAAATAGTTTCTCCCATTCTGTAGGTTGTCTGTTTATTTTGTTAATAGTTTCTTTTGCTATGCAGAAGCTCTTAATAAGTTTAATGAGATCCTGATATGTTTAGGCTTTGTATCCCCACCCAAATCTCATCTTGAATTATAATCTCCATAATCACCACATGGAGAGACCAGGTGGAGGTAATTGAATCTGGGGGTGGTTTCACCCATGCTGTTCTTGTGATAGTGAATGAGTTCTCACGAGATCTAATGGTTTTATGAGGGGCTCTTCCCAGCTTTGCCTGGTACTTCTCCTTCCTGCCGCCTTGTGAAAAAGGTGCATTGCATCCCTTTCACCTTCTCCTATAATTGTAAGTTTCCTGAGGCCTTCCCAGCCATGCTGAACTTCAAGTCAATTAAACCTTTTTCTTTATAAATTACTCAGTCTCTGGTGGTTCTTTATAGCAGTGTGAAAATGGACTAATGAAGTTCCCATTTATGAATTTTTGCTTTTGTTGCAATTGCTTTTGACATCTTAGTCATGAAATCCTTGCCTGTTCTAAGTCCAGGATGGTATTGCCTAGGTTGTCTTCCAGGGTTTTTCTAATTTTGTGTTTTGCATTTAAGTGTTTAATCCATCTTGAGTTGATTTTTGTATATTGTGTATGGAAGGGGTCCAGTTTCAATCTTTTGCATATGGCTAGTTAGTTATCCCAGTACCATTTATTGAAAAGACAGTCTTTTCCCCATTGCTCGTTTTTGTCAGTTTTATTGATGATCAGATAATCATAGCTGTGTGGCTTTATTTCTGGGTTCTCTATTCTGTTCTATTGGTTTATGTCCCTGTTTTTGTGCCAGCACCATGCTGTTTTGGTTAACATAGCCCTGTAGTATAGTTTGAGGTCAGATAGCCTGATGCTTCCAGCTTTGTTCTTTTTCTTAAGATTGCCTTGGCTATTTGGCCTCTTTTTTGGTTCCACATGAATTTTAAAACAGTTGTTTCTAGTTTTGTGAAGAATGTCATTGGTAGTTTGATAGAAATAGCATTTAATCTGTAAATTGCTTTGTGCAGTATGGCCTTTTAATGATATTGCTTCTTCCTATCCATGAGCATGATATGTTTTCCATTTTGTTTGTATCCTCTCTGATTTCTTTGTGCAGTGTTTTGTAATTCTCATTGTAGAGATTTTTCACCTCCCTGGTTAGTTGTATTTTACCCTAGATATTTTATTCTTTTTGTGAAAATTGTGAATGGGATTGCCTTCCTGATTTGACTGCCAGCTTGGTTACTGTTGGTTTATAGAAATGCTAGTGATTTTTGTACATTGATTTTCTTTCTAAAACTTTGCTGAAGTTTTTTTTATTAGCAGAAGGAGCTTTGCGGCTGAGACTATGGGGTTTTCTAGATATAGAATCATGTCAGCTTCAAATAGGGATAATTTTACTTCCTCTCTTCCTATTTGGATGCCCTTTATTTCTTTCTCTTGCCTGATTACTCTGGCTGGGATTTCCTATGTTGAATAGGAGTCATGAGGGAGGGCATCAAATCTACACATATCAAATACTAACCTTGAATGTAAGTGGGCTAAATGCCCCACTTAAAAGGTAAAGGGGGGCAAGCTGAATAAAAAAGCAAGACTCAATGGTATGCTGTCTTTGAGACCTATCTCACATGTGATGACACCCATCGGCTCAAAATAAAGGAATGGAGGAAAATCTACCAAGCATGTAGAAAACAGAAAAAAGCAGGGGTTGCATCCTAATTTCAGACCAAACAGACGTCAAACAAACAAAGTTCAAAAAAGACAAAGAAGGGGCCGGGAGTGGTGGCTCACACCTGTAATCCCAGCACTTTGGGAGGCCAAGGTGGGCGGATTACAAGGTCAGGAGATCGAGACCATCCTGGCCAACATTGTGAAACCCCATCTCTACTAAAATCCAAAAAAAAAAAAAAAAAATAAGCTGGGCTTGGTGGTGTGTGCCTGTAGTCCCAGCTACTCGGGAGGCTGAGGCAGGAGAATCACTTGAACCTGGGAGGCGGAGATTGCAGTGAGCTGAGATTATGCCACTGCACTATAGCCTGGCGACAGAGTGAGGCTCCGTCTCAAAAAAAAAAAAAAAAAAAAAGACGAAGGGCATTACATAATGATGAAGGGTTTTACTCAACAAGAAGACCTTACTAACCTAAATATATATGCACCCAACACAGGAACACCCAGATTCATAAAGTAAGTTCTTAGAGTACAAAGAGGCTCCCACACAATAATAGTAGGAGACTTTAACACACCACTGATAGTCATAGACAGATCATCAAGGTAGAAAATTAACAATGATATTCAGGATCTGAACCCAACATTCCACCGAATGAGTCTGATAGACATCTACAGAACTCTCCATCCAAAAACAACAGAATATACATTCTTCTCATCTCCACATGGCACATGCTCTAAAATTGACCACATAATGCCTTTCTTTTCAGTGGTCCATATGTAAGTCTTTTGAAAGTGGCAGCATCTCTACTGCTCATGCTTGTTGCAAGGAACTCTACTGAATACAAGGAACTTTACTAATCTCTAATGCTTGTGAGTAGATTCTGAACTCATCATTTAGAAAGCTAAACTGGGGGCTTTCTTCCCAGAGCAAAGACATAAAACAAACCTCAATTGAGCGTGGGACAGGGAGTCATGTGCTATAAACTTCTTGGACAGTTCTTATTCTATGGACCAATTACCATTCCCTTGTATCTCTAATTTTGGGATTATTTCTGGATTAAAACACAAAAAAAATCAGACTGTAAAAAGTCATCATTTCTACCAGTGTGAGAATATGTATTCCTCACCTTTACTGGGATTCACTGCCAGTATATATGCAAATGACTTATACACACACATACACACACGCACATACACACACACGTGTGTGTGTGTAGGTATGTCTGTAATAGGTATTTATATGTTTGCCTGTCTTTCTATTAGAATTGAGATACAGCAAAATGCACAGAAATTAAGCATTCAATTTAGTAAGTTTTCACAAATGTACATATTTAATCAATATCTCAATCAACGCAAAAACCATTGTTTCACCTCTGAAGATAATTTTTAATCTTTTGCAAATTATTGAGACTTATTTAATGACCGAGACTACACAGTCCTTCGTAAACATTCCATGTAAATTTGATAAAAATATTTCCATGAAATTTTTTGTGTAGTGTTCTAAAACTTGAAATTAGACTACATTAGTTGATAGTATTATTAGAATCTTCCAAATCCTTACTAATTTTTATATGTTCATCTATTGTTTATTTTGAGCCGATGATTAAAATCTTCAACTATGAGTGAAAGTCTATTTCTCTGTTTAGTTCTGTCTGTTTTTACTTCATGCATTTTGACACTCTGTTATCAGTTGTATAAACATTGAGAATTATAATGCATTGCTAATGAGCTTAACCTTTTATCATTCCATCTCTGATATTTCAGCTTATTTTGAATCCTACTTTCTCTGGTATTAGCCAGCTACATCAGTTTTACTTCCTTTCATTTTCAACCAATTTTATGACTCCATCTCAAAAAAAAAATGCATTCATTATACAGAGCATATAGTTTTGTCCTTTTTAAATCCAGTCTCAAAATTGCTAGCTCTTAATTTAAGTGTGTTATGGGTTGAATTGTCTGCCAAAAAAAACATACGTTGAAGTCCTTACCCCAGTAATTAAGGATGCAACCTTATTGAAAGATAGGATCTTTATAGATGTAATCAAGTCAAAATGGGATCATTAGAGTGGCCTGTAATCCAATGTGACTGGTGGCCTTATGAAAGGGGGAAATTTGGACACAAAAATGCCACCAGAAAGCACAACATATGAACATGAAGAAAGCCATCTAAAAGCCACGGAGAGATGTCTAGAACAGATTCTTCTTCACAGCCTTTAGAAGGAACCAGTACCTTGAATTCAGACTTCTAGCCTTCAGGACTTGAGATAATACATTTTTGTTGCTTGAGGCACCTAGTTTATGGTACTTTGTTATATAACCCTAGGAAACTAATATAAATGTTCAATCCATTTACATTTAATCAGTGATGTCAGTGTTGTTAAATCTACCATGTTACTATTTGCCTACTATTTTCTTATTTGGGTGTTGTTCTCTTCCCTTGGTTGTTGATATTTCTTTCTTCACCGGTTCAGTGTTACCTTCCTTAGAGTAAATGGATATTTTTCAATATTTCATTTTAATTATGCTATTGGCTTTATACCCTTCATACATGTGTTCTTGTTGATTCGATGTTCTTGGATCTCTGCATTGAAATTTTTCATCAAAATTTGAAAACACTGGCAATTATTTCTTCAAATATATTTTTTCTTTCCCATTTTCTGACTCATCCTTTTGAGACTTCATTTGTGTATAGGTTTGATGGCTTGATATCCCATGTCATTCAATCTCTTATTTTAATCATTTTCCTCTTTTGTTTGAGATTAGATAAATTCAAAAATGGTTTTCAAGGTTATTTGTCTGCTTTTCAGAGAGCTGAAATCTGAGAGTATACCCTGCCAGTGACTCTTTCATTGTATATTTTGCACTTGTTACTTCAACAATGTTCATTTCTCAAAATTACCTTTTTCGTTCTATCATTGTGACAATATCTCCATAGTCTAAGGACATATTCATAATATATATCTGTTGATTTCAATGCCTGGGTCATTATGATGTATGTTCTATTGACTGCTTTTTTCCCCTTGATTATTTATTAAATTTTCCTGCTTCTTTGCGTAACTTGTATTTTTGACTAATACACTGTAGAAAATCTAGACGTTGTCTTCTTGTAAAAGGCCCTAAGATAGTCCTTTGAAAGCTGTTAAGTGGCTTCCAGATCCTTTTGATCTGCCATGCCTGGTTTCATTATTTGTTAATGAAAATCTCTTTCATTTTTGTTCTTAAAGATAGGACATAGTCTTTACTGAAAGAAATAGTCCTTGTTCTTAATGCCTGGAATATTCCGTAAAATATCTTCCCTGTGGCTAGTCAGTAACCCAAACATCTCCTTGTCCTGTTACTACTGATATCTTATTCCCACAGTATCTGCTTTCAGCAGGTCTTGCAGATGTTAACCCTGCTCAGGTATAGAGCAGCTTTTGACGAAATTGGTGCCAAATACTTATTCTGGCTTCTGTAGGCCTACCCCATGCCTCTTTTTCCTTTCCTATACAAATTTCAGCCACTTCAGCAGCTCTTAAATAACAACCACTTAAGCAAGTGTAAGCTATTTACAAATATCGATAGATAGATAGATAGAGAGAGAGAGAGATGATATAGATAGAGATTTAATTGTAATTTTAGATTCAGGGGGTATATGTGCAGGTTTGTTACAAAGTTATATTGCTTGCTGCTACTGTTTGGGCTTCCACTGATCCTGTCACCCAGGTAGTGAACTGAATACCTAACAGGAAGTTCCTTGGCTCTTGTCCCTCTACCCCTACCTCTTTTTGGAACCTAATTAAACTAAGAGCTTCTGCATAGCAAAAGAAATTATCAACAAATAAGCAGACAACCTACAAAATGAGAGCTTTAAGCTTTAATTTCTTCCTCTAAACTCATTATTTTTAGAGTCTGCCTCCTTGTTTAATGGGAGAAAAAGTGCCCCTAGTCACATTCTCTGGTTAAATGTGGTACTTACCTCACAGCTTTCTTCTCTCTTGAGTATGAAAAACTTGTACTTCTTGTTTGATGCATAAAATCTGGTTCCTCATATATGTTGCCCAGTTTTATCATTGTTTATAGTGAAAAGGCAAGTCCCTCCAATAATTCTATTATGGCCAAAGACTAAAGTGCCTCTGATATGACTTATGTCCTTCAGAAATTGCTTACTCTTTAGTCTGTTGGTAGAATTCTTCTCAACTTTCCATAGTTATTTTAATAAGTACTATATTTTCCTATTTCAATGGCAATTTGGAATAAAGGAGAAATAAATGTATTTGTTTGGTCCATCTTTGTGTATTCAAACTGTTAAGTCATTACTTTTCACGTCCACTACACATATTACTGCACAGTAATTCCTTGTTTACACCTATAATCTCCCTCTCCTGTTTTCCTAGTTTCTATTCAAGTATTTGGGGTAACTGATATTTCTTAAAACAATATGTATTCTTGGAAAGAGATGTTTCTAGAATCCCCTTCTTAGGTGACTTATTAGGAAAAATTATAAGAATAAGAACGAGAATAGAGAAGAAAAGTAATTGAAGACATCCACTTCAACTCTAAATCCCCCTAGGAGAAAAAAGGCTAGCACTTATTTAAATGCCCTTCTTAGGTGACTTATTAGGAAAAATTATAAGAATAAGAATGAGGATAAAGAAAAGTAATCGAAGATACCCACTTCAACTCTAAATCCCCACAGGAGAAAAATGGCTGGCACTTATTTAAACTCATCTAGGTTTTAGTTTTGCTGATGTTGTTTTTCCAATAATAATCTGTTTCAATTATTATAACAGCAATTTCAGTGAAATATGGTACTTACCAGCTAAGTTTTACACAGGGAAGCACTTTCCTAAACACTTCCCCATCCTTCTTCAAAGTTTGAATCCAAATCTTTTGTACTCCAGGGCTTATTTTGTTTTTCCTACAGCATTCTGCCTTTCTAGAATTAGCACTAGTTACCCTCAGGAAAAGCAAATACATGGACCCATAAAATAATCTTTGGAAGTCTTTCTTCTCCTGCTAGTTACCAAATTATAATCTTCTTATTGTAATAATAAAATAAAATAAAAAATAAAAAGAACTATTTTACTCTAATAAGTTTCCCATTAAGCTAAGCCTGCTTTTGTTGTATTAGAGATTAACATATGTAGACAGTGTTCTTTTTGACTGGAAATGGGGATTAGTTATGGTTCAAGTAATGCATAAACAAGATGTATTTTTAAAAATACGTCATATTTATGCATTATATTTAAGCAGCCATTTGTAAAAAGCTGAAACTTATTAGAAAGTGAATTCTTCATACTCATGTTTGTATTTTCAATGTTTAGGATTATTTGTTAGCTTAGGTATAGACTAGATTATTTTTCTAAACAAACAGGAATAAGAAATATAGGTAGTAAAATTTACATGACCTGGTAAAATTTAAAATATCCATTCTGACTAACAGGCAGTGATGAGAACAATAAATAAAATATATCTTGGTTTAAATTCTAAGTAAATATATTTGACAATATAAATATAAACATACTCATATGAGTGAATTGCTTCTAATTCTGGCTTTTAGCTAAATAAGCACTTAATGCTAGTAAGAAAAATACATTATTTCATAAAGATAACAAATTCTTTCAGAAATAGTAATTATATTTTTAAAGAGTTTGGGGAAAATAGAAGTGTATACTCTAATCTTATAGCAAAGTTTCTGCTAAGTTTTTGTGATGCCAGTGTTTTCATTATGAATCATTTCACTGTCAAACAAAATGTACGCTGTTGATTAAACACAGGCAAAAAGAGACGGAAAGAAAAAGGTATATTAAAAAAAAGACCTTTGGTTATTCTGGCTGCCACCAATTGCTTTCTTGTTTCAGCTGAATTTTGAAGTAGCTAATCATATTTTGGCATTTTCTTGTCATCAAAGCATTTCGTGAAATTATCCCATTACAATGTTTTTCTCAGAGGCAAAATTAACATGGTTGACAGTTTAATTGACATATTTCTTTTTCGTTGTGTGCCTTTGCCAATTAAACAAATTGCACCCTATTTTGATGTTCATTTTGTTAATTATTTGTAAAACTGTAGACTCTGATTTTTTTTTTTTTTAATTTTCAGGTGTCAGTTTCTTGGTCGGGAATGAAAATAGTGCCAACCTGTGATACCTTCACTCTAATTTTACTTTCTGAGGAAGTTTTCTGTAATAGTTATTTGGTGATAATTATTAATACTGGTGAGTTTTAAAATTTTTGCTTTCAGCAATTTTCCATTTTTTTCAACATACTTATATCGCAATGAGGCAACCAAATATGAATCCTGAGAATGAAGATGGAAAATGAATATTTTAATCCAATATCGAGTTGTTCTTTCAACATTTTTAGTTTTAGTTTTAATCGAAAATATAAAGTTACATAATTGTGTGAGGAATAATTTTTGCAGAGAAATTTTTAAAAATTCACAAAAGGAAAAAGAAACCTTTACCATGAGTCTATAACATTGAAAGACTGTGTTTAAGTTATTTTAATAAAGCCAAACCAACACTTTCAGCAGGAACTAAATGGCAGCATCTGATTTCACGCTGATACATATGTATTAGTGTGGTGCTCACTTTTACCCTTCATTTTACCTTGGGTCTTGCCATTTTCTTTCTTTTTATTTTTATGTTTTTTTGTGTTTTGTTTTCTTTTGGAAGAGGTAATTTTTAGGGAGAAAAAAAACACTTTTTCCTCATAGGTCGATTTAAAATGTTGGCCTTACCTTAATCTCCTCTCTCAAACTCAATCCACTATGTAATGGGTCAACATACTTTTCTGTGAAGGAGCAGATAGTAAATATTTTAGTCTTTGCAGGCCATATGGTCTCTGTTGCCAGCTCTTCCATTGTGGTGTGAAAGCAGCCATAGACAACACAGAAATGAATAAGTGTAACTGTTCCAATAAAAACAGATGATATGTTGAATTTAGCTCACAGAGTTTAGCTTGCTGCCCCTGCAGGAGGCCTTTGGAGTAAAAGCTTCCTGAGAGGAGGACTTTTTGTCTTTTTTGCTCAAGTTCTAGCTCCAGTACCTAAAATAGTGCCTGTCACGTAGGTATTGATGAATATTGGAACCTGTTGAACATACACCTAAAATAAAACATTTGGCAAGATACAGTACTACACAATTTGGAGAACACTTGGCTCCCATAGAAATCAAAGCCTTCCTGAGTAATTAATTATTTGGCCTGATGATGAATTACTGTGCCTGAGATGATAGAGCTAATTTATTTTTCAATTCACTCAGGGGACACACGTTATTTTCACTGTGAATTTGGTTAAAATGAAAAGATTTCCTGCTCTAAGTCCTGGATAGACCTTTATGTAATAGCATACTCTTCACTCTTTTTGAATCGCATGCAGTTGTCAGACTGGATGATTTCCAGACAGAGGTTCCAAGTCTTTCATCATGTTTGGGTTAAAGACCTCATTAACATACTAGTCCTGCCATTTGAGTCTGTTCTCTTCACGGAATATTTTCACCTGAATCAGTGGGTATAATTCATCAGTGTCTGGTTGCTTCAAGTTATTTTTCTTAATGCTGATGTTAATGCATGCCCATCTTTATGCCTCAACACATTGCACAATGAAAAACAAAAATTATTTTGGAAGACACAGCTGACATCTATATGAAATATTCAGTATCAGTGATTGAACTTCAGCAAGCTCCTGTGGCCAGCAGGGTTTTACGGAGGTGCAACTGCTCTCCCACGATCACTTATCATAAAGCCAGAGACAATTGGGCCAATGTAGCCTCTTGCCTGCTTTTGTGTACAAAATATAAATAGAATAGAGCAAATAAGGAAAAATAGTCCCGCAGCTGGAAGGCAACTTTAAAGAAAAATGATGTTCATAGCTGTCTTGCCAGTAGCTGGCAAAGCAGTTTTTATAAGACATATTTAATGTTTACAACCACTTGGAGGCTGGGGAAGGAGTAATACTTTGAAAATATGTTTAATGTTGTGAACCACTCTGTGGCCGAGAAGCAACTCCGGCTAAAATATATTTAATGCTTAGAGTCATTTGGCGGTTTCGAAAAAAAGAAACTTCTTGTTAATTTTTAACATTTATTGCTGATCAGTGGCTGCTAAAGTAACTATCAGTACAGCATGATTTATATTTAGGGACACGCTGTGCTGCTACTAAAACAATTCATACTCTTCTCTCAAGGCTACACAAAAAGTGTCAATAGCATTACCTTTGCAATTGCACCACTAATAAAAACATAGGAATCAAACAGACGAATAAAATGCTCCCTGCCCACACAGCCATAACATCCTATGGCCCTGAAAATAGTTCTGCCAAGCTGCGTGCAGTGGACACTTCACGGCTGGCACAGGAGAGATCACAAGGCCTTGCTCAATTTCATCAAAAGTGTTAAAGCGACTCAGCAGATTGTGAAGCACAAGTGGAAGCTGATAATTGGTGTTTCTTACAAATCAACGGCTTGTCTCCACACATCAAGGTAAAGGCGTCCTCTACACCAAAGAAAATGTAAATTGGGATAGAAGGTCATTATGTTTTTAAATAAACTTGGTTAAATTTGTAGAAAGGGCAATGGTAAATACTGAGCTCACATGTCAGATGGAGAGAAAACTTGAGAAAAGGGAAGAAGATAATGAGCTGGAACCTTTACCATTTAGACTTTCTCTGGCTAGCTTTCTGAGAATGATCATCAAACTCTTATGAGGACCCTTTCCAATGTATTGACTGCACTTCCCCAGGGATTGTGGCAAATGGTAAATATATATTTTCTCCTTGCTACTTGCAATAACCCTGCTCATAAAGTGTTACTATTATTCACTTGCAGGTGAGAAAATCAATGTAAAAGAGGAGAAATAACCCACACAACCACATACAACTAGGAAATGATAGATGGATCTGAAAAAAAGGATAAGCACTCTTAACAAGTTCAACACCCAAGTACTATTGCAAGTACAAGCTGTATTTCATGGAAAAAAAAAAAAGAATAACTCAAAAGGCAGAACGAAGAGCCTAGAGGTCAGAGATGAGAGGCATGAATAATTATTCACAGGCGTTGAATATAATCAAATGACTTGCAACATTTACCACTGGGATTTTAAAATGTGGTGGACCAATCATTCTTTTAGTCTGTGCATTTTCCCATTTTTTTCAACAGGAATGTCTAGAGACATTATTCCTGTTTTGCCACTGTATTTTTGGTGAATGTGTAGTAAGTAACTGGCCTCTTTAGTATCACAAAGCTGGATGAAGAAAATGTGGTACATATACACCATGAAATACTATGCCGCCACAAAAAGGAAATGAGATCATGTCCTCTGCAAGGACATGGATGAATCTGGAAGCCATTATCCTTAGCAAAGTAACGCAGGAACAGAAAACCAAACACCACATGTTGTCTCTTAGAAGTGGGAGCTGAACAGTAAGAACACATGGACACAGGGTGGAGAACAATACACACTGGGGCTTGATGGGGGGTGGAGGGGAGGGATGGGGAGCATTAGAAAAAATAACTAATGCATGCTGGGCTTAATACCTATGTGATGGGTTGATAGGTGCAGCAAACCACCCTGGCACATGTTTATCAATGTAACAAACCTGCACATCCTGCACAGGTACTCCAAAACTAAAAGTAAAAAAATCTAAAAGAAAAAAAAAAAAGAATTAAACCCAAAATCACTTCCCCATCTGGACTTGATTTAGATGAAAAGCTTCTGGACTTTGAGCTGATGCTATAGTGGGTTGAAAATTTTGGGGTCCTCAGAAGGGGATGAGGATATATTGCATGAGAGAGCAACATGAATCATTGAGAGCCAGAATATAGAGAGTGGTAGGTAGACTGTAGGAGAGCCCTCAATGATCCCAGCTTTCTTGTATTCGCGTTGCACTTACTTGTATAATATGGCAGATGGGATGTGATGTCACTTTCAAGATTAGGTTATAAATAGACTATGGCTTCAATCAGAGGGTTTTCTCTCTGTCTAGCTCTCTTTTGGGTAGTTCATTCTGAGGAAAGCCAGCTGCCACGTTATGATGTAGGCCTGTGAGGTCCACGTAGCAAAGAACATATGGAAGATTTCTACCACCCCCTAACTAAGCCTTTAGGTCAGACCGCAACCCCAGCCAACAAGGTAGCTACAAACTCTTGAGAAGCCTTGAGACAGAGGTACTCAATAGAGCCATTCCTATGAGAAACGTAAGTATCTGCTGTTTTACACCGCTAAGGTTTTAGCTAATGTATTATGCCATAATAGATAAGTTATATACAACCTTTATCAAATAATAAAAGTAACCATCATCAGTAATGAGACAAATCAAAAACCATGGCCCACCCAATAGAACATAATGAGGAGAGTACAGAATTGCTTCTGGGATATTTCTGACAAAGATGTATATGCTTCATTCATACATGAGGAAACATCACACATACTCAAGATGGGAGAGCCATTCTAAAAAATAACTAGGCAGAAATCTTCAAAAATATTAAAGTCACGGAAACCAAGAAAAAATATGAACCTGTTCCAGATTAAAGGAAACTAAACAGACCTAACATTTTAATACAATGTTTGATTTTGAACTTGAACTTTTTGTTATATAAGACACTATTGAGACAAGTGCTAATGCTTGAATAGGGCTGAAGGATTAGATTATAATAATACATTAATGCAAATTTCCTGATTTTAAACATTGTAGTTTGATTGCACAAGGAGAATGTCTTTATGTGTGGAAAATAAATAGTCAACATTCTGTCTTCAAGCTTCTGAAAAAACTCTGCTTTTAGGGCATAGATAGAAGTGGATGATAATTCACCTGTTCCTCTGCTACTAATTGAGCTGCTCTCTGTTTCCATGGCTGGCTCATGGGATGAGAGAATATATCTAGTTTTTTATGTTTCAATTTGTCTCTCTATGGCATTTTTGTGAAAATAAGGAAGTGTGGAGACTTATATATGTTTCTAAATTGTAATAGTTCATTAATGTAAAGTACAGACACAGTCTTCACTTTTCCTTCTTAGACCGTTTAAATATGGCCACGAAACAAGTAGTCTCTGGTTGGCTGGGCACTGTGGCTCATGTCCTTAACACCAACACTTTGGGAGGCCGAGGCAGGCAAATCACTTGAGGTCAGGAGTTCGAGACCAGCCTGGCCAATGTGGCAAAACCCCATCTCTTCTAAAAATACAAAAATTAGCTGAGTGCGGTGGTGCACACCGGTAATCCCAGTTACTCGAGAAGCTGAGGCAGGAGAATCACTTGAACCTGGAAGGCAGAGGTTGCAGTGAGCCAAGACCGCACCACTACACTCCAGCCTGGGCAATAGAGCAAGACTCCATCTCAAAAAAAAAAAAAAAAAGAAAAAAGAAAATAGTCTCTGGTTAAATAACCTCTGAAAGACTCCACCAAAAATTTCATCTTAGCATTTCTCCCCAAACTTCATGTAAAATAAAATAGAGTTGAGAGAAAAATAGAAAGGCAAGGGAGTACCTGTTCACTATTTTTATTAAACCAGTGTTCTACTTTATTTTAGGTGTATCTTTTCTTATTTAAATGTCAGCTAAACTTTCTTTTTAAGATATTGAATGAAAGATGCCCATCCTTCAGGTTTCGTTTAAGCAAGAATCCCCATTCTCAAATAATATAATATAAACTTTCCAAATTCTTAAGTAGATCATCTGAGATTGAAAGCTAAGTTTAACTTTCTCAAAGATATTTTAGCCGCCATGACACCTAGACAAAGTGGTATATTAAATTCTGATTAATTTGGTCCTAAAGCACCTAAGAATCATTCTTACTTTCTTATCCACAGGGGTTATTAAGTTTTCACATTAAAAAAAATCCAACAGTGAATAATACTGCATTGGGGTTACTGTAATTGTTAAGTAAAATAAGAAATACAAATCTTTAGTTAGATCACATGGCACCTGACTACTGCTTAGAAAATGGTAAGACTTACTACATAAATGATGAGTCACTATTGACATCTACTATATCATATCATAGGTTAGGTATCTAATTATAAATAGTCAAATCAGCTGACTCAAGGTGGCATAGCTCAAGCAGAGGAAGATAATACAAGTTGAGTATGGATTTAACACTCTAAACCTGTCAGCACTGTAGGAAAAGTAACTTAAAACTGCACACCCCACTTATGCATAATCATCAGATATAAAGAGGGTACATTCCTGTAATTTATTGTTGCTCTAGTGATCTTAAAGAATTAAGTCCACATTCATAAAGTCCAAACTTGTCTCCAAGGATTTGCTTTGACTTTGGGAGTATCTGGATCATTAAGTAATTTCCGGAGGTCAGAGTAAAAGCTTTTTATCTCTAAATATTACTTCCCTGGAAAATTAGATGTAGCAGAAGTCAGTAACGGAGTGACCTTTGTCTTAAACAATTCATAGATTCACTGAAATTTTCTTCAACTTTAGGAAAATGAAATATATTCCACAGTGCTGTAAGTCTTAAATATTGATTTTCCTCTGAAATCTTGACTCATCCTACCCACCAACATTCTCCCTTTGTACACTATGTTCTTTGTAATGTTCACGTTACACAAGTGAAAATTAGTAACATTAGTAAATTTTCATTGCAGGTTTATTTGTTCATATTTCTGGATATATAATCCATTACTGTTAAACTTCGTATCAATGTTCCGATATTTCTTCATCTTATGTTTTATGTTACAAAACAGGTTATTTCACTATATGTATTTTTAATTGATTAATTCTTCCCTTTTTTGGAAATGAAACAGCCCTCTCAATTATTGGGACAGAAAAGTTATTTCATAGGGAATACTTCAAACACTGATATCTACAACAGGCAGTAAGATTCGTCACAACAATTGGTATACTGTCAATATACCATACAAAGTTCCATCTGGTCTTGATTAAAAATTATTTTAGTTTTCTCAGGAAAATGATACAGAGGGAGAATTGCCTAGATTATATGAGAGAAAAAAAAGTAGAGAGAAACATAATGTTTTCTTAGATTATTACAGCAGTGAACTATTTCCACCTGGTAAGAAGGGTGCACTTGAGAATGGGGTACAAGTACTCTAGGAACATAGATGTAAGTTCTGGATGCACAGTAGTTGTTGCTTAGCTGTAAGCTGGAAATTTCAAGGCAGAAACAGCAGATACCACAACTATAACTGGGTCTTCTTGTTTTTTGTTTTATGTGTATACGTGAGATTATGGGGAAAGACAAAAGTAATGCATAGAGATTTATTTTTTAACATTCAATTCATAAGCAGTGTTTATACCTCTTTGTACTTACTTGAAAAGTGTATATTATGTAAATTTAGTATAAAAACACTTGGACTAATTCATACCATGTGGTAAAATTTCACATTCAAAAGAAATACCCTTCTGTTATTAAAAATAAAAAAAAAAGGAGCCAGGAGGGTGGCTCATGACTGTAATCCCAGTGCTCTGGGAAGCCAAGGTGGAGGGATCATTTGAGGCCAGGACTACTTGAGAACAGCCTGGGCAACATAGCTAGATCCCTTCTCTACAAAAAGTAAAAAAAAAAAAAAAAAACAAAAACAAATAGCTAGGCAGGGTGGCACATGGCTGGCTATTAAGGAGGCTCAGGTGGAGGGATCTCTTCAGCCCAGGAATTTAAGGCTTCAGTGAGCTAAGATTGGGCCATTGCACTCCAGCCAGGGCAACAGACCAAGACCCAGTCTCAAAATAAATAAATAAAAATGAAAGAAAGCAGTGCACTGAAAATCAATTTAAGTATTTACTGGAGTTGTCTTGAAGGCCCAATGGGAAATGTCAGTAAGGGCACATGAGAAAACACTTTAAGAACCTATTCTTCCAAAGATCTTTCCAGTATCTTATGACAACACAGTAAATTATACCCACTCCAACTGCAAAAGCTGAAACTACTCTGCTTTCTCACTTACCTACACTTTTGACTTTCCAAATACATTTCTCTCTTCGGATATGAGCTGCAAACTCCTTATATAAAGGCTCCAACTCTGCAGCCCTAATTATTCTAGTTGGCCCAAGAAAAATCCTAATTGTTTTATCTAAGGAGACGGAATTTTCCAATACTGTAGAGGCATGTGTGTGTGTTTGCTTTAAGGAAGCTGTTTTGGTAATAAAAAGTCACTGAAGGTCATAAATTCATGTTAACACATCCAGTGTACATGAAGTAGGCACCGAGTTAAACTATTTGTCTACTATATAGCATGTCATCTTAAAAGCCTTATTTTTTCCTCAAAATATTAACTTTATTTTTCTCCCTGTAAAATCAAGACACAGTTAAAATGTAGCCTTCCTCATTTTCTGGGAATACTTTCTAACAAGATATGCTTCTTTCCAATTGGACTTCTAAATTTCTAGCAATTCTAACAGTGCATAAAAGAGGCAACCCCAAAAGTGTAGCAGGTACTGAATAACAGATTTGCAGCCTTGGGTATCCACATTAAAATTTGAAATCTAAGTGAATTACTTCAAGCTGATTTCTTAGGTCAAGGAGAGATTATGGTCCTTAAATGCCTGATAAGGTCACATACACAATTTCAAGTGCATTATAGTAAATCCATGTGACAGCTCCTACAGCTACTAACCTGCTTCTGCCCTCACGGTAGCGTGCACAATCTTCATCGCATGTCCTGGGTGGTGGTAGGAGCAGTAGAAACCCCCTGGGTCATGTCAGATTTAGAAAATATAAGCAATGGCTCATACACGAATTTTAAGTTGTAACCTACATGTGATAAGTTGCTTTATCTTCCAAATGTAATAAAAACCAGAAGTTACTTTGAAATAAATTGAAGGATTAGCAGTGGTGACTGAGGAATAAAAATTATAATTTAAAATTGTCCTTAAGGCTGGAATTCTTAACTTATTGACCTTATATCCTACATATTATAGGACTTTGTAAATTTAGGCTGATATGGAAATGTATATTTATATCAAATTTAAATTTTTAGAATGATGGTGCTACTATATTCTAATTGTTAATTTGATAATTGTAATTGTAATTTGTTAATTTGTTCTAATAATGTTTTCATGACATTATTCATTTGCTGCTTGGCTTGATGGCATAACAAGTATGGGTTATTTACCCTGAAAAGGAAACAGTATCACCCTTCCAGAATCTCTATTTACAGCTACAAAAGATGCAACACACCTGTTTCTGGACCACTTCCAGATCAGATGTGATGCATGCTTTAGATCATTTACTTTGATCTAGGAATTACTGTCTGGCATTTCGTGGTGTAGGGTAGGTGTCTCCAGCACTGTATAGGTGTCTGGAATTGAGATAAGAATCAATTTCAATACAAAATACATTTTTTGCTTAAAGCACGCAAGGATTCTATGAATTCAGGTAAATTCACAGGGTGGAAAACAGGAACTAATGTTATATATTCCTGTAGTTATCTTCATAATGAAGCAGAAAGAAAAACAAAAAAGTTACAAAAATAAATGAAAAGAACTGTATTTTCTAGAATTGAAAAATAATTCTTTTAGATGATAGATAAGATGTTTACATCAACCTGCAAAAAGTCAATGTTGAAGAGGTCTCATTGTATCTCACAGAATTTTGATTTGCCTACTCACCCACAGGAGACATTTCTGGGACAGTAGCAACATAAGGTCCATCCCAAAACTTTGGCTCATTATCATTAATATCCTGCACTTTGATGATGAATTCTGATTCAGGCTCCAGGGGCTTTCTGGTTTCTATGTCCACAGCCTGAGCACGAAGAGTGTAGAAAGGTTTTTCTTCTCTATCTAGGCTCCTTATTGCATGAATGTCCCCTGTGGTTTCATCAATGGTAAAAACGGTGCCAGCGCCATCTCCTGAGAGGGTGTATTTCGCAGTGCCCTCTCCCTTGTCTAAGTCGGAATGGAGCTTTAGGGAAGAGAGGGAGAGAGAGAGGAAGAGAAAGAGAAGGACAAAGAAAGAACACCATTAAAAGGATGTTGCCAAATTAAAAAGTCATAATTTGCAATACAATTCCTTTAATCAAAAATGTTAAATAAAAATCTTATGGTTCTGTTTTCTTGTTTTTTATTTCTCCAACTTCTTTTTATAAAAATTTCAACACAAAAAGTTGAAAACTGTGCAATGAACACATATACATATACATCCAAACATTCCTCCATATGTGTGCAATGAACACATATATACCTATACATCCAAACATTCCTCCATTCGTCTATTAATCTGCTTGCCTTATCAGATAGGTCTCATATCCATTCTTCTGTTCATCCTTCTCTTAACCCATTTTTTTTTTGAGGTGTTACAAAGATCAGAACAAAAGTACAACCTCAGATATAGCAGCAGGCAAAAAAAAACAATAAATTTTGAAAATTTGTATTTAGTTCTTCTGTATCCCTTTGGGATAACATTTTCATAAAATGAAATGCACAAAACTTCAGTGTACTTATTGTTTCATTTTAAATAAACATTGCAATAAAAATAAATTAGCTCATAGACACCACAAAATAAACTTTCCAAGTGTTCTGAAGATGAAATCAATGACCTGAATCCAGTGGGAGATAGTGCAAAGGAACTCAGAAAACACTAAGCATTTTCATTTGTAAAGAAGGGAAAAATCTGGCAAATCAAGAGGTTTTCAGTGATATAGGGCAGAGCGTCTCATTTTAACAGGCTGAGTTTGAATGAGTTTACCACTATGATTGGTAGAATCACTGATTATCCTTTCAGATTCACAAATAGCTTGTTCCAATTCATTCTATATAGAGAATATTTATGTTGAGTAATATAGGAAAGCATTGAAATTCTGCTAATTTTTTTTTAAAATTCAACACATGTATGGTACATTACATTATAGCATGGAATAAGATACACATGAATAAGCGATAAGGAAGAGAACTAAAGAGTAGAGAGAATTATCAGTGTAATGCCATAAAGCAGCGTTGTTCAAACCGGAGACCAAGAATAAATGAAAAATGGACACAGTCTTAAAAGTATATAAATTATGTGTAAATAAATATATACATAAAATATTACATAAAATAAAATAGTGCATCATATACAATTTTCTAGTAGTATATATTTGTATAAATATATTCTTATACATAATATAATTATATATACATAACAGTCATAAATAATATTTATATTAATTTTTATGCAGATGCTGATTTAAATGTTTTAAACTATTCTTGCTCATTTGGGTATAGCCATTTGATTTCAGCATCCAAATTTTTACATGTAACAGCTTTTTCCAGACAACAGATCACCCAAAAGAAAATTAAACTTTTGCAGCATTTCTAACCATTTGGGCTATGCCTTAAAAATCTGCATATGAGCACTGCTCTTTGCAAATCATTGCTTAAGAATGAGTTCTGTTTTCCTAACATTTCAACACACACAAAAACTCTGAAAATATTTTAAATTATATAAATATCCTGTTGCAAATAAGCTTCCTGTGTATTAGTATGAGTAATTAAAAGCACAAATATAGCCCAAATAAATACAAGTTCAACTGTGGCTACATCTTTGCTCTTAAGCTCAAGAGCGTGCTTTAAGTTCAATAAAATAATATCATTGTTCATATTAATGTTATTAAGGTAAACTTATTCATTTTGTGACCCTGCATTTCCTTCAATATTTGTTCTAAAACTGTTTTGTATGAGAGTATAAGCATAACCATAAAAACCTGGTTGGGTAATATAATAAAAATAATGTGGCAACAATAAGAGGGAACAAGATTTTGGCGTTCCTTTAAAAGTTTCTGTATATTTTACTTAAGTATAAAGAAAATTGTTATGAATGATAGGAGGAAGGATTTTTGTCCACCTATTAAAAAAAAACTGCTGTGAAGCATAGGAAGTTTCAAGCATAAAATCAAGCAGTAGATAAATGTTCTTTGAACTTACGAATTTCAAATTATAAATTTCAACCATGCTATTAAAGATATTCAACACAGTGGATATTCCTTTTGCTTTCAAATTTATCTAAATATATGAGACAGGCAAAAGCTCAATGCAAAAGGCATGACTTTATAAAATGGATCCATTTTGCCAACAGCTCAAAGAATTATGGTAATATTGTGGGAACTGAGTGAAAATTCAGAGTAGGTTTTGAAATGTGATACAAGTAGAATTTTAAAAAGAAAAAAGAAAAAAATTTCTGTATTTAGCTAAAATCATAACTGTTTCCTTTGCAAACTGACATAAAAATGAAGAAGCAAAATGTGTCTTTAGTTATATCCAAGTTCCAAATTCAAGTTAATTACTGCTGCTCCTCACTCTTCTACCTTTTCCTTCAAATTTAAAGATGGGCTTTGCAGAGATTAAAGCTTCAGAAAAAAATATGGGAAAATATGTTAAAATGTTGACCTGAAAATGAAGTGGATGACTATAAAACTCTTGAGAGAATTAGACTTTTTGTAGCAGTTTATTACATGATAATACCTTAAAGGAGATCACATTCAGTGACCTGCGTTGACAGGTAATATTTAAAATTAAGTATTAATGCTGATTAATTCAGGCAGATGGGTGGTAGCCTAAAGTATAGACATTTTTCCAATATTAATTTTGATATTAAATAAATGACATCGGCTCTTGTTGGATATTGTAAAATTTCCTTTACTTCAACTGTAAAATAATTTCAACAGTGAAAGGTATAAAGTAAGATGAAAATTTCCATCATGATCTTACCTAGAGATAACTTCTCTTTTTTTGAGTCGAAGTATCGCTCTCGTTGCCTAGGCTGGAGTGCAGTGGCGTGATCTCGGCTCACTGCAACCTCCACCTCTCGGGTTCAAGCAATTCTCCTGCCTCAGCCTCCAGAGCAGCTGGAACTACAAGGCGCATGCCACCATGCCAGGCTAATTTTTGTAGTTTTGATGGAGACAGGGTTTCACCATGTTGACCAGGCTGGTCTCAAACTCCAGGCCTCAAGTGATCCACCCGCCTCAACCTCCAAAAGTGCTGGGATTACAGGCATGATCCCCCATGCCCAGCTGAATTGGAGGAAATTTTAAAAGTTAATTTTAAAACTGCTTCTCTTTTATGGGAAAGGAATATGTTTTTAAATGGTATTCAGTGTGCTCTTTTTTAAAAAAATCAAAAATTATCCATTAACATCCGTTACTTTTTTTGTTTTTGGTTTTTTTTGAGATTGAGTCTTGCTCTGTTGCCCAGGCTAGAGTGCAGTGGCATGATTTCAGCTCACTGCAACCTCCACCTCCCAGGTTCAAGCGATTCTCCTGCCTCAGCCTCCCAAGTAGCTGGGATTACAGGCGCCTGCCACCACACCCAGCTAATTTTTGTACTTTTAGTAGAGACAGGGTTTCACCATCTTGGCCAGGCTGGTCTCGAACTCCTGACCTCGTGATCCACCTGTCTCGGCCTCCCAAAGTGCTGGGATTCCAGGCGTGAGCCATCACGCCTGGCCTAATAGCCATTACTTTTTAATGCATGGTAATTTTTTGTTCAGTAGATAAATATATTGTTATCTTAAAAAGATTTTTTGTATTTACTTTTGAGACTGGGTCTCAGTCTGTTGCCCAGGCTGGAGTGTAGCAGCCTGATCATGGCTCAGTGCAGCCTCTACCTCCCCGGGCTCAGGTGATCCTCCCCCTTCAGCCTCCTGAGTAGCTGGGACTACAGAGGTGTGGCACCATGCCCGGCTAATTTTTGTATTTTTTGTGGAGATGGGGTTTTGCCATGTTGCCCAGGCTAGTCTTGAACTCCTGGATGTGAGCCACTGCGTCTGGCCTATTATTTTAAATATAGTTCTCTTTACTGCCAGTAGCTTTCATATAACCCTAGCGACTAGATTTAGTCACCACTGCTTAATTCCAAAAAACAAAAGCTCCATCCTATATTTACTGTAAATCAGTCTCTTTGATTGTATTGCATGTTTTATTTCAAGAAAAAAGTTAACCTGAAGATTTAATTTTAAATAACTACACATGTTGTCACTAATAGAAATAACAAATAATTATATGAGAATAATGGTAATTCTCCTAAGTTTTGTGGTAAATTTTTTGGCAATTTTATTGAAGTATAATAAAATTCAACAATTCAATACGTCTTTATAAATGTTCATTGTGATATAGGACAGCTCTATCACAGTACTGGGGTAAATTTTAATTATATTTATTAATTACAGATGTGAATTTCTTCGGAGTAAGAAATCCTCAGAGGAAATTACCCAGTATATTCAAAGCTACAAGGGATTTGTTGACATAACGGTAATGTATAACAGCAATTTTTTTCTCAAGTTTTTGGATTACCTGTAAGTGTCTGACTCAGAAGGGCATAGGCATTCTTTTTATGTCATGGGTTTGATTTCTTTCTTCCTTTCTCCTTTCATTCCCCTGGCTCCCATCTTCAAAGTGAAAAATATCACATTCACTTGCTGACCTAGAGCCTTTTTCTTTTTCCAGGGCTGGCTTCTGACGGGCTCTGCTTGCCTTCCTGATAGTCTTCCCCTTTATGAATGAAGCCACTTGCCCCAGCTTCCCTCTGCTGCCCCTATCTGCAGGCTTGCTAAGATCTCCTGACCTAGGCGCTGTCACCCACAGTGGGCTGCAGAGCTGGCTCTTCCTAGCTGGCTAACTATCCTGAATCAGTAAAAATTTCCTAGTGGAGAGTGATGGGAAATCGAATCCAAACTGGCTTAAACAAAAATGAGAATTTATTGATTAACATGACTCAGGAGACCAGAACTCTATAGAGAACATGGCCTGACAGTGGGGGAAGAGAGGTGTTTCCTCAAAAAGAAACTGGGTGCAGCTTTCCCAGAAGAATCAGTTGCTCAATATATAATACCCTGATGAATTTAGTTACCATTCTATGTCTCTTACTTCCTCATTCGTCAAAGTACATCTGTGATATTTAAATGCAGGTCTGTTTTCAAGGTCAGTTTCCGGAAACAGTGACCCTGAGAAGGCTTCCTCCTGAGTATGCATAAACATTCACAGCTTGCATGCGTGTGTGTGTGTGTGTGTGTGTGTGTGTGTGTGTGTATGTTTGCTTGCACTGCATAAAAACAATTGCAACATCAACAGAAATAAAAATTAAAGGAATAATTCTCCTCCGACTCTGCCGTTCCATCCAGTGAAACTCTTCATTCTGGGGTAAAGTTCCTTCAGTTCTTGTTCATAGATAGGTATATACTTCATAAGTCAAACAATCAGGCTGGGCGCAGTAGCTCATGCCTGTAATCCCAGCCCTTTGGGAGGCCGAGCTGGGCAGATCACTTGAGATCAGGTGTTCGAGACCAGCCTCAAGACCTCCAACATGGGCCGGGTGCAGTGGCTCACGTCTGTAATCCCAGCACTTTGGGAGGCCGAGACGGACGGATGATGAGGTCAGGAGATAGAGACCATCCTGGCTAACATGGTGAAACCCCATCTCTACTAAAAATACAAAAAAAAAAAAAATTAGCCCGGCATGGTGGCAGGCGCCTGTGGTCCCAGCTACTCGGGAGGCTGAGGCAGGAGAATGGCGTGAACCTGGGAGGCGGAGCTTGTAGTGAGCCAAGGTCGTGCCACTGTGCTCCAGCCTGGACGACAGAGCGAGACTCTGTCTCAAAAAAAAAAAAAAAAAAAAAAAAAGACCTCCAACATCGTGTCTGTCTCTACTAAAAATACAAAAAAAAAAAAAAAAATTAGCCGGGTGTGGTGGCACATGCCTGTACTGCTCGGGAGGCTGAGGCAGGAGAATCACTTGAACCCAGGAGGCGGAGGTTGCAGTGAGACGAGAACCTGCCACTGCACTTCAGCCTGGGCAACAGAGTGAGACTCTGCCTCAAAAAAAAAAAAAAAAAAAAAAGTCAGATAATCAACAACTTGAATTTTAATTTCCCTCAGGGAGAACATTTTGTGAATTCCTGGGTCCAGAGAGAATTACCTATGGCATCAGGTAAAAACTCAAACATTTTCCAAAGGCTTTGCTTGTTTATTTCTTCTTTTGATTTTTTGTCCCTATCTCTTTTTGTCGTCCCCCCCGCCCCGCCCCGTTTATTTTGAAGCAAACTCTAGACATCATTCCATCTGTAACTGTGAAGGGACAACTTGAACGCTGATACTTGCAATATCAAAGCCTACTGGTCTCTTTAATTTGTGCAGCAGCAATAAAGATATAGAAAAAAAAAAGACTAAAGCCTGCTGGTCTCACCTTGTGCTTTTTATTCAAGCTTATTGCAATGACAGCATCTTTGCTTACGAAGAACTACGGCTGGACTCTTTTAAGGACTGGCCCCGGGAATCAGCTGTGGGAGTTGCAGCACTGGCCAAAGCAGGTCTTTTCTACACAGGTGAGTCAGTAGGTTGTGCCCACTTGCTTGCTTGACCTTTAATTCCCACATAGACTTTATGCTCCTGGGCTTACGTTTAGCTACACTCAGCAATGTCCACTAGCTTCAGCGTTTCTTTTTCTTTTCTTTTTTTTTCCCCCTTGGAGACAGAGTTGCCCAGGCTGGAATGCAGATCTTGGCTCACTGCAACCTCCACCTCCCGGGTTCAAGAGATTCTCCTTCCTCAGCCTCTGGAGTAGCTGGAACCACAGGCGCCTGCCACCACGCCCAGCTACTTTTTTGTATTTTTAGTAGAGACAGGGTTTCACCATGCTAGTCAGAATGCTCTTGATCTCCTGATCTCGTGATCTGCCCGCCTTGGCCTCCCAAATGCTGGGATTACAGGTGTGAGCCATCGCGCCAGGCCTCTCTTCAGCATTTCTTATAGATTCGTTTTCTTTTCTTTCTATTTTTTTTGAGACATGGTCATCCAGGCTGGAGGGCAGTGGCGAGATCATGGCTCACTGCAGCCTCAACCTCCTGGGCTCAAGTAATCCTCCTGCCTTGGCCTCCCAAAATGCTGGGATTACAGGTGTGAGCCACTGCACCTGGCATACATCTCTTTTCTTTCCTGCATCATAAATCCTCTCCCAGTTTTCTATTCCTCCCTTAGGTGGTAAACCTTCAAATTTGAAACCTTAAGGTCTGGACTAACAATGAATACAAATATTCTATTTGTGATAATTATCATGTCTTTTCTTTCTACACATTACTCTCCTCACCTCTTGTCCCCTGACAAAGTGCTCCTAGAAACTGTCACAGGACACTTCTGCTTATATTTCTTTAATCAGAACTTAGTTGGATGGGCCGGGCATGGTGGCTCACGCCTGTAATCCCAGCACTTTGGGAGGCCGAGGTGGGTGGATCACCTGAGGTCAGGAGTTTGAGACCAGCCTGGCCAATATGGTGAAACTCTGTCTCTACTAAAAATACAAAGAATTAGCCAGGCATGGTGGCGGGTGCCTGTAATCCCAGCTACTTGGGAGGCTGAGGCAGGAGAATCGCTTGAACCTGGGACGTGGAGGTTGCGGGGAGTCAAGATCATGCTATTGCACTCCAGCCTGGGCAACAAGAGTGAAACTCTGTCTCAAAAATAATAATAATAATAATAATAATTATTATTATTATTATTAGTCAGATGACCATACCTAGCTGTAAGAGGAGCTGGGAAACCTAATCTTTTTCCTGGGTGACAATGTGCCCAGCTAAATATTGGGATTTCTATTAGTATGGAAGGATTTGAGATAATAGGAACATGGATAGCAATCTTTGCCACATTCTGCCTGCAGGAGAAAATCAGGAAATTAATTTTCATGATTCCTAAACACGTAGAGCCTTCCACCAGATTGTGGCATTTTCTCTTTAGCTGCTGGTCATTAGGAAGCACCTCTGCAATCTATAAATGATGGGCTGGTTCCTGTCAGCTAAATCTCTGCCTGAAATACAAGATGATCAGGGAAAGGTTCCTAGGTACCTTGCTGGTCTTGCTCAAACCGAACACATGCATAAGTTACAGTGGAGGTTAATGCAGATCTTTAACTGAGAGATCAAGTAGTTGTCACAAATACCATAGAGCAACACAGAGAAGCAGAATATAGTTGTCACTCTACCTAACAGACATGTGCCATTGGAAAAAAAAAATCTGACTGCCTCACAATCTTAAGCCTTTGGAAAGAGTGTTTGCCATTTCTCCCTACTCTACTGTGTCTTCCTCTTGTCAGCCTTCCGCAAGACCCCTCTGACCAGTGTGCTCCCCCTCTTCCTTTCCAATCCTCCACCACTCCACACAAATCCTAATCATCTCTGACTGTTTTCAGATCTTGCAAGCTCTAGGATCTCATATTTCTGGGAGGCTTTCCTCTGCCCCAGCTTTCCCAGAGTGGAAGGAAGATGAGAAATGCTCTGTTTCTAGTTTGATCCTTTTGCAGAGCTAAATACCAATTTCTTTCCAAAGAAATATAATTTCACAAAGAGACTTAATCCTATTTCTGGTGTAATAAACATGGCAATAATGTGGTAAGAGGCAATTAATTCTTCATGCATTCACTTACATAAGGGCTGCTAGATTTGCTGGTATTTTTTTTTCCGTGAGCTCTAAATATATTCTTTCTGATTCATTCATTAAACGAATACTAATTGAGTGCCACATGAGTGTCAAGCACTTTTCTAGGTTCATGTCATTCATTAGTGAGCAAAAACCTCTACCCTCATAGAGCTTATTTTTATTTTTATTTTTTGAGACAGAGTTTCACTCTTGTTGCCCAGGCTGGAGTGCAATGGCGTTATCTTGGTTCACTGCAACCTCCGTCTCCTGGGTTCAAGCGATTCTTGTGCCTCAGCCTCCTGAGTAGCTGGCATTACAGGCATGTGCCACCATGCCCAGCTAATTTTTGTATTTTTAGTAGAGACAGGGTTTCACCGTGTTGGCCAGGCTGGTCTCAGACTCCTGACCTCAGGAGATCCGCTGGCCTTGGCCTCCCAAAGTGCTGGGATTACAGGCATGAGCCACTGCGCCCAGCCCCCTCATGGAGCTTCAATTCCAGATTCTGGTTGCCAATCTGTTTGTTGATCAAAGGAGAATGGGGCAGAGGGATGGTGTGCATCAAAGTGCATGGTGTGTAGGAGCATTCAATGACTACTTGCCAGTTACCCCATTGGTGGACAGAGTCTTATATAGAAAATTGCCTCACTGGTAACCAACTTCTGACTGTCACAAAACCCAACTGGAGACTGAATAGGCTTTCACTATTACAGGTCTGGTGGTTATTATCTGCATGTTAATGGACAGATGCCCATGCCAGTGGCACTGATCAAGTTTCCTTACTTTTAGGTATAAAGGACATCGTCCAGTGCTTTTCCTGTGGAGGGTGTTTAGAGAAATGGCAGGAAGGTGATGACCCATTAGACGATCACACCAGATGTTTTCCCAAGTGAGTGGAATGAATGTTAACCATCTGCAACTTTGGATGCACTTCAACAGTTTTTTTCTTTTTCCTCATTTCCTGCCTTATTTTATCTTTAGATTGAGTCTTTATCCACTCCTCGGATTCAGGCTATGAAGGATGAGTCTTCATGTCTTTCATCCCTTTGCTCCATGACCCCCTTCCTGTACTAGCCTTCCCCTCTTTATAGTTATGGCATAGTTTTGGCTAGATTCATATATTCACATTACATGTTTACATTATCATGACTATACAAATGCTATGTGGAGCTGAAGCTTGTGGTAAATTTTTATTTATTTTTCCCTTCCTGTATATCCTTTTATTTTTTTAGGAAGTAATAACTGTCCTGTTGGTATGTTAGCTTATTTTTTTTTCCTGAGGTAAAATTCAGGTAGTAACCATTTTATTTATTTATTTATTATTTTTTGTGACAGGTTCTCTCTCTTGCCCAGGTTGGAGTGCAGTGGTGCAATCATGGCTCACTGCAGCCTTGACCTCTCTGGCTCAAGCAATCTTCCTCGCTCAGCCTCCCAAGTAGCTGGGACTACAGGCACATGTCTTCACACCCAGCTAATTTTTTTTTTTTTTTTTTAAGAGACAGGGTCTCTCTATGTTGCCCAGGCTGCTCTCAGACTTCTAGGCTCAAGCAGTCTTCCCATCCTGGCTTCCCAAAGTGCTGGGATTATAGGCGTGAGCCACCATGCACAGCAATTAAACCATTTTAGAGTACACAATTCTGTGGCATTTATTATAGTACATTCACAATGTTGTGCAACCACCCCCTCTATCTAGTTCCAAAACACTTTCATCGCCCCCAAAGAAAACTCTGTATCCATCAAGCAGGCCCCCCTCCTCTCTCCACCCCACTCCATGCCCAGCCCCTGGGATACACCAACCTAATTGGTGTCTATGGATTTATTTGTTCTGACTATTTCCTCTAAATGGAAGCATACCGTTTGACCTTTTGCATTTGGATTCTTTCACTTGGCATATTGTTTTGAAGTTTATCCATGTTGTAGCTTGCATAAGTACTTCCTTCCTTTTGAGACCAAGTAATATTCCATATGGATACACTGCATTTTATTTATCCATTCATCTATTTGTAGATATTTGGGTTGTTTCTACCTTTTGGCTACCATGAGTAATACCGATAGGAACATTTGGGTACAGGTATCTGATGGAGCATGTAACTGTATTCAAGTCTCTGGGGCATATACCTAACAACGATATTGCTAGCTGTATAGTAATTCTATGTTTTTACTTTTTTTTTTTTTTTCTCACACAGAGTCTCACTCTGTCGCTCAGGCTGGAGTGCAGCGGTGCGATCTCAGCTCACTGCAACCTCCGCCTCCCAGGTTCAAGCAATTTTCCTGCCTCAGTCTCCTGAGTAGCTGGGATTACAGGTGTCTGCCACCATGCCCGGCTAATTTTTTGTATTTTTAGGGTTTCACCATGTTGGCTAGGCTGGTCTCAAACTCCTGACCTCAAGTGATCCACCTGGCTTGGCCTCCCAAAGTGCTGGAATTACAAGCGTGAGCCACAGCGCCTGGCCTGTTTTAACTTTTTGAGGAAATGCTAAACTGTTTTTTCCACAGTGCTTGCACCATTTTAAATTCCCACCAACAACAATGTTGTGCAACCACCCCCTCTATCTAGTTCCAAAACACTTTCATCGCCCCCAAAGAAAACTCTGTATCCACTAAGCAGGCCCTCCTTCTCTCTCCACCCCACTCCATGCCCAGCCCCTGGGATACACCAACCTAATTGGTGTCTATGGATTTATTTGTTCTGACTATTTCCTCTAAATGGAAGCATACAGTTTGACCAACAATGTATGAGGTTTCCCATTTCTCATCAACACTTTTCTATTTTTAAAAAAATTATAGCCATCTGCTTAATTTTTTTTTTTTTTTTTTTTTTTTTTTTTGAGATGGAGTCTCACTTTGTCGCCCAGGCTGGAGTGCAATGGCGTGATCTCACTCACTGCAACCTCCGCCTCCTGGGTTCATGCCATTCTCCTGCCTCAGCCTCCCGAGTAGCTGGGACTACAGGCACCTGCCATCACGCCCGGCTAATTTATTTTTTATTTATTTTTTTAGTAGAGACGGGGTTTCACCGTGTTAGCCAGGATGGTCTCCATCTCCTGACCTTGTGATCCACCCGCCTCAGCCTCCCAAAGTGCTCTGATTACAGGCGTGAGCCACCGCGCCCGGCCAGCCATCTGCTTAATTTTTATGTACATTGCTTATTTTTGTTTCTTGAGATAAAATTCATGTATTAATAATTTTATTTATTTAAATGAAATAAATGAAGACGAACACCAGCTCATCTTCAACTTATCCCAAATGTTTAAATCTCCTCTTAAGTCATTCAGACCTACCAGATATCTCATCATTTTCATTTCTTGAAAGAGTCATCATTTTTTTTTTCTTTTTCTTTTTTTTTTTGAGACGGAGTCTGGCTCTGTCACCCAGGCTGGAGTGCAGTGGCATGATCTCGGCTCACTGCAGACTCTGCCTCCCAGGTTCAAGCAATTCTTCCTGCCTCAGCATCCCAAGTAGCTGGGACTACAGGCATGCACCACTATGCCTGGCTAATTTTTGTATTTTTAATAGAGATGGAGTTTTGCCACGTTGGCCAGGCTAGTTTCAAACTCCTGACCTCAAGTGATCCGCCTGCCTCAGCCTCCCAAAGTGCTGGTATTACAGGCGTGAGCCACTGCGGCTGGTCCATTTTCATCTTGAAATGAGTTTCCCTGGAAGTCTTCTGGCCTGCTGGATTATGAACAACTTGTCCTATAATCATCCTGGGATCCAGGGATCTTTCTTCACAGGCATCCTGGAGATTATCTCCTCTGTTGTATCTCCTGGATCTAATGTCATCCTCTTCTTGGTTCACTCGCTCATTTTGTTGGAACACTTCATCGGAGTTCCCTGGGAAAGACTGCATAAGAAATACACACTTTTAGTTGCATATAATGCATATACAGACATATAGATCTATCTAGATATATGTTTTTCCTGTATTCTCACACTTATTTGATAGTTTAGCTAGGTGTAGAATTATAGGTTGGAAGTCATTTTAATTCTAAATTGTAGAGGCACTGCTACATTTCTACTGGTTCCTAATGTGCTGTCGAGAAGTTCCATGCCTTTCTGCTTGTCAATCCTTTTACTGCAAACAAAATTTTTTTTTTTCCTGTGCTGGAAGCTTTCAGAAAAATATCTGTTCTAAAATTTTATGAAGAAATATTTCTTTTCTATGAATCTTTAAACTTAATTTTTTTTTACCCATCAAACTCTTTAGAAATGTTTAATTGCAAGAAGAAATTTGTGTTTTCACTATGTAATTAGTAAGAGTTTTTTTTTTAGAAATGAATATGAACACATACAGATTTTAAAATGAATGCTTCCTGCTCATTTGTATAGTGGTAAAAACAAAAATAAAACAAAATGAATACTTCTATCTAATTTTATTGCCTTGAAGGTATTTTGATAGCAGTAGTTACCTCATTTTTCTTTCTTATTTGGGCTTAGTGTATAATAAATTATTGAGAACAATGGGGACATTCTACTTAATTCTTGGAAGGATAAGCTAGGATGCAGTCTAGTCTTATTTAGAACTTACTCTGGAATCGATCAACTCCCTTTTATACTATTATTATTATTATTAGTTTTAGTGTTTTGTTGTTGTTGTTTTTGAGATGGAGTCTCACTCTGTCACCCAGGCTGGAGTGCAGTGGCGTGATCTCGGCTCACTGCAACCTCCGCCTCCCGGGTTCAAGCGATTCTCCTGCCTCAGCCTCCCAAGTAGCTGGGATTACAGGTACCTCCCCACCATGCCTGGCTAATTTTTTGTACTTTTAGTAGAGACGGGGTTTCACCATGTTGGCCAGGCTGGTCTTGAACTCCTGACCTCAAGTGATCCTCCTGCCTCAGCCTCCCAAAGTGCTGGGATTACAGGTGTGAGCCGCCACACCTGGCCTTTAGTGTTTTTTTGTTAAGAGACTGGGTCTCGGCTCTGTCACCCAGGCTGGAGCAAGTGCAGTGGTACAATCCTAGCTGACTGTAGCCTCAAATTCCTGGGCTCAAGTGATCCTCCCACCTCAGCCTCCCAAGTAGCTAGGACTACAAGCATGTGTCACCATGCCCGACTAATTTTTTAAAGTTTTTTTTTGTAGAGATGGGGTCTTGCTTTGTTGCCCAGGCTGGTCTCAAACTCCTGGCTCCAAATGATCCTTCTGCTTCAGCCTCCCAAAGTACTTGGATTACAGGCATGAGCCACTGCTCCCAGCCAACTCCTTTTTGGATTTTTACTCTTCCTTTGCCTCTTAAAAAAACTGCAAACCAGTATGTCTCCAAATGATTACCTAAAATTTTTATGTATGCTTTAAAGAATGAATAAAAAGCAACCTATGAACCTCCTAGTAAAGTCAAGAAATTGGACATTATCAATGCCTTAAAAGACCCCTGCGGCCGGGTGCAGTGACTCACGCCTGTAATCTCAGCACTTTGGGAGGCCGATGTGGGCAGATTGTCTGAGCTCAAGAGTTCGAGACCAGCCTGGGCAACATGGTGAAACCCCATCTCTGTTAAAAAACAGAAAAATTTAACCGGGCCTGGTGACACACGCCTGTAGTCCCAGCTATTAGGGAGGCTGAGGCAGGAGAATGGCTTGAACCTGGGAGGCGGAAGTTGCAGTGAGCCAAGATGGCGCCATTGCACTCCTGGGCGACAGAGCGTGACTCTGTCTCAAAAAAAAAAAATCAAAAAACAAAAAACAACTCTGCATGCCAACCACCCCCTAATTCTGATTATATCCCTGTCCCTCCAATCCAGAGGTAAATGTGATGCTCAGTTTGGGTTAATTATTCCCTTGCTTCTCTTTGTGGTTTTACCAACTACATATACATCCTTAAACATATTTAGCTTTGTCTATTCTTGAAGTTCAAATAAGAAGCATACTGCATGATTCTTCTTGTAATTGGCTGGTTTTACTCCACGATGTTTTTGAGATTCATCCATATTTATATGTACTACACAGTTGTAGTTCACTTGTTTTCATTGGTAAATAGTGTATTATTTTATGAATATATAATAACTTATTTTACTGTTGATTAACCTCGTGGGTCGTTTTCAGAGTGTTGCAAATTCAAATAATGCCCTATGAACATTCTTGTACATATTTTCCAGTGCTCATGTGTGTTTCTCTAGGATACATAACAAAGTAAAGAATTGCAGAGTCATAGAACTTTGCGGGTGTTCAACTCCACTAGATAATGCAAAGCTTTTTCCCAAGTGGTTGCACTGATTTACATTCCCATTGGCCTAGATGCGTTTCTATTGATTTGCTTCCTCACTAACTTGGTATTGCCCAAATTTTAATTTTTGTCAGTGTAATTACTAATAATGTTAAGCTTATTTTCTTCTTCTTTTTTTCTTTCTTTTTTTTTTTTTGAGACGGGAGTTTCACTCTTGTTGCCCAGGCTGGAGTGCAATGGCACGATCTCGGCTCACCACAACCTCCGCCTCCCAGGTTCAAGTGATTCTCCTGCCTCAGCCTCCCGAGTAGCTGGGATTACAGGCATGTGCCACCACGCCCAGCTAATTTTGTATTTTTAGTAGAGATGGGGTTTCTCCATGTTGGTCAGGCTGGTCTCGGACTCCCAACCTCAGGTGATCCACCCACCTCAGCCTCCCAAAGTGCTGGGATTACAGGTGTGAGCCACCGCGCCTGGCAGTTGAGCTTATTTTCATATTTTCCTGCAGAATAGTCTTGTTCTTTCTCTTCAAGAGTGTGTCTTAGCTATTTTTTTGCCCTTTGGTCTTTCATATTCCAGAGAATATATTAAATATCCCAAGCAGGCATGGTGGTTCACACCTATAATCCCAGCACTTTGGGAGGCTGAGGTGGGAGGAGTGCACAAGGCGAGGAGTTTGAGACTAGCCTTTGCAACATAGCTAGACTCCATTTCTACAAAAAATTTTTAAAACAAACAGGGTGTGGTAGCATGCATCTGTAGTCCCAGCTACCTGGGAGGCAGAGGCAGGAGAATCGCTTGAGCTCAGGAGTATAGGTTGCAATGAGCTATGATTGTGCCACTGTACTGTGGCCTGGGTGACAGAGTAAAACTTTGTCTCTAAAAAACAGAAATATCCCTCTTTATCCTTGATAGTATTTTTTAGGCCTTTATTAGTTTTTTCATGTTACATCTTTTAGATTATTTTCTTTTTAATCTATCTGTGACTATATTTAAAGTCAATTCTTGTTTTTTCCTTTTCCTTTTTGTGGGTAACGGGGTCTCACTATGTTGCCCAGGCAGATCTCAAACTCCTGGGCTCAAGCTGTCCTCCCACCTCTGCCACCCTAAGTGTTGAGATTACAGGCATGAGCCACTGCACCCAGCCTTAAAGTGAATTGTTATAGGCAACAACACAGTGGGGTCTTTTATTTTATTTTTTATTTGTTTATGAGACAGACTCGCTCTGTTGCCTACGCTGGAGTGCAGTGGTGCAGTCTTGACTCACTGCAGCCTGGACTTCCCAGGCTCAAGCAATCCTCCCACCTCAGACTCCTGAGTAGCTGGGACTACAGGCACATGCCACCAAGCCTGGCTAAGTTTGTTAGTTTTTTATAGAGACAAGGTCTCACTATGTTGCCCAGTCTGATCTCGAACACCTAGCCACAAGCAATTCTCCTGCCTTGTCTTCCCAGAGTGCTGGGATTACAGGTGTGGACCACTGAACCCAGCAGGTCTTGCTTTTTTTTTGAGATGGAGGTGTGAGCCACCACATCCAGCCAGGTTTTCTCTTTTTTTTTTTTTTTGAGACGGAGTCTTGCTCTGTCGCCCAGGCTGGAGTGCAGTGGCACGATCTTGGCTCACTGCAAGCTCCGCCTCCTGGGTTCACACCATTCTCCTGCCTCAGCCTCGCGAGTAGCTGGGACTACAGGCACCCCGCCACCACACCTGGCTAATTTTTTGTATTTTTAGTAGAGACGGGGTTTCACCGTGTTAGCCAGGATGGTCTCGATCTCCTGACCTCATGATCCACCTGCCTTGGCCTCCCAAAGTGCTGGGATTACAGGCGTAAGCCACCACGCCTGGCCAGGTCTTGCTTTTTAAGAGTCTGACAATAACTGCTTTCTAATTGGAATGTTTAGAACGTTTAAATTTAATGCAATTATGAATATGGTTGGATTTAAACCTATTTTACCATTTGCTTTCTATTTATTTCATCACTTCTTTGTTTCTTTTTCTTTTCCTGACTTCCTAGGGTTTAGGGTTTTTTTTTTTTTCTTTTTTCTACCCCCTCCTTGAGTATTTTTTTTTGTACTCCATTTTATTTCTGTCAGCTTATTAGCTATTAATCCTTATTTTACCTTTTTACTACTTGCTCTAGAGTTTACCATATGCCTATTTAACATATCATAGTAATCTTCAAAAATATTATAACAGCTGGGTGCAGTGGCTCATGCCTGTAATCCCGGTAATTTGGGAGGCTGAGGCAGGCAGATCACTTGAGGTCAAGAGTTCCAGAGCAACCTGGGCAACATGGTGAAACCCCGTCTCTACTAAAAATACAAAAAAATTAGCTGGGTGTGGTGGCGCACACCTGTAATCCCAGCTGCTTGGGAGGCTGAGGCACGAGAATTGCTTGAACCCAGGAAGCAGACGCTGCAGAAAGCTGAGATCGTGCCACTGCACTCCAGCCTGGGTGACACAGTGAGACTCTGGGTCAAAAAAATATATAACACTTGACATAAAATGTATGAACCATACAATAGTATATTTCCATTTCTCCCCTCTCATCCTTTGTGCTATTGTCATACATTTTATTTCCATGTACTTTAATAAATCTTACAATATAATGTTATATCTTTGCTTTAAACAATTTAAGTACATTTTTACAACGGCAAAAGTCTTTCATATTTGCCCTCTTAGTTATCTTATCATTCCTGGTACTTTTCATTCCTTTGAGTAGAACCAAATTTCCATCTGCTATCATTTTCCTTTTAAATGATGTGCTTCCTTTCACTTTTTTTTTTTTTTTTTTTTTTTGAGATGGAGTCTTGCTCTGTCTCCTAGGCTGGAGTTCAGCGCCACGATCTCGGCTGACTGCAACCTCTGCCTCCCGGGTTCAAGTGATTCTCCTGCCTCAACCTCCTGAGTAGCTAGGATTACAGGTGCCCACCACCATGCCAGGCTAATTTTTGTATTTTTAGTAGAGATAGAGTTTCACCATGTTGGCCAGGCTGGTCTTGAACTCCTGACCTCATGATCTGCCTGCCTCAGCCTCCCAAAGTGCTGGGATTACAGGGGTGAACCACTGTGCCTGGTCCCTTTCACATTTTTTGTAGTGCAGTTATGCTGGCAACTGACTTTATTTGGCATTTGTTTGTATGAATAAGTTTATATTTTACCTTCCTTCATAGTTCTTTTCCTTGATGGGCCTATTAAAATATTTTTTTTCTTTTGTAAGCCACTTCACCCCTTCCCTATGGGTTTGTTTTTATTTACCTCTACATGGCTGACTTTGGACAGAAACGTTAAAAGTTCTACTTGTTGTTTTCCTGAAGCTATGCTTCTATTTCTGGACTCATCGCCAAGTCACCTGAAGGCAATACAAATGAAGTATCTGGGCCACATGCAGTGGCTCACGCCTGTAATCCCAGCACTTTGGGAAACTGAGGTGGGAGGATACCTTGAGCCCAGAAAAAAAAAAAATTAGCCTGGCATGGTGGCACGTGCCTGTAGTCCCAGTTACTTGGGAGGCTGAGGTGGGAGGATCACTTGAGCCTGGGAGTTGGAGGCTACATTGATCCTTGGTCGTGTCACTACCCTCAAGCCTGGACAAAAGAGTGAGACCTTGTCTCAAAAAAAAAAAAAAAAAAAAAGTGTCCCTTTGCTTTACTCCTGCTCTCCAGTGATTCTACAGCATGGAATAGGCCACTGACTTACTCACATGTATAGTTCTCATCTGTCCATTTTAATAATTGCAACTAGAGCTCTTTTTGAACTTTCTCTCTTGTTCTTCAAGCATACATCAAACCTGAGTTTAGAGGGTATTTGCGTCCTAGTTTCACGAGATTGGCAAGTAGTTTTTAGAGAGTATGTTTGTGGCCATTCTTTTCTTTTGATACTGACGGAGGGTTTCTTTTTTAATTTTTTGTTTGTTTAAGACAGGGTCTTACTCTGTCACCCAGGCTGGAGTGCAGTGATGCAATCACGGCTCACTGTAGCCCCAACCTCCTGGCCTCAAGTGATCTTCTTGCCTCAGCACCCCCAAGTAGCTGGGACTATACATGCATGCCACCCTGCTAGCTAATTTTTAGAGGAGGTCTCTCTATGTTGCACAGGTTGGTCTGGTCTTGAACTTCTGACCTCAAGTGAAACTCCTACTTTGGCTTCCCAAAGTGCTGGGATTACAGGCATGAGCCATTGCACCTGGCAATGGAGTGGTTTGTGGTTGGTTAGTTTTTTGTTTGTTTGTTTGTTTGTTTTTGAGACAGAGTTTCACTCCTGTTGCCCAGGCTAGAGTGCAATGGTGCGATCTCGGCTTACTTCAACTTCTGCCTCTTGGGTTCAAGCAATTCTCCTGCCTCAGCCTCCCAGGTCGCTGGGATTACAGGCGTCCGCCACAACGCCCGGCTAATTTTTGTATTTTTAGTAGAGGTGAGGTTTCACCATGTTGGTCAGGTTGGTCTCAAACTCCTGACCTCAAGTGATCCACCCGCCTCAGCCTCCCGAACTGCTGGGATTACAGGCGTGAGCCACCATGCCTGGCCTTGTTTGTTTTTTGTTTTGTTTTGAGACAGAGTCTCACTCCATTGCCCAGACTAGAGTGCAGTGGCACAATCTCAGCTCACTGCAACCTCCGCCTCCCAGGTTCAAGCGATTCTTGTGCCCCAGCCTCCTAAGTAGCTAGGACTACAGGTGTGCGCCACCACTGCCTGGTTAATTTTGGAATTTTCTTTTTAATAGAGACAGGGTTTTGCCATGTTGGCCAGGCTGGTCTCAAACTTCTGGCCTCAAGTGATCTGCCCGCCTCGGCCTCCCAAAGTGCTGGGATTTTGGGTGTGAACCACCGCACTCACAGAGTTTTTTTCTTTTTTTAATAAATTTTTATTTGAAATTATTTAGATTTGCAGAAAGTGCAAAGTAATACAAAGAGTTCCTATATATTGCCATACCCAATTTACCCTAATGCTAACATCTTACACTAGCATATTTGTCAAAATCATCAGTGTACCAATTCATATACTGTACATTACTATTTACTAAAATCCAGAGTTTATTTGGATTTCACCAGTTTTTCCACTATGTTGTTTTTTGTTCCAGAATTCATAAATAGAGGGTTTTTTTTTTCCTATTTTTGATTCTTTAAGTTCATTTTTGTTGGTTGCATGGAGGAGTGTCATATACGCACTCATTCCACCAAATTCCCTTGATATCCTTTACCGTTACTTTATAAACCATTTACATTTCTCTTGCAGAGAGCCACAACCTAAGTGCCTTACCTGATGACACTGACAGAGAGAATCACTGGAAATGATAGTTTTATACTTAATTCTTGTCACTAAAACTCTAATAGTGTTTTTAAAAACCTAATACAAGGCCAGGCCTGGCGGCTCACACCTATCATCCCAGCACTTTGGGATGCCTAGGGAGGAGAATTGCTCAAGGCCAGAAGTTTGAAACCAGAACAGCCTGGGCAACATAGTGAGACCCTGTCTCTGAAAAAACAAAACAAACAACAACAGCAACAACAACAACAAAAATACCTAACACAAATACTTAAATGCATACAACTATTTTTATAACTTTTAACTTTTACACTTAGTTGTCCATTTCTCCAAAATATGAAGTCCTCTGCGGAAGTGACTCCAGACCTTCAGAGCCGTGGTGAACTTTGTGAATTACTGGTAATGAACACCGTCATCTTGTCTGTTTTACCAGCACATGATCATATAATTGAAAACTGTTTTGAACAGGAATGTCTCATCATAAATAAGTTAATAAATTCTACAAACATCTACTAAACATCTGTTATGTTCTAGGTACAGATTGGGGAAATCACAATAAACCAGTCGGGCACAATACCTAGCTTCATGAAATGTATAGTCAATCTCTTCTACTTCAAGGCCCAGACTCTCTTAGACTTTGTTGATTAGCATCCAGGCTAAATGGATCCTCTCTGGATCTTCATGTGGAGGGCAATAAGGCTGGATTTGCTACTTGGCCTTTTTAGGGGTTGAGAAGATGTTACTTTAACAAAAGCAAGTGCCCAACAAAATCATAAACCCAGGTAATAGGCTGACCACTTTAAGCTGAGAAATCCTACCTAGTTCTCTGGGATATAAGCCACTACTAATTTAATGCACACATATACCACCTTATTTTGAGGCTGTGTGTTAGGTATGTTATGTTTGTCATCCCCCCACCCCCAACACACACAAAAACCAACTTGCTATTCACGTGATTCATTTTCTATATGAATTGAAAAATGGCACTAAAGAAAAAAGTTTGGGGATATAGAAATAGCTTATTTTTTAAGGAAGAAACATAACCTTTCTAAGTACTGGATGTGTAATATTAAAAATGTAGTTAACCAAGGACAGAGGCTGCACCTAATGACTTTTGGAGGAACCTTCTTGCTCAAGACACTATGATTCTCGTTACCTGGATAGTATCACCCATGGATTGTATCATATATGAACCACTGAGGAACACACATTCCTGCAGATGTTTGCAGATTATTAATTGCTTTATATTTGGAGCACCCCTCCCTTCAATCAGCATAAATATTTGAGGGTGGGCTGTGTTTAGAAGATGTTTAGTCTCCAATGATTACAACATGATGCACCACTCTCCTATACAAATTTTGATTTAAGAAAAGATTTTATTTTTCAAAGGAAACCACAAGTGAAAGCAATCTTGAAGATTCAATAGCAGTTGGTCCTATAGTGCCAGGTAAGAACTTTGAAGTAGCACGTGGGATTATATGTATTTGTAAATATATTTGTATACAGGGCAGTTGCAAAAAAAAGAGTATTTATAATTGTCCAAAGAGCTTCCAAAGAGGAGCAGCATTGCAACAGTGTCGTGTATGAGCAAAAGTCAAGATTCTTGTGGCTTCTCCAGAGTGCAGGCAGGACCAAACTGATAGTAGGCAACGTGTCTCAGGTACAAGCAAACCAGTCCTTAGAAGCACCAATCAGTAAACTTCTTTCCTGAGATTTTTATTTTTATTCATTTTATTTTATTTTATTTTATTTGAGACAGGGTCTTACTTTGTCACCCAGGCTGGAATGCAATGGCAAGATCATGGCTCACCGCAGCGTCGACCTCCCAGGCTCAAGTGATCCTCCCATCTCAGCCTCCCCAGTAGCTGGGACCACAAGCATGTGCCACCACACCTGGCTAATTTTTGTATTTTTTGTAGAGACAGGGTTTTGCCATGTTGGCCAGGCTGGTCTTGAACTCCTAGGCTCAAGCAATTCGCCTGCCTCGGTCTCCCACAGTGCTGGGATTACAGGCATGAGTCACTTTGCCTGGCCTCTTTCCTGAGATGCATGGTGCTTATGATAAGCACACATTATGTCTAGGTCCCTGCTTCAAGTGTGGCACTTTGGACACATGCTTCCCACATTCCGATTTTGTGCCAAAACCTATGAGATGATCGCAATGTGGGAATCATGGATGGCTGTGGAAAATCCTAACACATTCGTAGTAGACAGGCAGAATCATGGAATGAAAAGGCATGGCGTTCAGACTGAGGGAGATGTGACTATGAATCCCTGTTGTGCCCCCCTTTCTTTCTCTCCACAGAAATGGCACAGGGTGAAGCCCAGTGGTTTCAAGAGGCAAAGAATCTGAATGAGCAGCTGAGAGCAGCTTATACCAGCGCCAGTTTCCGCCACGTCTTTGCTTGATATCTCTTCCGATCTGGCCACGGACCACTTGCTGGGCTGTGATCTGTCTATTGCTTCAAAACACATCAGCAAACCTGTGCAAGAACCTCTGGTGCTGCCTGAGGTCTTTGGCAACTTGAACTCTGTCATGTGTGTGGAGGGTGAAGCTGGAAGTGGAAAGACGGTCCTCCTGAAGAAAATAGCTTTTCTGTGGGCATCTGGATGCTGTCCCCTGTTAAACAGGTTCCAGCTGGTTTTCTACCTCTCCCTTAGTTCCACCAGACCAGACGAGGGGCTGGCCAGTATCATCTGTGACCAGCTCCTAGAGAAAGAAGGATCTGTTACTGAAATGTGCATGAGGAACATTATCCAGCAGTTAAAGAATCAGGTCTTATTCCTTTTAGATGACTACAAAGAAATATGTTCAATCCCTCAAGTCATAGGAAAACTGATTCAAAAAAACCACTTATCCCGGACCTGCCTATTGATTGCTGTCCGTACAAACAGGGCCAGGGACATCCGCCGATACCTAGAGACCATTCTAGAGATCAAAGCATTTCCCTTTTATAATACTGTCTGTATATTACGGAAGCTCTTTTCACATAATATGACTCGTCTGCGAAAGTTTATGGTTTACTTTGGAAAGAACCAAAGTTTGCAGAAGATACAGAAAACTCCTCTCTTTGTGGCGGCGATCTGTGCTCATTGGTTTCAGTATCCTTTTGACCCATCCTTTGATGATGTGGCTGTTTTCAAGTCCTATATGGAACGCCTTTCCTTAAGGAACAAAGCGACAGCTGAAATTCTCAAAGCAACTGTGTCCTCCTGTGGTGAGCTGGCCTTGAAAGGGTTTTTTTCATGTTGCTTTGAGTTTAATGATGATGATCTCGCAGAAGCAGGGGTTGATGAAGATGAAGATCTAACCATGTGCTTGATGAGCAAATTTACAGCCCAGAGACTAAGACCATTCTACCGGTTTTTAAGTCCTGCCTTCCAAGAATTTCTTGCGGGGATGAGGCTGATTGAACTCCTGGATTCAGATAGGCAGGAACATCAAGATTTGGGACTGTATCATTTGAAACAAATCAACTCACCCATGATGACTGTAAGCGCCTACAACAATTTTTTGAACTATGTCTCCAGCCTCCCTTCAACAAAAGCAGGGCCCAAAATTGTGTCTCATTTGCTCCATTTAGTGGATAACAAAGAGTCATTGGAGAATATATCTGAAAATGATGACTACTTAAAGCACCAGCCAGAAATTTCACTGCAGATGCAGTTACTTAGGGGATTGTGGCAAATTTGTCCACAAGCTTACTTTTCAATGGTTTCAGAACATTTACTGGTTCTTGCCCTGAAAACTGCTTATCAAAGCAACACTGTTGCTGCGTGTTCTCCATTTGTTTTGCAATTCCTTCAAGGGAGAACACTGACTTTGGGTGCGCTTAACTTACAGTACTTTTTCGACCACCCAGAAAGCTTGTCATTGTTGAGGAGCATCCACTTCTCAATACGAGGAAATAAGACATCACCCAGAGCACATTTTTCAGTTCTGGAAACATGTTTTGACAAATCACAGGTGCCAACTATAGATCAGGACTATGCTTCTGCCTTTGAACCTATGAATGAATGGGAGCGAAATTTAGCTGAAAAAGAGGATAATGTAAAGAGCTATATGGATATGCAGCGCAGGGCATCACCAGACCTTAGTACTGGCTATTGGAAACTTTCTCCAAAGCAGTACAAGATTCCCTGTCTAGAAGTCGATGTGAATGATATTGATGTTGTAGGCCAGGATATGCTTGAGATTCTAATGACAGTTTTCTCAGCTTCACAGCGCATCGAACTCCATTTAAACCACAGCAGAGGCTTTATAGAAAGCATCCGCCCAGCTCTTGAGCTGTCTAAGGCCTCTGTCACCAAGTGCTCCATAAGCAAGTTGGAACTCAGCGCAGCCGAACAGGAACTGCTTCTCACCCTGCCTTCCCTGGAATCTCTTGAAGTCTCAGGGACAATCCAGTCACAAGGTATACCTGTATATATTTTGGATGACTATTCTGATGTATAATTTCTTTTTCTTACTTTAAGTGGTTGAAAACTTCTGAGGCCATGAAAGCATGCATGCTCATTGATAGAACAGATATAAAATAAACCTTCACTAATTTTTTTTGACAGTAGCATGAATTAGTGAAAAGTCCTTGAATAATAGAATGGTTTTCAAATAACTCAGACAAAATGAATAAAATATTTATATTAAATTATTGAAGGTTCTTAATAAAGACATGAATTATCTGTTATTAGTAAAAGAATTAGCTATATGTAAGATGATGCTTAGAAATTACCTTCACCCTAGCTGCCTAAAGGAAGAAAGGCCTGTAGTCCCTGGGAAATAAATAAATTAATGGGAAATAATATCTTCATCTATTTGTGTCTTAACTCCTCTAAGCACTATTTGATAGTTTTCAGTGTAGACTTAACCCATCTTTCATTAAATTTATTCCTAGATACTCATATCTTTTGAAAGTATTGTAAATGTCATTAAAAATATTTTTTCATTTTCTAATTGTTGCTAGTATTGCTTTGGTCTTAAGCAGTTTGACTGTTATATGCCTAGGTGTGCTTTGCTTTGTATGTATCTTGCTTGAGGTGCACTGAACTTTTTTGGAATGTGTGGGTTGACATTTACCAAATTTAGAAAATTTTTCATCTTTTTTCAAGTACTGTTTTATTATGGTAAAATACATGTAACAAAGCTTACATTTTAATCATTTTAAATGTACAACTCAGTGGCATTAAGCATTCACTATGTTGTACAACCATCACCGCTATCCATCTCCAGAACCTTTTCATCATCCCAATTAAACAATAAATTGGGCCGGGCGCGGGGGCTCACGCCTGTAATCCCAGCACTTTGGGAGGCCGAAGAGGGTGGATCGCCAGAGCTCAGGAGTTTGAGACCACCCTGGGCAACATGGTGAAACCACGTCTCTACTAAAATACAAAAAATTAGCTGGGCGTGGTGGCATGCGCCTGTAGTCCCAGCTATTCGGGAGGCTGAGGCATGAGAATCACTTAAGCCTGGGAGGCAGAGGTTGCAGTGAGCCCAGATCATGCCACTGCACTCCAGCTTGGGCTACCGAGTGAGACTCCGTCTCAAAAAAAAAAAAAAAAAAAAAAAAAAAAAAAAATCTTCCCTCCCACCAGCCCCTGATAACTTCTCTTCTATTTTCTGTCTCTATGAATTTGCCTCTTCTAGATATTGTTTATAAGCATTATCACTTGTCTGGCTTATTTCACTTTGCATACTGTTCAAGGTACATCATGTTGTAGCCTATATTGGAATTTCATTCCTTCACATGTACTCCATAAATATGTACAATTATTATGTATCAACTTTGAAAAGGAACTTCATCCTTTTTATAGCTAATATTCCATGGTATGTATATAGTACATTTTGTTTATCCATTCTGCTGCTGAGAGACACTTGGGTTGTTTCTACCTTCTGGCTATCATAAATAATGCTGCAATGAACACTGGCATTATAAGTATCGGTTTAAGTTCTTGCTTTTAATCATTTTGGGTATATACCTAGAAGCAGAATTGCTGATTCATATGGTAGTTCTATGTTTAACTTTTTGAGGAACTTGCACAGTAGCTGCACCATCTTACATTCCCACTATCCATGTACAAAGGTTCCAATTACTCCACATCCTCTTCAGCACTTGTTAATTTTTGTTTTTGTGGAGACAGAGTCTAATTCTGTCACCCAGGCTGGAGTGCAGTGGCGAGATCTTGGCTCACTGCAACCTCCACCTCTCGGGTTCAAGCAATTCTCCTGTCTCAGCCTCCTGAGTAGCTGGGACTACAGGTGTGCACCACCATACCTGGCTAACTTTTGTATTTTTAGTAGAGATGGGGTTTCGCCATGTTGCCCAAGCCGGTCTCGAACTCCTGAGCTCAGGCAGTCCAGCCACCTTGGCCTCCCGAAGTGCTAGGATTACAGGCATGAGCCACAGTGCCCGACCTGTTTTTGTTTTCATTGTTGTTTTTCAGACAGTGTCTCGCTCTATTGCCCAAGCTGGAGTGCTGTGGTGCAATCATGGCTCACTGCAGCCTCAACCTCTTGAGCTCAGGTGATCCTCCTGCCTCAGCCTCCTGAGTAGCTGAGACTACCAGCATGCACCACCGTGCCTGGATAATTTTTTATTTTTTGTAGAGACAGATTCTTGCTATGTTGCCTAGTCTGGTCTTTTTTCTTTTTCTTTCTTTTTTTTTTTTTGAGATGGAGCCTCGCTCTGTCCCCCAGGCTGGAGTGCAGTGGCGCAATCTCGGCTCACTGCAAGCTCTGCCTCCTGGGTTCACGCCATTCTCTTGCCTCAGCCTCCCAAGTAGCTGGGATTACAAGCTCCCGCCACCACACCCAGCTAATTTTTGTATTTTTAGTAGAGATGGGGTTTCACCATGTTGGCCAGGCTGGTCTTGAACTCCTGACCTCAGGTGATCCACCCACCTCGGCCTCCCAAAGTGCTGGGATTACAGGCATGAGCCACCGTGCCTGGCCCCTAGTCTGGTCTTGAACTCCTGGGCTCAAATGATCCACCCACCTTGGCCTTCCAAAGTGCTGGGATTACAGGTATGAGCCACCTCACCCAGCCCATTTTGTTTTGTGATTATCATAAAGCCGTTCTAGTAGTTGTGAAGTGGTATCTCATTGTGGTTTTGATTTGCATTTCTCTAATGCAAATCATGAAAATGATGTTAAGTATCTTTTCACTTTTTGAAAAAATATCTGTTTGCTCATTTAAAAATTGTTGTTGTTTTTGTTGCATTGTAAGAGTTATTTGTATATTCTGGATTTCAACCTGTTATCAGATACACAGTTTGAAAATATTTTTCCCATTCCATAGGTTGTCATTTTACTTTATTTATAATGTCCTTTGTGCACGAAAGTTTTAAATTTTGACGAAGTCCAATTTATCTGTTTTTTTCTTTTATTGCTGGTCCTTTTGGTGTCCTATCTAAGAATCCATTGCCAAATCCAAGGTCATGAAGATTAACTCCTATGTTTTTTCTAAGAGTTGTGTGATTTCAGCTTTTATATTTAGGTCGTTGATCCATTTTGAGTTGATTTTTTTTACATGGTGAGGGATAGGAATCCAACTTCATTCTTTCGCATGTGCAAATCCAGTTGTCCCCAACCGTTTGTTGAAGAGATGCTATATTTCTTTTCTCTTCTTTTTTTTTTTTTTTTTTTTTTTTGAGACGGAGTCTCACACTGTAGCCTGGGCTGGAGTGCAATGGCGCGATCTTGGCTCACTGCAACCTCCGTCTCCCAGGTTTATGTGATTCTCCTGCCTCAGCCTCCTGAGTAGCTGGGATTACAGATGCACACCACCATACCCAGCTAATTTTTTTTTTGTATTTTTAGTAGAGACGGGGTTTCACTATGTTGGCCAGACTGGTCTCAAACTCCTGACCTCGTGATCCGCCCGCCTCAGCCTCCCAAAGTGCTGGGATTACAGGCATGAGCCACTGCGCCTAGCCGAGATGCTGTATTTCTTTTTGTGAGTCTGAAGAGTAGCACAGGGCTTCCCATACAGTGCATAAGCTGCAAAAAGCAATATCTTCATATATGTATTCTTTAAAAAAAAAAAAGAATGTTTTATGGTATGTGGAAGGTTTGCATGTGAAAATAGCTGGATGAATCAAAATGACAGTTTTAAAATGTCCATTCAGAACTCTTTAGATTAATAATGGGAAACTGTGCTGCTTTCCAGACCAAATCTTTCCTAATCTGGATAAGTTCCTGTGCCTGAAAGAACTGTCTGTGGATCTGGAGGGCAATATAAATGTTTTTTCAGTCATTCCTGAAGAATTTCCAAACTTCCACCATATGGAGAAATTATTGATCCAAATTTCAGCTGAGTATGATCCTTCCAAACTAGGTAAGGATGGCACTTTAATATACTTGTGTTTACGTAAGTTGGAAAAGCTACTTGGCCAATAATTTATTTAAGAGTTAAAGTGCCTGTGGTTCTAAGGGTGTAGCCTGTATCCATGGTAAATTGTGAGGAATAGCACTCTTTCTCATTAAGAAAGCAGAGTGCTGTTTGTAATTATTGAGCCTTTACTACACACTAGGAAGTATCCTAAGCACTTCACAAATATGAACTCAGTCTTCATACCCACTCTATGAAGTAAAGTACTATTATTATTATTATTATTATTATTTTTTTTTTTTTTTTTTGAGACAGTCTCGCGCTGTCGCCCAGGCTGGAGTGCAGTGGCACGATCTCGGCTCACTGCAAGCTCCTCCTCCCAGGTTCACCATTCTCCTGCCTCAGCCTCCCAAGTAGCTGGGACTACAGGTGCCTGCCACCACGCCCAGCTAATTTTTTGTATTTTTAGTAGAGACGGCGTTTCACCGTGTTAGCCAGGATGGTCTCGATCTCCTGACCTCATGATCTTCCCGCCTCGGCCTCCCAAAGTGCTGGGATTACAGGCATGAGCCACTGTGCCTGGCGAAAGTAAAGTACTATTATTAATGCTATTTTGTAGCTGGGAAAACTGAGACATAAAGAGATAAAGTAATTCGTAATATCCAGCTAAGGAAATGTATATCTGTGACTCAAATACAGGAATTTTGACTCCAAAATCTGAGTTCTTAATCCCTAATATAGGCCGGGCCTGGTGGCTCACACCTGTAATCCCAGCACTTTGGGAGGCCGAGAAGGGCAGATCACCTGAGGTCAGGAGTTCGAGACCAGCCTGACCAACATGGTGAAACCCTGCCTCTACTAAAAATGCAAAAATTTGCTGGCATGGTGGCATATGCCTGTAATCCCAGCTACTTGAGAGGCTGAAGCAGGAGAATTACCTGAACCTGGGAGGCAGAGATTGCAATGTGAGCCGAGATCGCGCCATTGTACTCCAGCCTGGGGAACAAGAGTAAAACTCCATGGGGAACAAGAGCAAAACTCCATCTCAGAAAAAAAAAAAAAAAAAAAAGAAATCCCTAATATAATGTTGCCACTCCAAAATAATTTGTAGGGTTATTTTATTTTGTTTTTGGTTAGGCTGGTCTTACATTGCAACTTACAGATCTGGCAGCTCAGCAGGAAGGAAATCTGCTAATCCGTAGTCATTGGAAGTATTTCCCTGTTTCTCACCAGCCTATCCTAATAGTTCATGGAAAACGGTGCAGCCATCTTTCTTAAATACATCATTTAGCTAAATGACTTAGGCACCATCATTCCTTAACTTAGTAAACACTGAACACCATGTTGGCCAGCCTGGTCTCGAACTCCTGACTTCAAGTGATCTACCCACCTCGGCCTCCCAAAATGCTGGGATTACAAGCGTGAGCCACTGTGACTTGCCAATTTAGTCTGGTTTGTAGGCATGATGTGCCTTGGCATGTGACCTCCTGTGAGACCAAAAGAGAAGCTCATATTTGTCCAGGATGGTGAAACTCTCAGCACAATGGCGTCAGTGCTTTAGGCTTGGCTGTACTTCTTTGGTTTCTGCTTCTCCCTTAGATTTTTGCCAGGTGGTTCTTTATTAACCCATCAGCTCTTTGGGGTTTTTAAGGAGATATTTTCAAAATATTATATTAAGCTGGGCACAGTGACACGTGCTTGTAATCCCACCTACTTGGGAAGCTGAGGCAGGAGGATCACTTGAGTCCAGGAGTTTGAGACCAGCCTGTGATGAGAAAGACATCCTCAATCTAAGTACTTAACTATTCTCCAGAAATGGATACTGCCGTTCTCTCCAATCATTCAGAAATAAAAGATTCAGCTAAAAACTGCTGAATCAATAATTTGTCTTGGGGCATATTGAGGATGTAAAAAAAGTTGTTGATTAATGCTAAAAACCAAATTATCCAAAATTATTTTATTAAATATTGCATACAAAAGAAAATGTGTAAGGCTTGCTAAAAAACAAAACAAAACAAAACACAGTCCTGCATACTCACCACCAAGCTCAAGAAATAAATCATCACCAATACCTTTGAGGTCCCTGAGTAATCCACCCCAGCTAAAGGCAAACCCTTCAATCAAGTTTATACAGCTAACCCTCCATTGTCCATGGTCAACAGGGAAGGGGTTGGGGACAGGTCTGCCAATCTATCTAAAAGCCACAATATGGAAGAAGTATTCAATTTATATAATAAATGGCTAACTTAACGGTTGAATCACTTTCATACATGGATGAAACGGGTTTAACACAGGAACCACATGAATCTTCTGTGGGCCAAGAGATGTTCCTTAATCCTTGTAGAATATTCCTTAATCCTTGTAGAACCTGTTTTCTATATTGAACTAGCTTTGGTACAGTAGAGTTAACTTACTTTCCATTTATCCACTGCCAATATAAAGAGGAAACAGGGGTTAGGGAAAAATGACTTCATTCCAGAGGCTTCTCAGAGTTCAACATATGCTATAATTTAGAATTTTCTTATGAATCCACTCTACTTGGGTAGAAAATATTTTATCTCTAGTGATTGCATATTATTTCCATATCATAGTATTTCATAGTATTATATTTGATATGAGTGTCTATATCAATGTCAGTGTCCAGAATTTCGTTCCTACCAGTTAAGTAGTTTTCTGAACGGCCAGAAGACCATTCGAAATTCATGATACTACTATAAGTTGGTAAACAACCATACTTTTATCCTCATTTTTATTCTCACTAAGAAAAAAGTCAACTCCCCTCCCCTTGCCCAAGTATGAAATATAGGGACAGTATGTATGGTGTGGTCTCATTTGTTTAGAAAACCACTTATGACTGGGTGCGGTGGCTCACACCTGTAATCCCAGCACTTTGGGAGGCTGAGGCGGGCGAATCATTTGAGGTGAGGAATTCGAGACCAGCCTGGCCAGCATGGTGAAACCCCATCTCTACTAAAAATACAAAAATTAGCCAGGTGTGGTGGCACATGCCTGTAGTCCCAGCCACTAGGGCGGCTGAGACGCAAGACTTGCTTGAACCCGGGAGGCAGAGGTTGCAGTGAGCCAAGATGGCGCCACTGCATTCCAGCCTGGGCAACAGAGCAAGACCCTGTCTGTCTCAAAACAAAAAACAAAACCACTTATATTGCTAGCTACATTAAGAATTTCTGAATATGTTACTGAGCTTGCTTGTGGTAACCATTTATAATATCAGAAAGTATATGTACACCAAAACATGTTGAACATCCATGTTGTACAACTGAAATATAAATAATTTTGTCAATTATACCTAAATAAAACTGGAAAAAAATTTCTGGAAGTTTATATCTAAAAATGTTAATAGTGCGTACCTCTAGGAAGTGGGCCTGGAAGCCATTCTTACTTTTCAGTCTCTCCCATTCTGTACTGTTTTTTGTTTTACTTTCGTGCCTGCATTATTTTTCTATTTAAAACAAAAATAAATCTAGTTTAGCACTAAAATATTAACTGGAGCTACCTCTGGAGGGCAAGAGTACTAGAAGGTGGGATGGATTGTCTTCTTGCTTGTCTGATTTTATATGTAATACCTTTGTAATTAGAAAGGTTGTTAAGCATTATATCAGAATCCAGTCAGGAGACAGAAACCACACAGAAATTTGAATGGGGAAAGTTTAATATACAGATGCTCGGCCTGACGCAGTGGCTCACGCCTGTAATTCCAGCACTTTGGGAGGCCGAGGTGGGCAGATCACTTGAGGTCAGGAGTTCGAGACCAGCCTGGCCAACATGGTGAAATCCTGTCTCTACTAAAAATACAAAAAAAAATTAAAAAAAAAAAAAAAGCCAGGCATGGTGGTGTGCACCTGTAGTCTCAGCTACTTGGGAGGCTGAGGCAGGAGAATTGCTTGAACCCAGGAGGCAGAGGTTGCAGTGAGCCAAGATCGTGCCACTGCATTCCAGCCTGGGTGACAGAGCAAGACTCCATTTCAAATAAATAAATAAATAAATAAAATAAGATGCTCCTCAACTTACAACAGGGTTATATCCTGAAAAACCCATTGTAAGTAGAAAATATTGTATGTCAGAAATGCATTTAATATACCTAAACTACCAAACATCATCGCTTAACCTGACCTACCTTAAACACGCTGAGAACACTTATATTAGCTTACAGTTGGGCAAAATCATAAACACAAAGCCTATTTTATAATAAAGTATTGAAAATCTCACGCAATTTATTGAATACTGTACAGAAAGTGAAAAATAGAGGTCGTATGAGTACTTGAGGAACAGTTTCTACTGAATGCGGATCACTTTTGCACCATTGCAAAGTAGAAAAATCCTAAGTCAAGTCATCATGAGTTGGGGACTGTCCGTAAGAGTTATTAACAGAGGATTGGAATGGGGATTGGGTAGTAAGGAATAAAGAGAAGCCTGGGCAGATGCAGGGAACAGCCGATATGGGCTTTTCACCCCAGGCTGAGACAGAACAACTCAAAGAAGAAAGCTCAGGGCTGAGATCCGGGCTGAGATCCAGACTTCGTGTGAGAGGACACAGCTGTGAAAGACAGAGGTTTGCTGAGGCTGTGGAGTTGCAGCTGGAGAAGGTGCTGGGCTTGGGGCACTTTGCAGAGAAGGGACCTTGTGCATGTCAAGGGAAGCCATTCATGTGGGGGTACTGTGCGCTGCTGACCATTGGGTGCTGCTGAAGTTAGGCACCGCCCAAGAAGTGTGCAGCCAGAACGAGGTGCTGCAGAGGCAGAGTGTATGTGCTACAGGAGCTGGTATTGCAGATGGCACAGGTGTTGCAGGTGTCTGCCTAGAGGAGCACAATGGAACCAGGAAAAGCAGCCCTTGCCCCTTCAGTGTGTCAGCAGCACCCTCGATTGACAAAGTTTCACTCTGTGCTTACTGTCATGGGAGAGGTATTTACAGGGCCCAGATCTATTATTACAGAACAGACAATGAAGACTGAATGTGGATATAAGAGGCAACAACTAGCATAACTCATTAAATCTAATAGTGCACACATAAACACAAAATAACCTAGTAATTTCTTAATATTGACTGACAGGATATATGCACGTGATGTATTTATAAATTCATGGAAAACTTATATAAAAAACAGGCAACCATAATTGAGTTTAGGGAGGAGAACAGGATGGCTGGTGGACAGAAAAGGGAGAGAGGGAAGTTTGCTTTTTTTCTCCTGCATACCCTTTTATACCAGTTGAGTTTTGTCCCATGTGTGCATACTATTAAAAAACCATAATACTTGACCAGGTGCAGTGGCTCACGCTGGTAATCCCAGCACTTTGGGAGGCCGAGGCGGGTGGATCACCTGAGGTTGGGAGTTCGAGACCAGCCTGACCAACATGGAGAAACCTTGTCTCTACTAAAAATACAAAATTAGCCACGCATGGTGGTGCCTTCCTGTAATCCCAGCTACTCGGGAGGCTGAGGCAGGAGAATTGCTTGAACCCAGGAGGCGGAGGTTGCAGTGAGCCAAGAACGCGCTATTGCACTCTAGCCTGGGCAACAAGAGCAAAATTCTGCCTCAAAAAAAAAAAAAAAAAATCATAAGATTCCATGCAAATTATTTTTCCAGAGCTGCTTCTAACAGCGTTTAGTTCAAGCAGCGGTCAGTAAAGTATGGCCCTGGACTGTCCAGCCCTCAAGCTAAGAATGGTTTTCACATTTTTTAAAGCAACAGAGACTCAGTGGCCTACAAAGCTAAAATATTTACTGTGTTCTTTTACAGAAAACAAACTATTTCTATGACGAAATACTTTTGAATCATAAGCTCATCATGCCCTTTATTCTAGTTTACATCAGTCTTCATAGGACTCCCAAGTCATCCCTCATTGACCTAAAAACTGTCCTCATGGTTGTAAGCCCTCCCTCCCTTCCTCCATCCATCTCTCCCTCTCTCTTTTTCTCCTTCCCTCTCTCCCTTCCTTCCTTTTCTTTCATAAAGAAAAGAGGTTTAGTTGACTCACGGTTCTGCAGGCTTTACAGGAAGCATGGTGCTGGCATCTGCTCGGCTTTTAGGGAGGCCTCAGGAAACTAAAATCATGGCAGAAGGTGAGCACACATGTCACATGATGAAAGCAGAAACAAGTGAGAGACAGTGGGGGGGCAGGGGGCAGGTTTCATACACTTTTAAATGACCAGATCTCACGAGAACTCAGTAACAACACAAAGGTAACACCAAGCCATGAGGGATCTGCCCCCATGATCCAAACACCTCCCACCATGCCCCATCTCCAACACTCGGGATAAAATTCAACATAAGTAGAGATAAATATCCAAACCACATCATTCCACCTCTGGCCCCTCCCAAATCTTATGTCCTTTTCACAATGCAAAATACAACCATGCCTTCCCAACAGTGCCGCAAAGTCTTAACTCATTCCAGCATTAACTCAGAAGTCCAAAGTCTCATCTGAGACAAGGCAAATCCCTGCCACCTATGAGCCTATAAAATAAAAAACAAATTATTTACTTCCAACATACAATCAGGGTTCAGGGGTTGGGGAAATATTCCCATTAGGGAAAAACCTGCCAAAAAAGGGGGCTATAGGCCCCATGCAAGTTCAAAACCCAGCATGGCAGTCATTAAATCATGAAACTCCACAATGATCTCCTTGGTTTCCATGTGGCACGCTGATATGAGGGTTGGGCTCCCAAGGCCTTGGGCAGCTCTGCTCCTATAGCTTTGCAGAGTTCAGCCTGCTGTCACAGGCTGGGTTGAGTGCCTGTGGCTTTTCCAAGTGCAGGGTACAAGCTGCCAGTGGCTCTACCATTCTGGAGAACAGTAGCCCTCTTCTCACAGCTCCACTAGGCAGTGCCCCAGTAGGGACTCTGCGTGGGGCCTTTAACCCCACATTTCCCCTCCACGCTGCCCTAGTAGAGGCTCTCTGTGAGGGCTCTGCCCCTGCAGCAGGGTTCTGCTTGGACACCCAGGCTTTTCCATACATCCTCTGAAATCCAGGCAGAGGCTACCAAGAATTCACCATTTTTGCATTCTGTGTGCCTGCAGGCTTACCACCTAATGGAAGCTGTGAAGGCTATGGCTTATGCCCTCCAAAGTAACAGCCCAAGCTGTACCTAGGCCCCTTTGAGCCCCTGCTGGAGTTGGAGCCATCTGGATGCAGGGAGCAGTGTTCTGAGGCTGCACAGGGCAACAGGGCCCTGGGCTCAGCCCAGGAAAATATTCAGTCCTCCTTGGCTTCAGGGCCTATGACAGGAGGGGCTGCCCCATAGGTCTCTGAAATGCCTTTGAGGCCTTTTCCCCATTGTCTTGGATATTACCACTTGGATCCCTTTCAGTTATGCAAATATCAGCAAGTGGTTGCTCCACAGCCTGCTTGAATTCCTTGGAGAAAATGGTTTTTTTTTTTACCACCTGGCTAGGCTGCAAAATTTCCCAACTTTTAGGCTCTGCTTCCTGTTTAAATGTAAGTTCCAAATTTAAGTCATTCATTTGCCCCCACATCTGAGCACAGGCTGTTAGTAGCAGAAGGCCACATCTTGAATGCTTTGCTGCTTAGAAATTTCTTCTGCCACATACGCTAGGTCATAGTTTTTAAGTTCAAACTTCCACAGATCCCTAGGACACAAGCAGAATGCAGCCAAGTTATTTGCTAAGGCATAACGTGTGACTTTTGCTCCAGTTCCCAATAAATTCGTTTCCTTTTGAGACCTTGTCAACCTGGACTTCACTGTCCCTATCACCATCAGCATTTTGGTCACAACCACTTATCTAGTCTCTAAGAAGTTCCAGACTTGCCGGGAGCGGTGGCTCACGCCTGTAAACCTAGCACTTTGGGAGGTCGAGGTGGGTGAATCACTTGAGGTCAGGAGTTCGAGACCAGCCTGGCCAACATGGTGAAACCCCATCCCTAATAAAATACAAAAATATTAGCCAGGCATGGTGGTGCATGCCTGTAACCCCAGCTGCTTGGGAAGCTGAGGCAGAAAAATCACTTGAACCCGGGAGGCAGAGGTTGCAGTGAGCCAAGATCACGCCACTGCACTCCAGCCTGGGCGACAGAGCAAGACTCCGTCTCAAAAAAAAAAAAAAAAAAAAAAAAAAGTTCGAAACTTACCCTCATTTTCCTGTCTTCTTCTGAGCCCTGTAAACTCTTCCAGCCACTACTCATTACCCAGTTCCAAAGCTGTTTCCACATTTTCAGGTATCTTTATAGCAATGCCCAACTTCTCGGTACCAATTTCCTGTATTGGGGCATTCTTGCACTGCTATAAAGAAATACCTCAAACTGGGTAATTTACAAAGAGGTTTAATTGGCTCATGGTTCTGCAGGCTTTACAGGAAGCATGGTGCTGGCATCTGCTTGGCTTCTAGGGAGACCTCAGGAAGCTTACAGTCATGGTGGAAGGTGAAGGGGTAGCAGACACATCACATGGTAAAAGCAGGGGCAAGTGAGAGAGCTAAACTCCCGCTTTCTGATCACATATCCCAACCTGCTCCAACTCCCTAAATCCTTCCACTGTGTCTACATGGTAGAATCTCCTACATCCACAACTTCTTATGTCAACATTCCTTCTATTTCTTGATCTAACTCCTCATTCTCAAGCTTTTTTTTTAACCATGACCCACAATAATAAATTTTACATCAAAACACCATACGCACATACATACACACACATATGTGTATACACAACTGAAGTCCCACAAAAACAAACCTTACTAAAATAAAGCTATATCAGATATGATTTTATTAATAGCCAAATAAACAAAAATTCAGAAATACAAAGTTCCGTGAAAGAGTTGTTTACATGCACTGTCAACTGTTCTCTCATTCTTATGTTCTCCCCCTCCAGGATTTTACCTCCTCCATTCCACCAAAACAGCTCTTATGAGGGTCACCAATGAGCTCCACATTGCTAAATTGGTGAATACTTCTCAGTCCTCACTTTAGTTGACCCATTAGCAGCATTTGACCTATTGGCTTTCACATGGCCCATCACCCCTCTTCCTCAAAACACTGCCTTCATTTGGCTTCCAGGGCATCCCTCTTGATTTTCCTAACTCAATGAGAGCTCCTCCTTAGTCTCCTGCACTGTTTTTCCTCATATCCTATCTCTAACCACTGAGAGAACCCCAAAGTTCTCCTCTGACATCTTCTCTATTTGAATGCACTTCCTCAGCTATCTCCTCTAGTTCAACAGCTTTAAATTTACTAACTTCTACATTTCCATCTCTAGCCCAGACCTCTCCTCTGAACTATTTTTTTATTTTATAATATAGACGGGGTCTCACTTTGTTGCCCAGTCTGGTCTTGAACTCCTGGGCTCACATGATTCTCCTGCCTTGGCCTCCCAAAGTGCTGGGATTACAGGCGTGAGCCACCATGCCTGGCCTAAGTGTGTGTGTGTGTGTGTGTGTGTATTTTTTTTTTTTTTTTTTTTTTTTGAGATGGAGTTTTGCTCTTGTTGAACAGGCTGGAGTGCAATGTCGCGATCTCAGCTCACCACAACCTCCGCCTCCCAGGTTCAAACAATTCTCCTGCCTCGGCCTCCCGAGTAGCTGGGATTACAGGCATGCGCCACCACACCTGGCTAATTTTTTTTTGTATTTTTAGTAGAGATGGGGTTTCTCCACGTTGGTCAGGCTGGTCTCGAACTCCTGACCTCAGGTGATCCATCCACCTCGGCCTCCCAAAGTGCTGGGATTAGAGGCGTGAGCCACTGCGCCCGGCCTATAATTTTTGATAGATGATTTTGGATTATTTTCCAGAGATAAAATTTTAAATGTTTCCATTATATCACTGATTTATTTCTGCAAATTGAATAAATTCTTAATTTTCTGCATGCACATAATACAAAAGGTATTTTCATAGTTTTGGATTTATACCAAATGAAAAGGACTCTCTTGATGAGCACCTTTAACTGATTTTTCTGTTAAAGTTTTAACAATTTGTTCTTGGAAGTCAGTTCGTGAAGGCAAGTTTGTCAGTATTTTCACAAAACTATTCAGCTGAATCCAGAAAGTGAAACAGCAAGAATTTGCATTGTAAAATTGTGTTATAAAATTGGACTTTGAAATTTCAAAAATAAGAAAAATTTTCATGTGTATTTATACTAAATACCGTTTTAGGAAACTAGGATCAGGGTGTTTCTGTTGGCGTTGGCATTAACTAGCTGGATGTAAATTTGAAAAGCCACTCAAGCAGCTTCCTAGTCTAGAAAGTCAGAGGTTTAGATTAGATTTCCGACATCCCTTCCATTTCTGACCTGTAGTTCTTGTCTGGAATTCTGCTTTGTTATAAACTATTGTTCTAAGGAGTTTGTTGTGATAGCACATAGTTCATTTTGTAAAGATTCCCTGCGTATAAAGTGATGCCCTACATATGTGATTTTGTATTAAAAGTATATAGGATCATTATTTTATTTTGAAAAATTTAAATACAGAAAAGTATAAAATATAAGTACCATCCGCCCAGAAATAACATGTGTTAATGTTTTGTCATATGTGCTTTATATTTTTTGAAATAAAGTGAAGTCAACTAGTATTTATAGTAAATAAGTTACATACACATAAGTACATATATGATATTTAATCCTCACAACGATCTTTTGACATGTGACCATTTCTTATTCTTCTTTTATAGACAAGGAACTAATGATATGATAGATTAACTGGCTGTTGTCACACTAGCAAGTGGCAAAACAAGGGATTAGGATCTTAGTCTCTTCAACTGTTAGATTCTATACTTCCATCCTGTGTTGACTTTGTTAATGGATTGGATAATGTGAGATCACTCTGATGTAAATAAAGTATCCTATATTAATTTCGAGTGCATTTTAAGTACTTGTAACATAAATGCTTCCTGTGAAATATCTGTAAAGACCTGAATGGGTACATGTGTGTAAAGAAGAATCAGGGCAGAAAAGTGCTTTTATCATGGCTCCGGGGACCTTAGCTTCAGTTGGTGTTGTGAGAATTCCTCACACAAGGACATTCTCCTTGCTTCAGCATCAGGATGGAAGTGTTTCTCATCTGGACTTTTTCAAAGACTCAGCTGGAGGAATCAGAATTCATAATTTCCTGGCAGCTCATGATTCTGCTACACTACACCATGCCATCTCTTGTGTGAAAGGACAGATTTGATGGAGGACTATGTCATCCCTCATGCGTTTCTTATTGTCTACATTTATTCTAATGGGAAGAAGTGAGCAAAAACACCACAATAATTTGGGTAGTTTTCAGAAAACCTTGTTAGTAAATTAGAATAGTGCCACTTTGGCATTATGAGAAAGAAGCATGGATACATAACTAGGGTTTTGTGTATGACTACAACGAAATGCAGAATGGTGTCTCCAAAAGGTTTCCAGTTGCTGCCACAAGAACTGCTTGGTATTGCCTACATGTGTTGTCCTATTTTTGCTTTGCCCTTCTGCAGTTACTTGCTGTGGGACCTTGGAGAAATTAACTTAGCCTCTCTGTACTTCAGTTTTTTGTATTTGTAAAAATATATTTGTAATAATCTCATAGTTAAGAAGGTAGTTAATGTGTGACTCAGTCCTTGTCTAAAAGTAAATATGCCTAGCTACCCCCATCTTCCAAAGCCAGAAGGTGAAACTTTAACAAGTTTTCTAAAAGCAAATTGTGTTTTTTAAAAGTGCATGTGTCATCCAATCCCATATGATTGATCTGTGCTGGGTGCAGCCTTAGAATGTAAATTCTTTTGAATTCTAGGCAGAGAATGCAGGATTGGCATTCTAAATATTTGTACATGATAAACAAATGCTTCTTTAGGTTACAGCAAATAGTTTACTTATCAAGATCACGATTGTTAGATACTGTTGTCAATTACAGAGGTTTTAGATGAGGCTTTCTGGAATGATTTAGTTTCCCTGTAAGGGAGCCTGTCTATTGGAATAGACAGGTTCACTTCTCCCAGTCTTTCAAGTTGCATGCTTTTTATATCTGATTCCACTGGCTGAGCTGATTGTGAATGTCCTAACCCTGTTGATTGTGTCTGGCCACTCATGGGCAAAGAACAGATTATCCATTCTTTATAGTTGTCTTTTAGTTTTACAAGTTGAAAAAACATCTGAGTAGGTTAGATAATTTATTCTACCACTTTGTAAATGATTAGAATATGTCAGTCATAATCATGCCAAGAGATTATGGATTTATGCATATTTTGTTTTGCTGTAGTACCATTCCTAGTTGAATCTTAACATCCATGTCTAAAATCTATACAGAACAAATATTACAGTTGGGAAAACTGTTTCAGTCTCCTCTCTTCGCAAATATGCTTTATATTTATTGGGGAGTCCTCTATCTTTTTCCTGGTTTTCCTTAAAGCCTTCCCAGGCTGATGGATAACAAACATATGCAAGAAACTTGGGGCTTGGGATTCCTCTAGGCTGTTTGTCCTAGAGGAATGCATCCCGTCTTGCAAATAGGATGGTCAATTAAGATGGAAGGAAGCAAAAGTGTGGATAGGAAGGAAGGGCACAAAAGGAAAAGTGTGGAATTTGTGTGTGAGTCCTCTAATGAGGTCAAAGGTGGGAGGGAGGCAAGCATGGAAGCTTCCTGGCACTGCGATACTAATTTCCCCTCCTCTCCCTTTTAAAATCCTGTCTTCTGGGAGGAAATGAGACTGATTATGGAGTTCCCACTAAGCCCTGCAGGGTTGGTGGAGACAACCCCATTTTACACATTAGTTCATAGACTTGGGTTGTGACTTGCTTGAGGTCACCCAGCCAGTGTGTCAGAGCCTGATTTTAAATCCAGGGCTGTTCTTTCCACTGCTATGCAAGATACCTTCTGTTTATATTTTTGAGGGAGACAACAGAGATGGGAAAAATTTTTAACAATAAAATAAAGGCAATGGAGGGGATGAGTATGCTGATGGGGAAGGAAAGAGGCCCTAGCTTCTGCAGTTCCTTTGTGTTATTCCTAACCCTTTTCTCATCTGGGGGTGCACTGCCTCTCCATTTCTCAAGTATGGGAAATGCCAGTAATTCCACTTGTGTTAATTGGCAGTCAGACAACTTGTCCAAAACTGAATTGATCTTACCCACCCCGCCAACATTTTAATAATTGCAACCCCAACCTTTCAGTTGCTCAGCTAAAGACTATGGAGGTATCCTTGATTCTTTTCTCATAACACACATCCAGTGTATTGGTAAGATTTAGAATTCAGTCACTTCTCACCAGCTGCTGGTCCAAGCCATCACAATTCCCCCAAAGTTCTTAACAGTGCTCACAGCCTCTCCTCCCCACCTTACCCTTCTGATTGCAGCTGCCACCACTCATCCCCTGCTCACTCCTGCAGTCGTCAAAGACCCCAATGCACTTCTACCTCAGGGCCTTTGCACTTGCAGCTCTCTTTGTCTGAAGAGCTTTTCCCCTAGGTATCAGTAGGGTTAACACCCTTCCTCATTCAGGTCATGGCTTAACTGTCTTCCCAGCGAGGACTCCTCTGGCCACCCTATTTTATTTTTTGAGATGAAGTCTCTGTCACCCAGGCTGGAGTGCAAGGTTGGCTCACTGCAACCTGTGCCTCCTGGATTCAAGCGATTCTCCTGCCTCAGCCTCCCGAGTAGCTGGGATTACAGGCGCCTGCCAGCACGCCCGGCTAATGTTTTTGTATTTTTAGTAGAGACGGAATTCACTATGTTGGCCAGGCTGGTCTCGAACTCCTGCCCTCCGATGATCCACCCCCGCTCGGCCTCCCAAATCACCATGCCTGGGATTACAGGTGTGAACCATCGCACCCGGCCTGGCCACCCTATTTTAAACTGCAAACTTTTCCCCTTCAGTGCTTAGTTTTTCTCCACAGCATTATCACCATTTCATATAGTATATGTTTTTCTTCATACTGACTCCCCTTGGAGAAGGAAAACTCCACGAGAGCAAGGATTTTTGACAGTTTTTCATTGTTATTTCTTCAGTGCTTAGACATGCATCAGGCTCAAAGTAGATGCTCAATGTTTGTTGAATGAACAGCAAGAGCAATGGAGGAGTCCTGAAATACACAGCAAGAAGCAAGGATAATTCTGGCTTTACTTCTGTGGCCAGGGTCCTTCATCCCAACCTTTTAGAAGTAGAAAAACCAGATCGAGCTCCTCAGAACCCAGGTCGATGGCTGCAGAGCCTTCGACCTTCCGAGAGCGAATGGCGATCACTCTTTCCGGTTCTCCGTGAATTCCAGCTGGAACACCGTCCCTTTCCGCGCCCCAACTCAGCGGAGGCCATGCCCTGCACCTGAGCGCCCCGCTCCGGCAGCTGCACTCTGCAGCATCCGGAACGTTTCGGCGTGGCCGCAGGGCGCGGCGGAATGACTTCCGGGGCGCCCCTAAAGCGGCGGAGAGGAGTGTCGGGCGGAGTTTCCGGCTGAGAGTCCTTCTAGCGGCGCCGGTGAGTCCGCGTGTGGAAGTCTGTGAGGCGCAGAGGTGGGGCAGGCCGTCTGGCTAGCTAGGCGGCTGGGAGCGTTTTCGTGGCGGGGAACGGAGGTTGAATTGCCCTGCCTGGGCTCATAGGGAAGGAGGATGTGAAGGAGCTTGTGAAGGCAGAGGAAGGTAACTTTCGTCTGGGGAGCCGCAGAGTAGGGAGGGAAGCTGCAGGCCGTCTCTCCCTAAGTAAAAGCGCGACTTTTAGAAATGATGGTTCAGGGTTCGAGTTTGTGACCCGCTTGAGAAAGTGACCAACCTCTGAGCCTGAATCCCATACCTGAAAAACAAGGACAGTAATCACCCTTGCCAGTTTCACATAGCTTGGTAAGGTGTGAAGAAAAGCTTCTTAAATTGGGATGTTTGGTGCTCTCATTTGTTGGCAGATAGCATTCCGAGCTCATGTAACGGGAATCACACCAGTAGGCTTATGCTGAGGAACGTGGATTGTTTGGGGTTGGATTCCAGGAAACAGATCACTTAAAATTTTTTTTTTTTTCTTCGAGACGGAGTCTCGCCCTGTCGCCAGGCTGGAGCGCAGCGGCGCGATCTCGGCTCACTGCAACCTCCACCTCCCGGGTTCAAGCGATTCTCCTTCCTCAGCCTCCCGAGTAGCTGGAACTACAGGCGCGTGCCACCACGCCCAGCTAATTTTTGTATTTTCAGTAGAGACGGGGTTTCACCATGTTGGCTAGGATGGTCTTGATTTCTTGACCCCGTGATCCTCCCGCCTCGGCCTCCCACAGTGCTGGGATTACAGGTGTGAGCCACCCACCTGGCCTCGCTGATATTTTTAAGAAGAAAATGGACTGACGGGAAGTGACAGGCCATTGGAGATCTTTACAAAGTCCATCTTCAGGATGCATGAATCCTTTAAACAGCATGCATGTTTACAATCAGACTTCCCATTGAACGTCTGCAGTTTTAGGGACCTTAATACCTCCTGTCCAGTCGGATTTCCCGTTGCAGGCAGCTCTAATTAAGAAGTCCTTTTAGCCGGGCGTGGTGACTCATGCCTGTAATCCCAACACTTTGGAGGACCGAGGTGGGCGGACCAGTTGTGGTCAGGAATTCGAGACCAGGCCTGGCCAACAGGCTGGTGAAACCCCGTCTCTACTAAAAATAAAAAGGTTAGCTGTGGTGGCGTGTGCCTTAATCTCAGCTATTCGGGAGACAGAAGAGACAGTAGAATCGCTTGAACCCTGGAGGCGGAGGTTGCAGTGAGCCGAGATTGCGTCACTGCACTCCAAGCTTGGGCGACAGAGCAAGACTCTTGTCTCAAAAAAAAAAGAAAAAAAAGAATTCCTTTGATATGGTCAGCCAAAAGTCTCTCAGTTGCTATTTACTTTTATATTTATAATATTTATTATATATTTGTAATTATTTTATTTATTTTGAGATAGGGTCTCACTCTGTCACCCAGTCTGTAGTGCAGTAGTGAACATAGTAGCCTCGACTCTCCTGGGCTCAAGTCATCCTCCCACTTTTGCTTCCCAAGTAGCTGGGACTCAAGTACTCGCCACCTCGCCCAGCTAATTTTTTGATGTTTTGTAGAGACAAGGTTATTGCCCAGGCTGATCTGAGCGCCTGAACTCAAGCAATCCTTTTGCCTTGGCCTCTCAAAGTGCTGGGATTACAGGTTTGAGCCACTGTGTGCCCTGCCAAGAATTTGAGTTTAAAAACGTTGAGAACGTTATGCGAGTTTTTCATTTTTAAAGTTCACAATACGTAACAGAAAACAGGGAGGAGCAAAATGTTCAGTTGAGGCTGGGTGTGGTGACTCACGCCTGTAATCCCAGCACTTTGGGAGGCCGAGGTGAGTGGGTCACCTGAGGTCAGGAGTTCGAGACCAGCCTGGCCACCATGGCAAAACCCCATTTCTACTAAAAACACAAAAGTTAGCCAGGTGTGGTGGTGGGCTCTTGTAATCCCAGCTACTCGGGAGGCTGAGGCAGGAGGATCACTTGAACTCGGAGGCGGAGGTTGCAGTGAGCCGAGATCGCGCCATTGCACTCCAGCCTGGGTGGTGAGTGAAACTCCGTCTTAAAACAAAAAAAGAAACAAAAATATTCTGTTTACAGGCAGATCACTTGAGGTCAGGAGTTTGAGATCAGCCTGGCAAGTCAGGTGAAACCCTGGCTCTACAAAAATATAAAACATGGCAAAACCCTGACTGTACTAAAAATACAAAAATTAGCTGGGCATGGTGGCACGCGCCTGCAATCCCAGCTCCTTGGGAGGCTGAGACAGGAGAATCACTTGAACCCGGGAGGTGGAGGTTGCAGTGAGCCACGAGGTGGTGGAGTTGGGAGGGAGATTGCATTGGGGAGGATGGAGGTGTGATGAGGACATTTATTTGTGCATGAATGAATGAATGACAGAGTCTCGCTCTCTCACCCAGGCTGGAGTGCAGTGGCACAACCTTGGCTCGCTCCAGTGTCTACCTGCCAGGTTCAAGTGATTCTCCTGCCTCAGCCTCCCGAGTAGCTGGGATTACAGGTGTGCACCACTAGGCCCTGCTGATTTTTGTATTTCTAGTGGAGACGGCATTTCACTATGTTGGCCAGCCTGGTCTTGAACTCCTGACCTGAAATGATCTGCTGGCCTCGGCCTCCCAAAGTGCTGGGATTACAGGATGAGCCACCGTGCCCGTTTCTCTCTCTCTCTTTCTTTCCTTTCTTTTCTTTCTTTTTTGAGGCAGGGTCTCATTCTGTTGCCCAGGCTGGAGTGCAGTGACCTGATCTCGGCTCACTGCAGCCTCCGTGCCTCCTGGGTTCAAGCAGTCCTCTTGTCTCAGCCTCCCCAGTAGCTGGGATTACAGGGGCCCGCTCCCACCAACCTCCTAGCTAATTTTCAAACTCCTGACCTCAAGTGATCACCTGCCTTAGTCTCCCAAAGTGCTAGAATTACAGATGTCAGCCATCATACCTGGCCTGGTTTTTTTTTTTTTTTTTTTTTGAGACGGAGTCTTGCTCTGTCACCCAGGCTGGAGTGAAGTGGCGTGACCTTGGCTCATTGCAGCTTCTGCCCTCCAGGTTCAAGGAATTCTCCTGCCTCAGCCTCCCTAGTAGCTGGGATTACAGGCACCTGCCACCATGCCCAACTAATTTATGTATTTTTAGTAGAGACGGGTGTTGCCATGTTGGCCTGACTGGTCTCGAACTCCTGACCTCAGGTGATCCGCACCTTGTCCTCTCAAAAGTGCAGGGATTACAGGGATGGAGCCGCTGCACCTGGCCCTGGCCTGTGTTTGTTTGTTTTGTTTTGTTTTCAACTTTTATTTTCACGGAGTACGTGTGCATGTTGGTTACATGGATAAATTGCTTGTTGTTGAGGTTTGGTATACAAATGATCCCGTCACCCTGGTAGTAAACATAGTACCTGATAGGCAGTTTTTCAACCCTCACTCTCTCCCATCCTTCCCTGTCTAATAGTCTCCAATGTCTGTTGTTCTCATCGTTATGTCCACGTGTACTCAGTGTTTAGTTTCCACTCGTAAATGAGAACATGCCGTCTTTGGTTTTCTGTTGCTGTTTTTTTTTAGGCCAGAGTGCAGTGGCACGATCTCGGCTCACTGCAACCTCTCTGCCTTCCGGGTTCAAGCAATTCTCCTGCCTCAGCCTCCTGAGTAGATGGGATTACAGGTGCTCGCCACCACATCTGGCTAATTTTTTTCTATTTTTAGTAGAGACAGGGTTTCACCATGTTGGCCAGGCTGGTTTCAAACTCCTGACCTCAGGTGATCCACTTGCCTTGGCCTCCCAAGTGCTAGGATTACAGGCGTGAGCCATTGCGTTGGGCCTCTGTTCGTGTTAATTCAATGAGGATAATGGCCTCCAGCTGTATCCATGTTGCTGCAAAAGACAGGATTTCATTGTGTTTTTTTTTCGTTGTTTTTTTGGCTGCTAGTATTCCATGATATATTACGTACCACATTTTCTTTATCCAGTCCACCATTTATGAGCATCTAAGTTGATTTGATGTCTTTGCTATTTTGGATAGTGCTGTGATTAATATGAGTGCTCTTGTACTTTTGGTAGAATGGTTTTATTTTCCTTTGGGTTTATACCCAGTATTGGGATTGTTGGATCGACATACATGTGTCCAATAAATATATGAAAAAATGTTCAACATCACTGATCATTAGAGAAATGCAAACCAAAACCACAATGTAAATCAAAACCACAAACCCATCTCACCACCAGTTAGAATGGATATTATTAAAAAGTCAAAAAATAACAGATGTTGGCAAGGTTGTGAAGAAAAGGGAATGCTTATCCACTGTTGGTAGGAATGTAAATTAGTTCAGCCACTATGGAAAGCAGTTTGGAGATGTCTCAAAGAACTATGTTTAATTTTGTGTCCTTTTTTTTTGAATTATGAGCTATAGCATTTACCCATTTATAAATAATAAATGTGATTTAAAAACTTTTGATTATGAGAAAACTGAGACATACACAGAGAGATAGTACAATGAATCACATGTCACTCAGCTATAATAGTTCAACTACGCCCATACTGACTCCTCACAAGTCTACAGTTTGTCATGTGACACATCTATAAAGCATTTTTGTTCTTTTACAAATCGTAAAAAGACGCTTATTTTTATTGGTACCAAGTTTGTGTATAAGTTCATATTATTTCTTGGAAATGAGAAATGGAGTTCTATGAAGATTTTTAAGACAATTATTGAGTAAAATACAAAGAATAAGATGACCTGGCATTCCATTTTTTTTTACTTTATATATGTGTCTAATTTTCAAATTTAATTGGATGAATTTTGTAACAAACATCTTTAGATAACTTACATTCTAATGGTTTTTACAGATTATTGAATAATAAAATACAGTTTTGAAAAAAATGGATGAAGAACCTGAAAGAACTAAGCGATGGGAAGGAGGCTATGAAAGAACATGGTAAGGAGAGCTTTATTGCCCTGTCTTTTCTTTTAGACAATGTCTTTTTTTTTCTTTACAACTTTATTAAAGTATATTTTACATATGTTAAAATTCACCCATTTCCAATGTACAATTCAGTGATGTTTTATTAATAATTTACTGAGCTGTGCAGCCATTATCATAAACCAGTTTTAGAATATTGTAACCACTCCAGTAAGATCCTTCACATTCATTTACAATTAATTTAAATCTTAATTTAATTCCACCTGTGGGCAATCATTAGTCTACTTTTTGTCTCCAAATTTTAACCTTTTCTGGACATTTCACAAAAATGTGATCATATACAATCATGTGCCACATAATGATGTTTTGGTCAAAGACAGACTGCATATATGACAATGGTCCCATAATATTATAATACTGTATTTTTACTCTACCTTTTCTATGTATGTTTAGATATACAAATACTGACCATTGTGTTACAGTTGTCTTAAGATATTCAGTATAGTAACGTGCTGTACAGGTTTGTAACCTAGGCGTGGGATAGGCTATACCATCTAGGTTTGTGTAAGTATACCCTGTGATATTCACACAATAATGAAATTGCCTAACAATGCATTTCTCAGAATGTATCCCTGTCAGTAAGCGATGCATGACTATAATAGTTGGTCTGTTGTGGCTGGCTTTCACTTATTTTTAAGACTCATCCATGATGCAGTGTGTATTAATACTTCATTCCTTTTTTATTGCTGAATAGTATTCCCATCTATGGTTATGCCACATTATTGTTTATCCATTCACTAGTCTGTGGATATTTAGGTTCTTTACAGTTTTTGACTGTTAGGAAAATGCAGCCATGAACACTTACATGCAAATCTTTGTGTGGACATATATTTTCATTTCATTTGGGCTAGTAATCATTTTAGCTTGTCTTTTCAAACAAATAATTATGACTTATAGGGAGATTCTTAAAGAAGATGAATCTGGATCACTTAAAGCTACAATAGAAGACATTCTATTCAAGGCAAAGAGAAAAAGGTATGTAACCTTCCTATGTATCTTAAAAAGGTAAAATATATTCATTTTAAGCCTTTCTATCTATAAATACTCCTCAGTACTTCATTTTAGCTGTGTTTCAGGGTAACTGACCTATTGCCTTCTGACTATGGGGAAAGAACTAGCCACCTACCCTTGCCCCAGCAGGAAATGGTCTTTAGAGACTGTCTACAATACCTATAATTGTGTGTATTGTATTCCATAAGTTAATTATTTACTCCACTAAAAATGCACGTTATGACATTCTTACTCAGAATTAGAAAAAAAGAAAAACAAAGGAGGTCAATTGGAAAGTTGTATTTTTTTTGTGGGGGGGGATAGTATATGGAATTACATTAAAATGTTTGTATAATTTTAACAGAGTATTTGAGCACCATGGACAAGTTCGACTTGGAATGGTATGTCATTATTTTTTCTTTTACTAGTACAGAACTAGTTTAGGTTAGAGAAACATTCTGTCTTGCTAGAAAAAACAATAGCAAAACAACAAAGTTTTTAAAAGAATATGTTAAAAATACGTGCATAGAATATGTAATTATTAAATGCCATTTTTACTAGTCAAAATGGCACTTGAGGCTGGGCACAGTGGCTCATGCCTATAATCCCAGCACTTTGGGAGGCCAAGGCAGGAGGATTGCTTGAGCCCAGGAGTTTGAGACCAACCTGGGCAACAGAACGAGACCCAGTTTCTACAAAACAAAACAAGTACTTGAAATTGGCCCTTTCTTTTTTCCGATAGATGCGCCACCTTTATGTGGTAGTAGATGGATCAAGAACAATGGAAGACCAAGATTTAAAGCCTAATAGACTGACGTGTACTTTAAAGGTAAAATTTAAGTTTATACTAAATCATTTAAATTTGTACCAAAATCACTTAAACTTTTACTAAAAAAGTGGGGAAGAACACTGGATTCTAAAGGATATTTTTAAAGAATGCAATATTTTTTATTTTTTGCCTTGTATTTTTAGTTAATGCTAATGATAGCTAAGTAGAAGTACTGCCAGGTTATTTAGGGAAATTTTAAACCAACATAGCTAATTATTTGTGTTTTTAATTTCTATCCTCCCACCCCACATCAGGATCTTGGTTTATCAGTTATCCCTTTTCTTTCTTGAATCTTCATTCTCCTTTGCCTTACTTAACTCTGTCTCCTCAGATTACAAATATGTTCGTATTCCTAATTTATCAAAACCTATTCTCAATTCTGCTCGTTCTCCCATCTCTCTTCATTGGATCTTTTCCTCATTGAAATTTCTTCTGACACATCCAAATGGTTCCATCTTTTAAAACCTAGCTCAAACCTGTCTCATCACCCACCATTTCAAATTAACGTTTTTACTGTTTAATATTTTTATTACTTAACAGTTTTTGAAAATCTGTAAGTTTAAAAGTCATGAGAAGTGACGCTTGATTAACAGGTTTCACAAACATCAGTTGGACGTGTTCTTTATGATTGTTATTTTGCCTTTATCTAGTATGTCTTTTTTTGTTTAAACAGTTGTTGGAATACTTTGTAGAGGAATATTTTGATCAAAATCCTATTAGTCAGGTACGTATCTAAGTGATAGAATTCAGAATTAGATTCCTATTTTGCTTCCAAATGTAATTTATTTTTAAAAATTGGACATGTATTTTGTGAATTACCCAAATTGTTTAACCAGTTTCTGGTATACTTAAAAATGAAAAGCGTAATAACTCTAAAAGTTAAACGTAATGTGAACTCATAGCTAAATTTATTTGCCAAAAACAGCATGAGAAAAAGTTTCTCACCTGTTGCTTCTTTCTTTTGTAATTACTAGTTTATTTTAGCTATATAAATTATTTTTTTTTCTGCTCCAATATCATCTACAGGAATAGTTATATATATTCTTAATGGGAGGAAATAACTTGTTATATTAATAATAATTTTTGTTTTTATTTCAAGATTGGAATAATTGTAACTAAGAGTAAAAGAGCTGAAAAATTGACTGAACTTTCAGGTATGCATAAAATTACCTTTACATGACTCAAGGACTTTGCTTTATTTACCCAACCTCGTAGCCCTGTTTATATGGCTGCTTAATAAGTAACGTGAAGGGTGGTTCCTCTGTCTTCTCTAGGTGAAACAATTTAATAACATCTCCCCCACCATTATATTCTTAGGATACAAGGTTAACTATTCTAAATTGAGTTCTGCGTAGTGGTAAATAATACTACATTGAATATAAATGTTTTTATTTAAAATCTATATGTGCTTATCCTGAAATTTTTTTTCTTTCCTTTTTTTTTTTTTTTTTTTGGAGATGGAGTCTTGCTCTGTCGCCAGGCTAGAGTGCAGTGGCACAATTTCGGATCACTGCAAAGTCCGCCTCACGGGTTCAAGCGATTCCCTGCCTCAGCCTCCTGAGTAGCTGGAACTACAGATGCCCGCCACCACGCCCTGCTAATTTTTTGTATTTTAGTAGATACGGGGTTTCACCATGTTGGCCAGTATGGTCTCAATCTCTTGACCTTGTGATCAGCCCGCCTCAGCCTCTCAAAGTGCTGGGATTACAGGCTTGAGCCACCGCATCCGGCCTTATCCTGAAAATATTAAAATACAGTTATTGTAATCATTTATAAAATCCAGTTAATCTTAAAATTAAATTCTTAGAAAGTTAAGCATCTAATTTAAAAGGGAAAAAGTATAAAAATTAAACTGTAGCTATTGCTAATGAATCAATTTTTCTGCTTCCATGACATACCTAACTGAATTTTAGTTTCAAAACGTAGTAATGGCATTTTTTATTTGCTTTGGTATATATGCTGTTACAAATTTGCATCACTGATTCTATTTTATTTTCTGTGAAATACACTCTCCCTTAAATCTGGTTTTCAACCTTTTATCCTTGCCGGCACACATAAGGGAAATGACATACTTTCTTCATTAGTAGTTTTTCATTAAATGCAGTGAGGAGTGAAATGTACATTGGCCTGGAGTGATTCAAGAAACTCAGTTGTGAGTAACCAAAAGAATGTCACACTAGCTTAAGTGCAGAAGGAAAATTTTGGGCTATGTTCAAAGGTGGGCCAATTCCATATATAGTTGCTGCATATGTTGGGGTCCTGGCTTTGTCTGGCTTCATTCTCTGATAGATTTTCTGGAAGTTGAAAAGATGTCTCTTAATTGTCCCAGTCTACATTGTACCCGTAGCCTATAGCTTCAGCACACGTCTAGGGAGAACTCTGATTGGCCTGAGTTACGATCTGCCCATCCATGAACAAAGTGGCCAGGAAATGAAGTATTTTGTTTGTACGCTTCGATTGCCTGCTGATGCCCAGAGCAGGATAGAAGTAGGGTCAGCACCACATGAACTAAGCAGGATTATTATATAGTGGAAGAAGGATGGTTCCTCCAAGGTAGGAATATAAGGTCAATATTTTCCTCTCACTTTACCCACCCCGAGTTACCAGCAGTTTTCTATTACTTCTTTTTTTTTTTTTTTTTTGAGAAGGAGTCTCTCACTCTGTCGCCCAGGCGGTGCTGTCTTGGCTCACTGCAACCTCCGCCTCCCGGGTTCAAGTGATTCTCCTGCCTCCCCCTCCCGAGTAGCTGGGATTACAGGTGTGCGCTGCCACACCTGGCTAATTTTATTTTTAGTAGAGACAGGATTTCACCATGCTGGCCAGGCTGATCTCGAACTCCTGACCTCAGGTGATCTACCCACCTCAGCCTCCCAAAGTGTTGGGATTACAGGCATCAGCCACCATGCCCGGCCCCAGCAGTTTTCTATGGATGTTAGTGAAGTCATGTATAAAGATGAAAAATATTCTGGAGATTCTGACAGGCCTCTTGAAGCCACCTTTTTTTCCCTCCAATCAGACCACTGCTGTAAACCACACTGACACTATTGTAGTATGCTTTTTTCCTATACCCATAACACAGTGGGAGATTAAAAATAATTTTGTAGGGTAGGAAGAGAAGTGGATAGAGAGCCAGGAGATCTAGGTTTGGGTGCTGCTGGTCCTGCAGTTAAGCAGGCATATGTCTTTGGGCAAGTCATTTCACTTGTTTAGATTAATTTTCTCACTTATGAAGTGAGGGATTTGGACTGCTTAGCGAGGTACTTTTCATCTCTAAAATTTATGAATCTAAAATACTTGCAGTAAATATTAAATATTACAAATGGTTAATATTTTAAAACTTACTCAGATGAGTAAAAACTCAAGGGAGCTCCAAGTTGATGAATAGACAAAGAAGACATGATTCACACAGAAGAAACCCAGAAATTAAATCAGGGAAACTAGTAATCCAAAAAAACTCCACCCAATTACATAACATTTTATTTTTTAATATATTTTAAATGAGCAAAATTAAGTTTCCAAAGCAATATGTTGCTTGTGGAACCACAGAGAAACTGTTATTTATAGTGCTGATAGTCTTACAAATTAGTTCAATATTTTTTAGAAAAGCATAAAAATTGTTCCTGAAATTATATTTAGGGAATGTTATGGAAGGAGAATGATCACTCTACAAAGATACTCTTTGTAACATTATGTATAATAGTGACAGATTAAAAATTAAATGTTTAATAGTATGCTTTGATGGATTATATTTTATGACAAAATCAATTTAATGATACTTAGGTTATTGATTGATACGAAGACAGTGCTGAAATGGAAAATGTTTACGGAATACTATATTTCATTGAAACTCAGATTCCATCAATTACAAGATACTTTTATAAGCCATTAAGAAGGAAAAGTCCTAGTAGTTAAACTTTGACACAGTATCAAATGATATATGAGTTGGCTATACTAGCTTCTTGGTAATTTGACATGTACAGACATCTCAAATTTGGGGGCCAGGCGTGGTGACTTACACCTGTACTCCCAGCACTTTGAGAGGCTGAGGCGGGAGGATTGCTTGAATCCAGGAGTTCAGGACTAGCCTGGACAACATGGTGAAACCCTGTCTCTACCAAAAATATACAAAAAAATTTAGCCAAGTGTGGTGCTGGGCACTTGTAGTCCCAGCTACTTGGGAGGTTGAGGTGGGAGGATGGTTTGAGCCTGGGAGGTGGAAGTTGCATTGAGCCAAAATTGCCCCATTGCACTCCAGCCTGGCAACAGATATATATATAATCTAAATATAAATAATATAAAAAAATATTATATTAAAAAGAAAAAAAAGGATTTGGCAGCTTCTCCCCCCTTCATTTGAATTGCTTAGCATAAGATAGACAATCTTTTCAGATGCTATTTGGTAAGATAACACAGCTTCGTCTGTTTGTGGGAATATTCGTTTCTTAGGTCTTGTAAAGTTCTTGATTTCTTCCCTCAAGAAAAATACGGAATTGCATGCATTCTTCCATCAATATTTGATTCATTATAATAAATTTATGCCTCACTGCTGTGTTCCACACCTTTCTACATAAAAATATAGCCTTTTGTATTAACAACATTTCTAAAAACATTTTATTGTTTGTTTTTTGAGATGGAGTTTCGCTGTTGTTGCCCAGGCTGGAGTGCAGTGGTGCAATCTCAGCTCACTGCAACCTCCACCTTCTGGGTTTAAGTGATTCTTGTGCCTCAGCCTCCCTAGTGGCTGGGATTACAGGTGTATGCCACCATACCCAGCTAATTTTTGCATTTTTACTACAGATGGGATTTACACCATGTTGACCAGGTGTGTCTTAAACTCCTGACCTCAGGTTATCTGCCTGCCGTGGTCTCCCAGAGTGCTGGGATTACAGGCGTGAGCCACCGCGCCTGGCCTTAAAAACATTTTAAATGGCAGTTAAACTCACCATGAAGAGGACAATGTACATAATGCAATTGAAGCAACAACATATGAAGACCTATTTGTAGGTTCACATATGAACAGGCAAAGACTATGTTACAAGTGCTGCTGGCTACCAGTGATTATTAAACACATGCTGATTTCAGAGATGTTAAATGTGAAAATGTATTGGTCTTAAAAATGATGAAATATGGAAATATTAAGAGTAAAAAAATGCACTCTAGGTTAGCATTATTTTAAAATATGTATGCTAGTCTATAAGGAGATTATTTGTATTCTGTTTTTCAGTATGAAGTGAGAGTGTTTACAAAATATTGCAGATAAAATTCCAACAGAAATATACATTGAAAGGATTCTGTTCTTTAACATCATAGATATGTAAATTTTGAGAGAAACATAAACTTTTTTAATATATAGGATTTTATTTAAAGATCTTATTTCTATTTTAGGAAACCCAAGAAAACATATAACGTCTTTGAAGAAAGCTGTGGATATGACCTGCCATGGAGAGCCATCTCTTTATAATTCCCTAAGCATAGCTATGCAGACTCTAAAGTTAGTATTATACATTATGTATAATTGAATTAGAAGTTTTTTAAATGAGTTAAGCTGAAGTGATGTGTTAATATGGGGCCCATAAACCCAGCTATAACAAAATTGTTAAGTACAAGAATTATGTAGTGTTATTTATGATGTTTAGTGTGGTGTTGGTTAGTAATCTTTATTTTACATTTTAGTAAGATATTGTTAAAGGTTTTATAAAAATATAATTTAAAACTGTCGGCAGTATCAATAGTACAAAAATATGTTGATGAAAAAATATTTTATTAAAATGAGATTTAATATAGTATAATAATTGTAAGTTGGTTGTACCTTTATTAACATTTATTAATTTATTTTGAAAGTAATGGCCAAAACCACAGTTCCTTTTGCACCAATGTCATATATCTGTAAATTAATAGATATGGCAAGTTCAGCTATATGGAATAGAGCTAAGACCCCAAAGGAAATACTTGGTATAGTTAAAGCTTATATATATATATAAGCTTTATATACATATTATATATATAATTTATTATACATATATATATAAAGCTTATATATATGTTAAACTTACATATATAAGTTAAAGCTTATATATCTATTATATATACACACACACACACACACACACACACACACACACACACACACACGTATATATATATTTTTTTTCGAGACAGAGTCTTGCTCTGTCACCCAGGCTGGCATGCAGTGGCGTGATCTCAGCTCACTACAACCTCCACCTCTGGGTTCAAGTGATTCTTGTGCCTCAGCCTCCCTAGTGCTGGGATTACAGGTGTGTGCCACCATGCCCAGCCAATTTTTGTATTTTTAGTACAGATGGGGTTTCACCATGTTAGCCAGGCTGGTCTTGAACTCCTGGCCTCAAGCGATCCGCCCACCTCAGCCTCCCTAAAGCTTATATATTTTATCTCTGGATAGTCCGCCCTGGCTCAGACTTATACCTTTATATAATAGATATTTTTCTAGTTTTGAAGTGGATGAGAAGGAGGCAACACATGTAATAGAGGTAAGTACAGTAGCAGGGTCTACCAGTGAGAGCTGAGAAGATAACAATGAAAATATAAGCAGGAAAGCTATAACTAACTGATAAAATTGCTGCAGAAAGCATAAAAAGGTCTATTTAGTGTAGGTGAAAACTGGTCACCACAACTTAAAAATCTACAAGCTATCATTTTAATTAAATGGTATGCAATATTAATGTTCATGATTATTATGACTCTGAATTACTGTGAGGTTAAATTATAGTAATCCCCCCTTATCTGCAGTTTCACTTTCCAGTTTTAGTTACTCTTGGTCTGAAAATATTAAATTGAAAACTTCAGTAATAAATAATTCATAAGATTTAAGTTGTGTGCCATTCTGGGTAGCGTGATGAGATCCTACACCTTCCCTCTCTGTCCTGCCCAGGACGTGAATCATCCCTTGGTCCTGTAGATCCTCACAGTATATGCTGCCCACCCATGTAATGGCCTAAGTCATCAGATTAACTGTTGTTATTGACTGTCAAAACTATTGCAGTGTTTGTGTTATTTTACTTAATAATGACCTCAAAGTGCAGGAGTAGTGATGCCGGCATGTTGTTATAAATGTTCCATTATTAGTTATTGTTGTTAATCTCTTATTGTGCCTAATTTATACATTATTGATCATAGGTGTGTATGTAAGGCACACCTCATTTTGTTGCACTTTTATTGCACTTTTCAGATAACTTTTTTTTTTACAAACTGACAGTTTATGGCAACTCTGTTGAGCAAGTCTGTTGGTGCCATTTTTTTTTAACAGCATGTGCTCACTTCTTGCCTCTATATCACACTTTGGTAGTTCTTGCAATATTTCAAGCTTTGTAAATTATTGTTATATCTGTTATGGTGATCTGTGATCAGTGATCTTTGATGTTACTATTGTAATTATTTTAGGGCACCACAAACTGCGCCCATATAAGACAACAGACTTAATTGATAAGTGTTACGTGTGTTCTGAGTGCTCCACCAACTGGCTGTTTTCCAGTCTCTCTCCCTCTGTTCGGCCCCCCCATCTCCTAAGACACAAAAATATTCAAATTACACCAATAATAACCCTCCAGTGGCCTCTGAGTGTTCAAGAGTAAGGAGGAGTCGCATGTCTCACTTTAAATCAAAAGCTAGAAATGATTGAGCTTAGTGAGGAAGGCATGTCAAAATGCAAGACTGGCTGAAGGCTAGGTCTCTTGTGCTAAACACTTAGTCACATTGTGAATGCAAAGGTAAAGTTCTTGAAGGAAATTGAAAGTGCTGGGCTGTGCGTGGTGGCTCTTACCTGTAACTGCAACACTTTGGGAGGCTAAGATGGGAGGATCACCTGAGGCCATGAGTTTGAGACCAGTCCTGGTAACATAGCAAGACCTCCACCTCTACAAAAAAAAAAAAAAAAAAAAAAAAAAACAATTAGCCAGGCACAGTGGCGAGCACCTGTATGTAGTCCCTAACTTCTCAGGAGGCTGAGGCAGGAGGATTGAGCCCAGTAGTTTGAGGCTGCAGTGAGCTACGATTGTGCTACTGTACTCCAGCTTGTATGATAGAGCAAGATCCTGTCTCAAAATAAGAAAAAAATAATGGAAATTCAAAGTGCTGCTTCAGTGGACACATGAATGATAAGAAAGTGAAACAGCTTTATTGCTGATACAGACAAAGTTTTAATGGTCTAGATAGAAGATTAAAGTAGCCACAACAGTCCATTAAGTCAAATCCTAATCCAAAGCAAGGCTCTAATTCTCTTCAATTCTATGAAGGCTGAGAGCAGTGAGGAAGCTGCAGAAGAAAAGTTTGAAGCTAACAGAGCTGAGCTCATGAGGTTAATGAAAGAAGCCATCTCCAAAACATAAAAGTGTAAGAGGGGCTGGGCGCGGTGGCTCACGCCTGTCATCCCAGCACTTTGGGAGGCCAAGGTGGGCAGATCATGAGGTCAGGAGTTCAAGACCAGTCTGGCCAACATAGTGAAACCCTGTCTCTACTAAAAATACAAAAAATTAGCCAGGTGTGGTGGTGTGCGCCTATAATCCCAGCTACTCGGGAGGCTGAGGCAGGAGAATCGCATGAACCCAGGAGGCAGAGGTTGCAGTGAGCCGAGATCGCGCCATTGCACTTTAGCCCAGACAACACTGTGAGACTCCGTCTCAAAATAAAGAAAAAAAAAGTGCAAGAGGAAGCAGCAAGTGCTGATGTAGAAGCTGCAGCAAGTTATCCAGAAGATCTAGCTAAAATAATTGATGAAGGTGACTACACTAAATATCAAATTTTCTTTTTCTTTTTTGTTTTTGAGAGAGAGTCTCGCTCTGTCACCCAGGTTAGAGTGCAGTGGTGCAATCATGGATCACTGCAGCCTCAAACTCCCAGGCTCAAGCTATTCTCCCAGCCCCACAAGTAGCAGGGACTACAGGCATGTGCCACCACACCCAGCTAATTTTTGTTGTTGTTGTTGTTGTAGAGGTAGGGTTTCGCCACATTGCCCAGCTGGTCTTGAACTCCTGGGCTCAAGCAGTCCTCCGCCTCTGCCTCCCAAAGTGCTGGGATTACAAGCATGAGCCACTGCACCTGGCCTCATATTTTCAATGTAAATGAAACAGCCTTCTGTTGGAAGAAGATGCCATCTAGGATTTTCATAGCTAGAAGAAGTGAATGCCTGGTTTCAGAGCTTCATGGGATAGGCTTCTTCTCTTGTTAGGGGCTAATACAGCTGGTGACTTGATGTTGGCACCAATGTTTGTTACCATTCTGAAAATCCTAGAGTCCTTAAGAATTATTCTAAATCTATTCAGTCTGTGCTCTGCAAATGGAATAACAAAGCCCAGATAACAGCACATCTGTTTACAGCATGGGCTTACTGAATATTTTAAGCCCATTGTTGAGATATATCTCAGAAAAAAGATTTATTTCAAAATATTATTGCTCATTGACAATGCACCCAGTCACCCAAGAGCTCTAATTGAGATGTACAAGAAGATTAATGTTATTTTCATATCTACTAACATAGCACTCATTCTGCAACCCTTGGATAAAGGAATACTTTGAACTTTCACGTCTTGATTATTTAAGAAATACATATCATAAGGCTGTGACTGCCATAGATGGATCTGAGCAAAGTACATTGAAAACCTTCTGGAAAGAATTCACCATTCTAAATGCCATTCATAGAAAGAGGTCAAAATATCTACACTGGCTGGGCATGGTGGCTCATGCCTGTAATCCCAGCACATTGGGAGGCCGAGGCGGGTGGATCACTTGAGGTCAGGAGTTCAAGACTAGTCTGGCCAACATGGTGAAACCCCGTCCTCACTAAAAATACAAAAATTATCTGGGCATGGTGGTGCATGCCTGTAATCCCAGCTACTGGGGAGGCTAAGGCAGGAGAATTGCTTGAACCCAGGAGGCAGAGGTTGCAGTGAGCCGAGATCGCACCACTGCACTCCAGCCTGGGTGTCAGAGCAAGAATCAGTCTCAAAACAAAAAAAGAATAGCCCATAAACTTAGTTGGTAAAGCATCAGTGGGGTTTCAAAGGAATGACTCCCATTTTGAAAGAGGTACTACTATGAATAAAATGCTACCAAACAGCATTTGCATTCCTTTCATGAAAGGAAGAGTTGACCCATGTAACAAACTACTTTGTCTTATTTTAAGAAATTGCCATAGCCACCTCACCCTTCAGAAAGCACCACTCTGATCAGTCAGCAGCCATCAATATCAAGGCAAGACTCTCCTTCAACAAAAAGATATTATTCACTGACAGTTCAGTCGATTTTTAGCAATAAAGTATTTTTCATAAAGGTGTGTACTTTTTTTTTTAGATATAATGCTGTTGCACACTTACTAGACTACAGTATAGTGTAAACAGAACTTTTCTTTTTCTTTCTTTTTTTTTTTTTTGAGACGGAGTCTCGCTCTGTCGCCCAGGCTGGAGTGCAGTGGCGCAATCTTGGCTCACTGTAAGCTCCGCCTCCTGGGTTCACACCATTCTCCTGCCACCACGTCCGGCTCATTTTTTTGTATTTTTAGTAGAGACGGGGTTTCACCGTGTTAGCCAGGATGGTCTCGATCTCCTGACCTCGTGATGTGCCCGCTTCAGCCTCCCAAAGTGCTGGGAATACAGGCGTGAGTCACCATCCCTGGCCGTAAACAGAACTTTTATATACACTAGGAAACCTGAAAGTTCATGTGACTTGCTTTATTGCAAATATTTATTGTGATATTTGCTTTATTGCTGCGGTCTGGAATCCAACCCTGCAGTATCTCCAAGGTATGCCTGTATAGGGAAAAACATGGTATAATCAGCCCTCTGAATCCTGGGTTCTGCTTCTGTGAATTCGATCAACCACGCATCAAAAATTTTTGGAAAAAAATTGTACCTGTACTGAACAAATAGACATTTTTTCTTGCCATTATCCCCTAAATAATAGAGGATAACAATTACTTACATAGTATACATTGTATTAGGTATTATCAATAATCTAGAGATGACTTAAAATATATGGGAGGATGTACATAGGTTATATGCAAATACTACGCCCTTTTGTATCTGGGACTTGAACATCTGCAGATTTTGGTATCCATAGGAGGGCCTGAAATCAATCCCCCAAGGATACCGAAGAACGACTGTATATATAGGGTTCAGTACTATCCTTGATTTCAGGTATCCACTGGGGGTCTTGGAATGTATCCTCTGCAGATAAGAGGGGACTACTATAGTCTTTGAGAAAGAAGTGTGTGTTACTGTTTTGAAGCCACATCTCTGCACTTTAAAGCTGATCCATATGATATTGCCACATTTTAGTTTAAAGTTTATCCATATATTGTTGTATTTTTTATTGTATACTCTAGACTTTGTATGAAACAAACCTACTAGAATGTAAGCTTAATGATGTCGGGAACATTGTCAGTCTTGTTTATCACTCTACCCCCAGAACTTGAGAGTACTTGGTAAATATTAAATGAATCAATTAACAATTTTTTGAAGTGCATAGCTCATTTTAGAAAAATTTGCATTAAAGTGTTTAAAATATACTCACAACCTTTCTTTGCATTGTTGAAACAAATGAGATATTCTATAGTCTAAATGTGTAATCCTATGTTTACTGTTCTTTCTGGGTAAATTTTTTGGTAGTATAATTTGTTGTACCTAATTGGAGTGTATTTTATCTTTCTTTTAAGACACATGCCTGGACATACAAGTCGAGAAGTACTAATCATCTTTAGCAGCCTTACAACTTGCGATCCATCTAATATTTATGATCTAATCAAGGTAGACCAAAAAATCAAAACCAAAGTTATAACTGTAAAGAGAATTCTGTAGCAAATTGATTTATATATATATGTATTTTTGTATGTGTGATTCATCTTTGTGGTAGATGTATTGAATTTATTACTAGTTTTCAGAGCATTCTTTATTTTTCAAATACATTAAATCTTAAATGTTTTTCTTCTTTCCTAAAACTATCTATCTACTTGGATTTTATGAAGACCCTAAAGGCAGCTAAAATTAGAGTATCTGTTATTGGATTGTCTGCAGAAGTTCGCGTTTGCACTGTACTTGCTCGTGAAACTGGTGGTATATATATAATTTATTTAATATTTGCTTATAATTACTGTGTAGGAAATAATTTATTAATTAAATTAGGATGTTTTAATCTGTTCTGAGCTACTAAACTTAAAGTAGTCTAAAATATGGGCAGTCATCTTAAATATATCATTGATTCCATAAGAAATCATCTCCAAATGCAAAGAGTTTTCAGTACTTATGTCAGTATTTAGAGGAGGTATTATAACTCTTGGAAAGCTGGAAATTTTACTGTATGTAATTCTTTATAAAGATTTTATAACTTGTCTTTAATTAAATTGTAATTACAGGCCAGGCATGATAGCTCATGCCTGTAATCTCAACATTTTGGTAGGCCAAGGCAGGAGAATCACTTGAGGCCAGAAGTTTGAGATCAGTCTGGTTAACATAGTGAGACCTGTCTCTATTTATATGTTAAAATAATAATAGTAGTAATAATAATCAATTGTAATTATAGTTATTCCTAGAGAAGTTGATTTAGATATATTACTTAAATAAGGTTTTAAAAGTGATAATTTAGCTAAAATCATTATTTTAAAAATGTACATTTTCAGATGATACAACTTTTACAGAATTACGTAGAACGTACAGTTCGTTATGTCTATGAAGGTGTTTTTTTTTCCCTTTTCATCTTGTTAGGCACGTACCATGTTATTTTAGATGAAAGCCATTACAAAGAGTTGCTCACACATCATGTTAGTCCTCCTCCTGCTAGCTCAAGTTCTGAATGCTCACTTATTCGTATGGGTAAGTGTTTTTATGTTTTTAAAAAATACATATCTAGGCTCTCTATTTTCATTTGCACAAGTTATTTTAATATTTAAGAATTTTTAAAGAAAAAATATGCTTGTTGAAGCAATTTTGGAAAGTACAGAGAAGTGGAAAAAAAAAATTAAAACTACCAGTAGTCCTGTCACCCAGAAAATACTGTTGGCTTTCTTTATTTTTAAGGCTAGAAAGGTATAAACTGTGTTTATAGAAAAATACTTATATTAAGCCGGGCTCGGTGGCTCACGCCTGTAATCCCAGCACTTTGGGAGGCCGAGGTGGGCGGATCTTGAGGTCAGGAGATCGAGACCATCCTGGCTAACACGGTGAAACCCCATCTCTACTAAAAATACAAAAAATTAGCCAGGCGTGGTGGCGGGCGCCTGTAATCCCAGCTCCTCGGGAGGCTGAGGCAGGAGAATGGCATGAACCCGGGAGGCAGAGCTGGCAATGAGCCAAGATCACACCACTGCACTCTAGCCTGGGCGACAGAGCGAGACTCTGTCTCAAAAAAGAAAACAAAAGAAAAACACTTATATTAAAAATTTTTTAAAATAAGCTACAAAGTCCGGGCGTGGTGGCTCATGCCTGTAATCCTAGCACTTTGGGAGGCCGAGGCTAGCGGATCACCTGAGGTCAGGAGTTTGAGACCACCCTAGCCAACATGGCGAAACCCTGTCTCTACTAAAAATTACCAAAAAATGGCTGGGCATGGTGGCAGACATCTGTAATCCCAGCTACTCAGGAGGTTGAGACAGGAGAATTGCCTGAACTCAGGAAGCGGAGGTTGCCATGAGCTGAGATTGCGCCACTGCACTCCAGTCTGGGTGACAGAGCAAGACTCTGTCTCAAAAAAATAAAATAAAATAAAAATAAAATAAGCTACAAAATTCTCTGTACTGGATGATCAAAGCTGTGTAATGCAAACTGTGCAAAGACAAAGCTTGCAGGGAAGTACACCAAATTGCTCAAAGGAGGGGAAATTATTGGTTTTGGATCACTTTTTTTTTTCTTTTTTTTTTTTGAGATGGAGTCTCATTCTATTTCCTAGGCTGGAAGTGCAGTGGTGCGATCTCAGCTCACACTGCAACCTCCGCTTCCCAGGTTCAAGCAATTCTCCTGCCTCAGCCTCCCGAGTAGCTGGGATTACAGGCGGGCACCACCATGCCCAGCTAATTTTTGTATTTTTAGTAGAGACGGGGTTTCACCATGTTGGCCAGGCTTGTCTTGAACTTCTGACCTCATGATCCGCCCGCCTCGGCCTCCCAGAGTGCTGGGATTACAGGCTTGAGCCACTGTGCCCGGCCTTGGATCACTTTTTTAAAATGTTATTTTCTTCTATTTTACAAAAATGTTACAATGAAAATTTATTACATTTATATTGAAAAAAGTATAACTTTTAATAGAAAAATAATCTCCTTATTTAATATGTATGTTTTTAAATGTTAATGAAATAAAATGCTTTTCTACTTTTGGCCTTTTATATTACCAGTCGACCTCTCTTTTCCACGGTCTTCTCATGTGTTTAATGATGTCAGTAACTATCAACCTTATTGTGTGTTTCAAGGATTGAGTTAATACAGATGATGCGTTTAGAATAATGCTTGATGTAAACATTCAATACATTTTAGATCTTATGTTTGGCTAATCTTTTTGATTTACTGATATATTTTCTTATTTCATTTTAAAGTTATTTAAATTTATAATTTATTTATTAGAGTCCTTTAGGAATGTTAACCCTTCTCAGTCACCCGATGCAAATATTTTTCTTGTTGGTTATTTGCCTTTACTTTTATTTATTTGTTTTGATATGTAGATACATTTACATTTTTTATGTAATATATCTTTTTTAAAATGGTTTCTGCTTTTCCTGAACATGTTTTCAGAATTTAAAATTGTATATGGAAAACAAATTACATGAAAGATTTGAGCATTTCAAAATTTTAAACATAAAAGCATAAACGTAGATAAAATGGTGTACTATGATATCTTCAGTTTTATCAGAAATGATGTAAAAATTACAACCTCTTTAAAAAGTAGTGTTAATCATTAAGTTAGAAAATATATAGCTGGGCATGGTGGCGGATGCCTGTAATCCCAGCTACATGGGAAGGTGAGGTGGGAGAATCGCTTGAACCCAGGCAGTGGAGGATGCAGTGAGCCAAGATCATGCCACTGCACCCCAGCCTGGGTGACAGAACAAGACTCCATCTCAAGAAAAAAAAAAAAGAAAAATATATATATGAACTTCAGAATCTGAGGTCATATATAGACAGGTCTTTCCCCCGTTTCCTCTACTTTTTCTTGTAGCTTGGAATTAGTCAGTTTCATCATGCTATAATAAGCTTATCTGAAAGGCAGTAAAGTGATATTTTGTACAACTTCATTGGCTTTTTGAGAAGAACATTTTTAGGTTCTTAGTCCTAGAATTCTGCTGTTTGCTTGGAAAAAGAAAGTAATACATTTTCTTCTATGAAGGATTTCCTCAGCACACCATTGCTTCTTTATCTGACCAGGATGCAAAACCCTCTTTCAGCATGGCGTAAGTAAAGACCTTGAAAATATCAGTGATAATGTTTTTACATTTTTAATTCCTTCTTTTAAGTTATAAATTCAAAAGATAGGCAATGAAGACTATCTCTATATACTTGTATGGAGTGATCTTCAGGATAAATTACTAAGTAAAACAGTAGTTTGAGAGAATTTTGTAGTATGCTGCTAATCACCTAAGAAGAAAGTAGAGATGTAAGTGGATGTATATACTTGTTTATGTTAATAATAAAAACAATAGTATGGAAATAATAAAAACTTAAAAGGGGTGGAGGGGGAAATTTTTTTTTTTAATGTTTACCTCAGTGAGTGTGTAGGGAAAAGCAAAGGGTTAGACCCTAGACTTTTCTGAATGCATCACTTAATGATAGGGATACATTCCGAGAAATGTGTCATTAGGTGATACCATCATTGTGCAAACATCACAGAGTGCACTTACACAAACCTAGATAGTGTAGCCTACTAACATCGCAGTTATATAGTATAGCCTATTGCTCCTAGGCTGCACACCTGTACAGCATATTGTGTACTGAATAATGTAGGCAGTTGTAATGTAACACCTAGTGTTTGTTTAACTAAACACAGAAAAGGTACAACTAAAATGTATTATTTTATGGGACCACTGTCATATATGTGGTTCATCACTGACCAAAATGTTATATAGAATATTACTGTACCTTGTTTTAACTTCAGAGCTTTGTATTTTACATAATTATAAAACAAAATTAAATTTAAGAGAGTAATTCTTAAAAATCACAAACAAGATTTCTGCCTCCAGCCAAAAAGCTGTAACAGGGACTAGATTTACCCTCCTGTCAAAAAAAGCAGACAAAATATATAAAACAGTGGTTTTCAGACGTTGGACAGCAAGCCTTGCTGATAATGATCCCTGAAAGAAAGGAAACAAATGAGATGGGCCCTAAGAGCACTCCACCTTACTGCCTGGATGGAATTTCCAGGCTGCACACAGAGGCTGGAGATGTTGTTGAGTTGAAGAAACAAAGTTCATCTTTCAAGGAGGCTGAGATGGCGATAATTTTGCAGGTCAGAGTACTGGAGAGGAAAGATCTGCACAGAGAGAACTCTCTGGGGAGCTGCATAGACTTGCTCATGAGTCAGCAGCTGAGCGTTGATCAGCCCTTTTGTGTGAGGAGACTACTGGAAGTCAGGGAAAAAATCACTGGAAAGCAGCAGACAGAACAGTTTCCAGAGCTCACACAGAGAACATTCATGTTCTCACCAGTCTGTATGGAAATACCTCTTAACATGACAGGCATTGAATAGAGTCCACAGTAATGGGATCAAATTAATTCTATCACAAGAACTGGAACCAGAGGCAAAAAGAAAAGAAAAGAAAAATCTAGACTAACAGCTGTTCTAGACCAGCCTAACAAAGTTTAAAAGCAAATTTTGAAGAGATTAAACTATTTCCAAGTTAATGAAGTATATTTCAGAACAAACCCTTAAATATTTGAGGGAATACAAAAAAAAAAAAAAAAGAAAAAATCCAGCACCCAAAACAAAGCAAAATTCACAATGTCTGGCAAAGCAAAATTCATAGTCCCTGGCAGAAATTACCAGGGATGCAAAGGAAAATATGACCCATAAAATGGAGAAAAATCACAGAATGGAAACATACCCAGAAATAACCCAGTTGGTAGAATTAATAGACAAAGGGTTGGGTGCGGTAGCTCCTGCCTGTAATGCTAGCACTTTGGGAGGCTCAGGTGGGCAGATCACTTGAGCCCAGGAGTTCGAGATCAGCACAGCCAACATGGCGAAACCCATCTCTACTAAAAACACAAAAATTAGCCAGGCCTGGTGGCACACGCCTGTAATCCCAGCTACTTGGGAGGCTGAGGTACAAGAATGACTTGAACCCAGGAGGTAAAGGTTGCAGCGAGCTGAGATCGTGCCATTTCACTACAGCCTGGGTGACAGAGCGAGACTCTTATCAAAAAAGAAAAAAAAGAATTAGTAGACAAAGATGTTAGGACAACAATTATAAATGTACTCTGTATGTTCAGGATGTTAGAGAACATGAGAATGGTAAGAAGAGATATGGAAGGTATAAAAAAGACCCAAATCAAACTTCTAGTGATGAAGAATACAGTGTTTTAGATGAAAAATATATTGGCTGGGATTAACAGCAGATTAGACACTGCAGAAGAAAAAATTAGTGAATTCAAAGATAGTAATAGAGACTTTAAAAATGAAGAGAAGGGCTGGGTGTAGTGGCTCACATCTGTAATCCCAGCACTTTGGGAGGCCGAGGCAGGCAGATCACTTGAGACCAGGAGTTTGAGACCAGCCTGGCCAACATGATGAAACCCCATCTCTACTAAAAATACAAAAATTAGCTGGGTGTGGTAGCACGTGCCTGTAATCCCAGCTACTCAGGAAGCCAAGGCACGAGAATTGCTTGAACCTGGGAGGCGGAGATTGTAGTGAGTTGAGATTGTGCCACTGCACTCCAGCTTGGGCAACAGAGTGAGAAGCCGTCTCAAAAAAAAAAAAAAAAATGAAGAGGGGGAAAAAAATGAATGTAGCATAATTTAGTTATAAGACATACTCACAGATTTTAAAATAGACTTTTAGACCAGGCATGGTGGCTCACACCTATAATCCCAGCACTTTGGGAAGCTAAGGCAGGTGGATCACTTGAGGCTAGGAATTCAAGACCAGCAATATAGTGAGAGACCCCCATCTCTATATAAGTTATAAATTTTTTTTTAAATATAGACTTCTTTTGTTTTTTTTTTGAGATGGAGTTTCACTCTTGGCACCCGGGCTGGAGTGCAGTGGTGCAATCTCAGCTCACTGCAACCTCTGCCTCCTGGGTTCAAGCAATTCTACTTCAGCCTCCCAAGTAGCTGGGATTACAGGCGCCTGGCTAATTTTTGTATTTTTTAGTAGAGATGGGGCTTCACCGTGTTGGCCAGGCTGGTCTTGAACTCCTGACCTCAGGTGATCCACCCGCCTTGGCCTCCCAAAGTGCTGGGATTACAGGTGTGAGCCTCTGCGCCCGGCCAAAAATACAGACTTTTAAATAGATTTTTAAATAGTGTCAAGATTTTAAGGTCAAGATAGCATGCTTTCCCGCTCTAACTTTTCAGATCATTATATATTACCCTTTTTCCCCCTACAGGCATTTGGATGGCAATACTGAGCCAGGGCTTACATTAGGAGGCTATTTCTGCCCACAGTGTCGGGCAAAGTACTGTGAGCTACCTGTTGAATGTAAAATCTGTGGTAAGAAAACAACTATTCATTATTCAGTAAATCTTGAATGACTTCTTAATCTGTATTGCTGCTAAAATTAATGTAAATGTTAAGTTATTCCTATGTTTCTGGATTTAATCTGTGCAAAGAAAAATAGATTACTTTTTAAATTGAGTGCCCAGTACTCCACTTCCACGTATAAATGTAGCATTCTAGTTTCCTGATCCTCTTTCTGAAAAAAGTATATTCTTTAAAGGCAGTGCAGTAGATGTAGTAGACATTTTTCCATCTCTTACCTTTATAAAGTAAATATATATAAGAATGAAGAATTAAACTAATAGAATTGTCGAATTTTATTTCATTTATAATATAAGTAAGCAAATAGACCGAGACAGGTTGGTTACACACTTAGTGACAGAACTAAGACTCCATCCTACAATCTTCTGTTATAGCCACAGGTAAAATTAATAACTGCCATCCTAAAAGAAACTGAACATATTCTGCTGAAGTTACATCTTTTGGCTTTTCAGCCGTTGTCTTCATGAGGTTTGGACTACTCAACATGTCTCTCTGCTTAATGTGTTAGGTCTTACTTTGGTGTCTGCTCCCCACTTGGCACGGTCTTACCATCATTTGTTTCCTTTGGATGCTTTTCAAGAAATTCCCCTAGAAGAATATAATGGAGAAAGGTATTTCAGTTTGGACTAATTTATATCTGTTATAAGTGGTAAGCTAATGTTTGAATAGATTGTTACTACCTTAAAAAATAATCTGATTAACTTGGACAAGAGTACTTCTAATATGGAAGATGAGATAAAGAATGCCATAGTTATGATTGAAATGACTCGTTGCTAAATAGATCTGAATCTCCAGAAACCAAATAATTTCACTAAACCCACCTATGTATAAATAGGGGTGATGATTGTACTACTAAATCAGTTTTCCAGAAGGAAAAGAAAAAAAGCCCTGATTGGTAGTATTTGCTGATTTCCATGGTTTGAATACTCCCACCATGGCCAATTTTTAGCTACAATTAACAACCAGCTTTCTTGAATACATATTTAACAATATATCCTTTTGATCCAGTACAATCCAGTCCTAGCACACTACTGAAAATAAGAGGCTCATTCAGCACTTTGGGAGGCTGAGGTGGGAGGATCACTTGAGGCCAGGAGTTGAAGACTAGCTGGGGCAACATAGTGAGACACTGTCTCTTAAAAAAGAAAAAAAAAGCTGGACATGGTGGCTCATACCTGTAATCCCAGCACTTTTGGAGGCCAAGGCAGGCAGATCACCTGAGGTCAGGAGTTCAACACCAGCCTGAATGACATGGAGAAACCCCATCTCTACTAAAAATACAAAATTAGCCTAGTATGGTGGTGCATACCTGTAATCCCAGCTACTCGGGAGGCTGAGGCAGGAGAATCGCTTGAACTCGAGAGGCAGAGGTTGCGGTGAGCCAAGATCGCACCACTGCACTCCAGCCTGGGTAACAAGAGCGAAACTTCGTCTCAAAAAAAAAAAAATCTGGCATAACATAATTTATCTAAAATCTTTAAGTATTTTTACGAATGCTATTTGTGTGAAATACAACAAATAAGGTCTGAAATAGAGGTAGTCAATCCTTTAGAGAATAGTTTTCAGAAAATAAAGATTTACTACTTTTAAGAACATCTAGGATCGGCTGGCACGGTGGCTGACGCCTGTAATCCCAGCACTTTGGGAGACCGAGGCAGGTGGGTCACCTGAGGTCAGCAGTTCGAGACCAGCCTGGTCAACATGGTGAAACACCGTCTCTACTAACAATATAAAAATTAGCCGGGTGTGGTGGGAGGTGCCTGTAATCCCCAGCTACTCAGGAGGCTGAGGCAGGAGAATCCCTTGAACCTGGGAGGTGGAGGTTGCAGTGAGCCAAGATCACACCATTGCACTCCAGCTGGGCGACAAGAGCGAAACTCCATCAAAAAAAAAAAGAACATCCAGGATTTAGGAATCACATTAAACACTTACTGGCTAGCCAAAAACAATTATGTATCCATCTTGCTTTTCACACTTAAGTCATTTAGAAGTCATTCAATATCACCATATCTAGATCAATGTTGTTTTTGAAATTGTTGCATATTTCAGGTATAATTATGGTTTATATAATCAATTGCTTCCTGTTGGATATTTAAGATTTTCTTTTTTTGCTATTAACAAATAATGCTTATATCTATATTTTTGAACATTTGTACAAGTATAAATGCATGGTAAATTCCTAGAGGTAAAATTACTGAGTCAAGAGTTTTACATGTTTTGTGAATTTTGATAGATATTGTAAAGTTGTTCTTCAAAGAAGTTTCATTTATTGTTTTCCCACATTTAGCCAACATTAGGTATTATGAAACTTTTTTATATTGGCCAAAACTCACAGGCAAAAGAAAAAGAAAAAAGTCTCATTGTTTTAGCTTGGTATTTATTTGCTTATGGTTGAGGTTAAATGTAGTAAAAATGAAAAACCCAGTACTATAGAAGATAGAGTTGAAGAAATATTCCAGAAAGTACAATAAAAGGAGTAAAATAAAGAGGTTCAAATAGGAGAGTAAAGATAAGAATATTCACTGGTGGAATTATCCAGAAGGTCCAATATGAGAATGATACGAGAAAAAAAGAAAAAAAGTAGGATAGAAAATCATCAAAGACATAGTTCAAAGAAATTTTATATTGAAGGACAGAACTTTCTAGATTGAAAGGGCCTGTTGGCTGGGAAGGGTGGCTCATAGCTCTAATCCTTGCACTTTGGGAGGCTGAGACTGGGGGATCACTTGAGGCCAGGAGTTCCAGGCCAGCCTGGGTCACACAGCAAGACCTCATCTCTGCAACGAAGATAAAAGAAAGGGACTGCCAAGTGCCTAACGTATTGAAGGAAGGCAGACCCCATAATTGTGAAATTTCAGAATACACAATAAACCATTAACCCTAAACATTTCCAGAGAGGAAAAACTAGGTCACACACAAAGGATCTGGAATTAAAATTGTTTGGCTTCTCATTAGCAACACCGGATGCAGAGAGGGAGCAGTCACCTTCAAAGTTTGTGGTGAAAATTGTTACCAACTTAGATACCCAGCCAAACTGTCAGTTAAGTGTAGGTAGAATAAAGACATTTTCAGACTTGTAAGGTCTCAAAAAGAGATTTTTCTGGGGAAGGTCTGGAAGAGGTAGGTGATTCAAAGGAACTGAGAAGGAGAATGACATGGGATCTAGTAATATGTATCTAATTCAAAACAGGCTGAAGAACGGCCTAGGATGATGGTAAGGAGAAATTCCAGAATGATACCTGTGTGTCACATATGGGGAACCGTCCAGTTTGGAGACAGTCAGGATGCTCCAGGAGAGAGATCACCAAGGGGATGAAAACTGCAGAACTCCTGATGTATTTGAACATATCGAGAGGACAGTTAGACTATTCCGGAGAAGATTGGGCCTGAATTAGTGTCAATTATATAGGAAACTAACCTTGGGAATAGCAACACAGTATTTCCAGGAAAAAAAAAATGTTTTAAATAGGGGAAAACTTATGGCTTAGCTGAGAATATTTTTATAGGCATAGTAAACTAAACATTGATTATTGTTCTATCCAAAAGGAAGACTTCACTATGTAGAAAGAATTGAGAATGACACTAGTTAAATATTTATGCATTACTGGGTTCAAGATGATTGAAAGATAATTAAATTCTCTTCTTTCATAGTTGGAGATTTATAGCCAATAACTGTGAAGAATCACAAAGTAGCACTTATTAGAATAAGTGACTATCAAACAAACGTTAGAAAGTGCTTCTGGCTGGGCATGGTGGCTCATGCCTGTAATCCTAACACTTTGGGAAGCCAAGATAGGAGGATTGCTTGAGCCCAGGCATTCGAGACCAGCCTGGGCAATATAGTGAGACCCTGCCTCAATAAAAAATTAGCCAGGCATGGAGATACATGCCTGTAGTCCCAGCTACTCAGGAGGCTGAGGCAGGAGGATCACTTGAGCCCAGGAGGTTGAGGCTGCAGTGAGCTGTGATAGCACCTCAGCACTCCAGCCTTTGAGACAAAGCAAGACCCTGACTCGAAAACAAAGAAAAATAAAGCATGCTCACAGTTAACCTTAATGAAAATAAAAACTAAATTTTGGGCTGTCAGATGACCTTGTATATACTGTGGAATTTTTTTTTAAATTATTGCTATTCTTTTTTTTTTTTTTTTTTTGTGAGTCAGAGTTTTGCTCCCGTTGCTCAGTGTGGAGTGCAATGACACCATCTCGGCTCACTGCAACCTCCGTGTCCTGGGTTCAAGCGATTCTCCTGCGTCAGCCTCCTGAGTAGCTGGGATTATAGGCGCCTGCCATCACGCCCAGCTAATTTTTGTATTTTTAGTAGAGACGGGGTTTCGCCATGTTGGCCAGGCTGGTCACGAACTCCTGACCTGAGGTGATCCACCTGCCTCGGCCTCCCAAAGTGCTGGGATTATAGGCGTGAGCCACTGTGCCTGGCCTATTGGTATTCTTAACTCTTTTTCCTGAAAGTCATGTGTAAAGACAAGTACATATTAATTAAAGGATTCTAGTTAGTGAGATTTTGTTGAACTATTTTAATGAGTAAATTCTAAGAAAAAACATTGTTAAACTTTTTTTTCAGATTTTGTTATGGATGTCAGGGGGAATTGAAAGACCAACATGTAAGTTCTTTGGCTTTCTAAATATTAAGTAATGTACAAGAAATATTGAAATCAATGGTACTATAAGTTTTCAACAGGTTGTTAAAGACCAGGCTCATATCAGTTTATTTCTTGTAAAGATAATGACAATAGGTGAAGGTAAAATAGGAACAAAATAGTTTAAATAGTAGTTTTGTTATTCTGCATTCTAATTTTTGCTATAAAGTATTTTGTAATTCATCTTTTTAAAACTTTTTATTAAAAATTTTTTAATTTTTTTCCTCTTTTTTTAAATTCTTTGATTGTTTTGTCTACTTTGGTACACCCTTGTAAAACATGTAATTTGTCTTTAGCTTTCAAGCTAAACTGCATTTAGTCTGAAAGTATTTAAAATATTTTCTTCATATTATACTTTAAGCTGTGTGATAACACATTGAAATTGTTTAAGGTGGCCACAGATAATAGGTGATTCTTCCATTATGCCAATGAGAAAATACTTTTTTAAATTTTGAAGAGGGCCAACTTTAATAAATAAATTTGTATAGATGTAAATAATATGGATCACTGTCTAGCTTTAATTTTTAATTTAGTTACATGTTCATATTTAAAACTATATATATTATATAAAATAATAATTAGAAGTATTGCTCTTCCACTGTCACAATTTATAAAGTAATTTTATTAAATTTTATATACCTCTTTGACATCAGTAGTTTACTCTTAACTGGAACCACTTTTTGAATCATTTGACAGTTTTTTGGTTTTATTTTCTGAGACAGACTCTTGCTCTGTCACCCAGGTTGTAGTGCAGTGATGCAATCTTGGCTCACTGCAACCTCTGCCTCCCAAGTTCAAGTGATTCTCATGCCTAGCCTCCCAAGCAGCTGGGATTATAGGCGTGCACCACCATGCCCAGCCAATTTTTGTATTTTTAGTAGAGACTGGGTTTCACCATGTTGACCAGCTGGTCTTGAACTCCTGGGCTCAAGCAATCCACCCGCCTTGGCCTCCCAAAGTGCTGGGATTACAGGCGTGAGTCACTACACCCGGCCTCATTTGAGTTTTTAAGAATAGGTCATTGTCTGTGTTGTTTGAAATTTATTTATTCATTCTTTCTTTTTTTTTTTATTCAAAGCCAAATACTTCTGAGATTTAGTGATTTTTGAATCTGTGTATGAAGCTGCCCTGGAAATTTTATCCCAAGGAGCAAGTACTCATATATGTAATGCTGAAAGAACAAATGTAGTTTTTTCCTTTCTGCTTGTCTTATCTGTGTCATTTGACATATTTTTTTAAAGGTTTACTTGAAAGGGAAATATGTTTGCAATTGTGAGGTCATTCCCTAAGAATAATTAAATCGATGTTAAATTTTTATGCTTCTCTTTTTAATTGAATCAATCAGGTGGTCTTGCTAAGCATTCAAAAGTAGCGCTGGTTTGAAGCTCATATGTCTTTCCTAAACCTTAGAATGAAATAATTGAGAGCGAACTGTAATAGAATAGACTTTAAAGACTCAAAAACAAAACCATTCCCTCATTTCTAAGGGATAGTTTTGGGGAAAAAATTAATTGCCTTAGATTTGAGAATATAGAGTACATTGGAAGTAATAAAGTAGGTAGTGGGAAAAAATTGGTAGAGATATAAAAGAGCAAAGCACACCTTGAATGTCATCTAGCTGTGCTGTAATTAACTTTTGGAAACTAGTTTATCACTTTTCTTCTTTTCACTACAGGTTTATGTTTGTGCTGTGTGCCAAAATGTTTTCTGTGTGGACTGTGATGTTTTTGTTCATGATTCTCTACACTGTTGCCCTGGCTGTATTCATAAGATTCCAGCTCCTTCAGGTGTTTGATTCCAGCATGTAGTATACATTGTATGTGTTAAAAAGAAATTTGCAACTGTGAATAAAAGGACTTCTTTAGAAGAAGCTTCATTTAAAACATGAAAGGATAATCTGACTTAAGAAACTTTTTGCTAAGAAAAGGTAATATTTTATTAAATTTTAAATTTGTGTTGTCACAGAAATACCTGAAATTCAGTAGTACTTCATTCAATTAATTTTGTTTTCTATTATTTTGAGTTATACTGTTTTCAAAGTCATTATGCAGTATGTATAAACTTATAAGAATTAAATTGATGTGATAATTTTATGTTTTTATAATTAAATATAGAATCTTTATGATTTATGTTAATTCATTAATTTAGTGTAAGAAGAAAGTTAAGTCTGAATGTAAATTCAGTGTAAGATGAAAATTTATCAATACTTATGAAATTAGGCTGGGCGCTGTGGCTCACACCTGTAATCCCAACACTTTGGGAGGCTGAGGTGGGCAGATCACTTGAGGTCAGGAGTTCGAGACCAGCCTGGCCAACATGGTGAAACCCCGTCACTACTAAAAATACAAAAAATAATTAGCCGGGCATGGTGGTTCACGCCTGGAGTCCCAGCTACTTGGGAGGCTGAGGCAGGAGAATCGCTTGAACCCAGGAGGCGGAGGTTGCAGGGAGCCGAGATTGTGCCACTGCACTCCACCCTAGAGTGAGACTCCCTCTCAAAAAAAAAAAAAGTTATGAAATTAATACATATGAAATGATGTACTGCTACATCCACCAGAGAGGTCTTTTTAGGTTTAACCAAACATCTGGAATATGTTTATCAAGTTAGTACATCTGAAATTATTTGTGGCTATGACCAACAGAAGTCACTTTACATTAAACATTCAAACTCACAAGACTGCCATGGCCATACTTGGTACCCGCTTACTCAGAAGGATATTAAACAGAAACAACAGCCTGCCAGCACAGCATCAAGCAGTCCTCATTAGCAGTGGAAGTCCTTGTAGCAGTCCACTAGTACAATTTGGGTGCAAGGAGATAAGATCCTCCACAGGCATCAAGGAACCAATATCTCTTAACAATTCCATAAACACAGCTTCCAGGTATCCACAAGGGATGTGTCAATTTCAAGAGTCACTACACTCAGGAAAGCCTAAAGCTTGAAGACTCCATTTATTTATAGTGCATCCCAATCCAGATACGTAACAATTAACGAGTTATTTTTACTATAAGCAAAGTTGCCTAAAATCATAGTTGATACTAACCATGGTTAACAGAGCTCTAAAGTTTGACAGAAAGTGAGATTCAAATCCTTTCACTCTCATATGCTAAACCTTTTGCCTTACTCTGGGTCATCAGAGAAATTTAGGTGAGAATGTATGATGAAGTCTGTGTTTTAGATTCAATGCAGATATATCATTGTGGGCAGAACTCTTTCTGGTTATATCCAGTTAAGAGTAAATCAGGCTTTCAGCCGGGCGCGGTGGCTCACGCCTGTAATCCTAGCACTTTGGGAGGCCGAGGCGGGCAGATCACGAGGTCAGGAGATCGAGACCATCCTGGCTAACACGGTGAAACCCCGTCTCTACTAAACATACAAAAAATTAGCTGGGCCTGGTGGCGGGCGCCTGTAGTCCCAGCTATTCGGAAGGCTGGGGCAGGAGAATGGTGTGAACCCAGGAGGCGGAGCTTGCAGTGAACCGAGATCGCTCCACTGCACTCCAGCCTGGGCGACAGAGCTAGACTCTGTCTCAAGAAAAAAAAAAAAAAAAAGAGTAAATCAGGCTTTCATAGCAAAGGTATGTCTATTTTATGTATATAAACTTCAGGTACTCTAACTTGAGTTTCACTATGAAATTTGTGATTTTTTTTTTTTTTTTTTGAGATGGAGTCTTGCTCCATCGCCCAGGCTGGAGTGCAGTGGCCTGCTGTTGGCTCACTGCAACCTCCGCCTCCCAGGCTCAAGCCATTCTCCTGTCTCAGCCTCCTGAGTAGCTGGGACTACAGGCGCCTGCCACCACGCCTGGCTAATTTTTGCATTTTTGGTAGAGACGGGGTTTCACCTTGTTGATCAGTCTGATCTCCAACTCCTGACCTCAGGTCATCCACCCACCTCCGCCACCGTGCCCGGCCGAAATTTGTGATTTTATAACTAAGAATTTTTAGTTAAGAACATTATCAGTAAAGACAACGTAATCCCACCCTGGAGAGTTTATTGGGAGCCCAGGAATATTCATTTTTAATACACACACACACACACACACACACACACACACACACACACTGATCAGAGTAACGGGAGTTTCTCTCAGGAGTCATACTCCATGAGCCTGGACCCAGTGGTTCTTTATGTGGAAACAAATTTCACCTATAGGTAACCTGGTAACTGCTATTTTCTTCTGTGTGCTCTGTCAACAAAGGTATCAGTGGCTTGCAGGAGATGCCTTTAATACTCAGAGCATTCTATCTCCCCCTATCTGGTTTAGAAGGAAGGCCTTCATTAGTTACCTTTTGAGAAGTTACTAGAACTCTCTATTAGAGACTTACCCTCCTGACCTGATAAAAAGGGATACCCATGTCTCTATTAACAGCTTTATCTCTTTCTACAGTTTTGGGTATTTGATAAGGTTAAGGCAAAATTTTAGTTATGCTTAAGGAGGAGTTCTTTTTTCACAATTACAGAGAAAATTTTGGTTTGTTGAAGATTGCAGAAACAGCAATGGTAATGTAAGACAGTTTTGGCCTTTAATTTTTTTCTTGAAACTCTACAGTATACTACAATAGTGAAGGAAACTATTATCATGAGAGATCCTTCTGAATAGGATGTCTTTCTGAGTTCCACTATTCAGTTACAAAACTCCTTAATGCTTAAAATTCATTATGAAAATTAGATTTATTTTAAATACTTTCAAGTGTATACATTTTTATTTCATAATTTTTATTGTCTTTTAACTAAAGCATTTAGTTCATTTATATTTACTGTGTACCTTTTATATTTAATAAATATATTTACTTATTAAAAGATTACCACTGATATATTTTATTTATTATAAATATTATATTTATAAATATATTATTTATATTTATATTTATATATTTATATATATTTATATATAATATATATTTTAATATATTATATATTAAAATATATAAATATATCTAATAAATATAAATATTTATTAAAAGATTACCACTGATATATTTGGGTTTAAGTCTATTATCTTTGTGTTATTGGTTCCAACAATTCCATCTTTCGTTTTTTTAAATTTTTTTAACTACATATTTGATACGATCTTTTCCTTCTTGCCTTCTTTTTGATTACTTACTTTCTACCATTCTATGTTTTTCGTCACTAGTTTGAAAATTGTATACTTTGTTTTTATTCTTTCAGTGGTTACCCTAGAAATTACAACAAACAAAAATTGCAACAACAATAAATTACAACAAGAAGAATTTTTTTTTTTTTTTTTGAGACAGAGTCTCGCTCTGTCGCCCAGGCTGGAGTGCAGTGGCGCGATCTCAGCTCACTGCAAGCTCCACCTCCCGGGTTCATGCCATTCTCCTGCCTCAGCCTCCCGAGTAGCTGGGACTGCAGGTGCCTGCCACCACGCCTGGCTAATTTTTTGTATTTTTACTGGAGACGGGGTTTCACTGTGTTAGCCAGGATGGTCTCGATCTCCTGACCTCATGATCCATCTGCCTTGGCCTCCCAAAGTGCTGGGATTACAGGCGTGAGCCACCACGCCTGGTCAACAACAAGAATTTCTTAACTTAGGTCCCCTAGGAAGTAGAACCTGAGGCAAAGATGAAAGTATTGTTACTTTATTAGGGAGGGACAGATCTAGGGGGGTGAGAGTGTGGAAGAAAAGGGAAAGCAAAGCAAGGAAAAACGTGATGCATTGTGTTACTGCAGTGACCAGGCTTCATGACAAGCTGTGACGAGATACAGGAGCCTTCCAGCAAGTGTGTTCACTTAGAGTGTGGGGCTTCTCCAGAAGGTTTATAAGGAGAAACTGCCCCTCTGAGCAGTCCATTGAAGGGAGGAAGGAGAAGTAACTTAGTTTCCTAAGTTCTTCCATTTCCCGTTGATCCTAGTTTGCCCACAGGGCTGTGTCATCTCGTCCTTTGGTAACTGCTCAGGAAGCCAGATCTCGTGCTCAGTGGTGTGGCATTGCATCTACTTCTAGAAGGATTTCTCAATACTTTATAACTTCCTCATGTTTCTGGTCATGTTTGTGTTCAGCTATATCTCTAGAACGGTTGGCCAATTCATAGCATGAAATGATTTCATGAGTGGTGACAAAGAAAGGGTGCAATCAGCCCTTGGGGAGTGGGTTAGTGGAATCCCAGTCCTGAGGCCATTAGTGGGTGGCAGAGTTTAGGAGAAAAGGTAAGAAGTTTCAGTCCTTGGGCCCTGTAGTAAGGAGAAAAAGGGTACAGGAGGTTGTCACACTTCTGAGAAGTAGTCTTAGAGTGCCCTAGTGCCTGCTTTGGATCCAGTTCTGTAAGGGCAGAGGATTCATTATTTCCAGGTAATTTAAGTATGTTCTGGGGAGAAGTGTTACAAGATGGACTGGGGACTCGGCTGGGATCCTGATGGGATCTAAATTATTGATTTCACCTGACTGAATTGCTATTTGCGTCACACCTCAGGACCCTGGAAACAATACACAATTTGCCCATTCATTAATTTATTAATTCACTCAACAAACTTGTACATCTGCCATAAGTCTGACACCATCCTAGTTATCAGGGATGTAGATAGTCAAAAGAAGATGTAAACCTAACCTCATGCATCTGTGAATCTCCCCATCTAAAAAGACACAGCCTTGTAAAGAAGCTTGTGTGAAAGTGCTAACGACAGACATGCCAAGTGTTAAGGGGATGCAGGAGAGGCGTGGTAAAATGGGTTGGGAGGCAGCTCAGATGTCTAAAGGGGTCAGGCAGACAATGCAGATAAGTGAAAGAGGGCCAGTTGATGCAGAGTGGGGACATCTGGAAAGCACCCGCCCCATCTAAAGGAGGCAGCCTCTGAGAGTCTGGGGATCAGGGATAGAAGGGAGATGTACTTTTCACTGTACATCCTTTTGTATTTTTTAAATTTTGTTACTTAATTCAAAAAAATGTAAAAATAAAGTGAGGTAACCATTATTTGGCCCCAGCCTATTTTTTTCTTCTGGGAATGATACTTAAAGAGAAACTAAATCTGGATTTTTTTTTTTTTTTTTTTTTTTTTTTTTTTTTTTTTTTTTTTGAGACAAAGCCTTGCTCTGTTCCCCAGGCTGGAGTGCATTGGTGCAATCATGGCTCACTGCAGTCTCGACCTTCCAGACTCAAGTGATGGTCCCACTTCAGACTCCCTAGTAGCTGGGACCACAGGTGTGTGCCATTGTGCCTGGCTAATTTTTAAAAAGTTTTTTTTTGTAGAGACAGTGTCTTCCTATGTTGCCTAGGCTGGTCTTGAACTCCTGAGCTTAAGTAATCTGCACACCTCAGTCTTCCAAAGTATTGGAATCACAAGCGTGAGCCACCATGCCCAGCCGTAAAAACTGGATTTTTAAAGTGAATTCTCCCAAGTTTGAGATGTTAGCCTCTAATTTAGAAAAACACAGAGGCTAAATAAAACTTATCTTCAGTCCACCAGTTGACAAACTTTGGCCTGGCCTGTCTCTTTTCTATCGTTTATCATCAGGGCAGATAATCTTTTAAGTTTCAGGTGTTACACTTTCCTGGGATATACTCCTCCTAGGGGGTAATTTATTTACTTTTTGTTTTTGTTTTTGTGACAGAGTCTTGCTCTGTCAACCAGGCTAGAGTGCAGTGGCATGATCTTGGATCACTGCAACATCTGCCTCCCGGGTTCAAGTGATTCTCCTGCCTCAGCCTCCCGAGTAGCTGGGACTACAGTCATGTGCCACCATGCCTGGCTGATTTTTGTATTTTTAGTAGTGACGTGGTTTCACACCATGTTGACCAGGCTGGTCTCGGAACTCCTGACCTCAAGTGATCCACCCACCTTGGCCTTCCAAAGTGCTGGGATTACAGGTGTGAGCCACCGTGGCCAGCCTTAGGGGATAATTTAGGTTTTTTGTGTTTCTGTTTTAAATTTAAATTTTTATTTTTTTGAGGCAGTATCACTCTGTCTCTCAGGCTGGAGTGCAATGGCACAATCAACTCACTGCAGCCTTGAATTCCTGGGCACAAGTGATCCTCCCAATTCAGCTTCTCAAGTAGCTAGGACTACAGGTGTGCACCACCATGCCTGGCTGAATTTTTTTTTTAAGAGATGGACTCTTGCTGTGCTGTCCAGGCTCGTGTCAACTCCTGGCCTCAAATGATCCTCTCTCCTAGGCCTTCCAAAGTGCTGGGATTACAGACGTTAGCCACTGTACCCAGCCTAGTTCAAGTTTTAAGCATTAAGAATTGACTCTTTGGAGGAATAGGGATCTTTTAAGGATCTCTACAGTCAGTGACTCTAAATGTAGTGTTTGGACCAGTAAGTAGCATTAGCATCACCCAAGAAGTCATTAGAAATGCAAATTCTTGGCCAGGCGCGGTGCCTCATGCCTGTAATCCCAGCACTTTGGGAGGCTGAGGTGGGTAGATCACGAGGTCACGAGTTCGAGACCAGCTTGACCAACATGGTGAAACCCTGTCTCTACTAAAAATACAAAAATTAGCCGGCCGTGGTGAAGGGCATCTGTAATCCCAGCTACTCAGGAGGATGAGGCAGGAGAATCACTTGAATCCAGGAGGCGGAGGTTGCTGTGAGCCAAGATCGCACCACTGCACTGCAGCCTGGGCAACAGAATGAGACTCCATCTCAAAAAAAAAAAAAAAAGCAAATTCTTGAGCCCCATCACAGGCCTGTTGAATCAGAAACTCTGAGGATGGGTCTAGCAGTCCGCTTTAACAAATCCTCCAGGTGGTTACCATAAATGTTGAAGTGTGAGAGCTACTGCCTGTAATCCCATTTAGAGAGGTACATAGGTAACTTAAAAACAGGTCCTGATAAAAGAATTCTACTAAACTTAAAAAACAAATTCAGGTAACTTTATAAACAAACAAATCTCGGCCGGGCGCGGTGGCTCACGCCTGTAATCCCAGCACTTTGGGAGGCCGAGGCGGGCGGATCACGAGGTCAGGAGATCGAGACCATCCTGGCTAACACGGTGAAACCCCGTCTCTACTAAAAATACAAAAAATTAGCCGGGCGTGGTGGCGGGCGCCTGTAGTCCCAGCTACTCGGGAGGCTGAGGCAGGAGAATGGCGTGAACCCGGGAGGCAGAAATTGCAGTGAGCCGAGATCGCGCCACTGCACTCCAGCCTGGGTGACAGAGCAAGACTCCGTCTGAAAACAAACAAACAAAAAAAACAAATCTCAAACATGGAATTATTTTTTCACTTCTCTCTTTTGTTTTGTTTTTTTTTTTTTTTTTGAGACAGAGTCTCGCTCTGTCACCCAGGCTGGAGTGCAGTGGCGCGATCTCGGCTCACACTGCAATTTCTGCCTCCCGGGTTCACACCATTCTCCTGCCTCAGCCTCCCGAGTAGCTGGGACTACAGGTGCCCGCCACCACGCCCGGCTAATTGTTTTTTTGTATTTTTAGTAGAGACGGGGTTTCACCGTGTTAGCCAGGATGGTCTCGATCTCCTGACCTCGTGATCCGCCCGCCTCGGCCTCCCAAAGTGCTGGGATTACAGGCGTGAGCCACTGCGCCCGACCTTTTTCACTTCTCTTAATGCTCTGTAAACATTAATGTATTTATATATGTATTTAGAATTTTAAAAAATCAATTTTATTGAGTTATAATTAACATACAGTAAAAATGCTCCCATCTTGAGTAATTCCATGCCTTTTGACAAGTGTTCTGTACCCATGCCACGACCACCACAATCGAGAGAGAACATCTTCATCACTCCAGAAGGGCTCCTTTGCAGTGAGTACTCCCTAGGAGTTCCAGCGGCCGGTGACATTGATCTGTTTTCTGTCACTGTAGATGAGATTTGTCTGTTATATACAATTTTTAAAAATTAAATGATATGTATGGCTTCTTTTGCTTAGCATAATGTTTTTGAGCTTATTCATTTGTTGCATATATCAATACTTTGCTTCTTTTTACCACCTGTACTTCATTTATGGATACGTTGTTTATCCATGTGTTTATCCCCAATGGACATTGGGTTGTTTCTGATTTTTTGGTTATTATTATGAATAAAGTTGCTATGAACATTATTGTATAAATCTTTGTGTGTTCATGTGTTTTCATTTTTCTTGGGTAAATATGTAGGAATGGAATTGCTAGATTGTATGGCAAGAGTATACTTAGCTTTCCATGACACCAGTGAACTGTTTTTCCAAAGACATTGTATTAATACCATTTTACATTCCCACAACTAATGTATGAGCTTCCAGTTGCTCCATATCCTCAACTAACAGTTGATATTGTACAATACAAATGTTAACTTTTAGAATATCTTCACAACTTTAGAGTAGATAGTGATTTCTTAGGACACAAAAACTATCAATCATAACAAAAATTAAAATTGGACTTCATCAAAATTAAAAACTTCTTTTTGAAAGACACCATTAAGAAAATGAAAAGATGGTTAACAGACTGAGAGAATATATGTGCAATGTAAATATCTAACAAAGGACTAGTATGCAAAATATATAAAGAATCCTTATAATTTAGTAATAAAAAGGAAAACACGCACTTTTTAAATGGGTCAAGAATTTAATTACGGCCAGGTGCAGTGGCTCACACCTGTAATCTCAGCACTTTGGGAGGCCGAGGTGGGTGGATCACGAGGTCAGGGGTTCGAGACCAGCCTGGCTAACATGGTGAAACCCTGTCTCTACTAAAAATACAAAAATTAGCTGGGCGTGGTGGTGGGCGCCTGTAATCCCAGCTACTCGGGAGGCTGAGGCAGGGGAATCGCTTGAACCCAGGAGGCGGAGGTTGCAGTGAGCTGAGATTGTGCCACTGCACTCCAGCCTGGGCGACAGAGCGAGACTCTGTCTTTTAAAAAAAAAGAAAAAAATTTAATTACCTTACCAAAGAAGATACATGAATGACCAATAAGCCATTAAATTAAAACTTCAGTGAGTATACACATATGCCCTGAAGTAGCTAAACTTTAAAACACTGCCCTATGTGTGTGTACTTTTTAGCTAAAAAAGTGTTTGAAAACAGTATTATTTTGAAACTCAAAATTCCAAATCCTCTCTTCAAATTAGGTAGTAGTGTCACTGGAAGTAAAAGAGAAGTTACTTTAACTGCTAAAGAGTATCCACTAAGAATCTACAACAAACATCATGTTTAATGCTCAAACTTTAGAAGAATTTATACCAAAAGTCAAGAATAAGATAGGATATCTATCTTCATTATTAAGCAACATTATATTAGAGGACCTAATCAATGCAACAAGGCAATAAATAAAAGACAAAACTGTCATAATCAGATACTACAAACATCTAAGAAAATTCAGGGGGATTTACAGTCATATATTAAACAGTCCAGAAGGAGTCCTATACATCATCAATGAATATTGAGAATAAAAAATAGTTTTTAAAACCCCTCCAATTTATAAGGGCAACAAAATGTACAAGGTACTAAAATAAATGTAATGTGTATTTGGGTATAAATACAGCAACATAATGAAAAGGTTTATTGGGGAAAAAATTACAGGGAGAAGGGTCAACAACGTGAAGAGGTTCCCCTGCCATCTGGACTTCTGGAAAAAGACCTGCTGGTCTAGGCACAGCTGGATGCACCATGGAAAGTGGTTCCAATAAACACTGGCACTGTAACAATTGTGTATGTTGATACAAAAAGAGGGAGCCAATGAATACTTGGTCGATTATTTAACAATTGCTTCTCTGCTGAAGAAATGGCCTTGTTGGACTAGAGCTTAACTGTGGTTCACATACTAATGCTGCTATAACAGCTAGAAGCCTTACTAAGAAATTTGCTAAACCACCAAAAAGAGGAAATGAACCTTCTAGGACATCTGGATTGCCTTTTCTTAAAAATCTAGTCTTGGCTGGGTGCTGTGGTTCACGCCTGTAATCCCAGCATTTGGTGAGGCTGAAGTGGGCGGATCACGAGGTCAAGAGATCGAGACCATCCTGGTCAACATGGTGAAACCCTGTCTCTACTGAAAATACAAAAATTAGCTGGGCGAGGTGGCATGTGCCTGTAGTCCCAGCTGCTGGGGAGGCTGAGGAAGGAGAATCACTTGAACCCGGGAGGCGGGGTTTGCAGTGAGCTGAGATCACGCCATTGCACTCCAGCCTGGCAACAGAGCAAGACTCAGTCTAAAAAAAAAAAAAAAAATCTAGTCTGTATGGCAGCACAACATCAGGTAAAAGTACAGACTAGCCAGATCACTGGTTAACCTTAACCCCTATGTGCTTGAGTTTCCTTATCTGTAATATGGAGATGATATAGCAATAGCTGATTTTGGACTGTTAAAGGAATTAAGTGGACACATGTAAAGTGCTTAGAATTGTGCCTGGCAAGTAGTAGGCTGCAATATTGTGATATAATAAATATATATATTTGATCTTCATCCAGTTCCTGGCACAGATCTCCAGAAACCCTTGTAATTTCCTGAGTGACAGGGGTGATAGAAACATCTTTTATTAGAATACTTGGTCTTGGTTCCTGACACAAGAGCTTCTAAGACCTTTGGAATCTCCAAGTGATAAGAGTGTATGACAGTGAGCTAACTGGTGGCTGGGATCCTTTAGACAACTTCAGGATGGGGGCTATCCCCTGAAAGACTAAGGCATGATTAGAGGTCTGGGATTTGCAGCCCCACGCCTCGACCTCCAGAGAGGGTAAAAGGGCTGGCGATTGATTAACCACCAATTGCCAGTGATTTAGCCAATCATGCCTAAGTGATGGCACCTCCATTAAAAAATAAACCACAGGTTTGGAGAGCTTTCGGTTTGGTTAACCCCAACCACATACCAAGAAGGCGATGCACCTCAAACTGCATGAAGACAAAAGGTCCTGTGCTCACCTGGGACCCTTCTGGACGTTGCCCTGTGTACCTCTTCGACTGCCTGTTCATCTGTATCCTTTATAATAAAGCAGTAAACATAAGTAAAGTTTCTGAGTTCTGTGAGCCATTATAAGAAACGATCGAACCTGGGATTTTCCTTTCGGAAGCCGCTCTCTCTCACAAGGGAGAGAGCTGTTCTCCTTTTTCTTTTGCGTGTTAAACCTCCGCTCCTAAACCCACTCTTCGTGTGTATCGTGTCCTTAACCTTGTTGGTGCGAGACGACGAACCCCGGGTATTGACCCCAGACAACAATGCCACTTCATATTGGGGACTTCGTCTGGGATTCCAAGGTGCATTCATTGCAAAGGTGAGTAAAGGGGCGGACCTCAACTCTGTCCTTTGATTTCGAGGCTCTTGGCCTCCATTTTAGAATCAAACCAAACCAAATACTGGGCCCCCTTCTGCTTCTGTGAATGAGAAAACTCTGCCTTCACCAATTAGCCATTTAAAAATTATGAGCGTGGCTGCCAGCCTTACAAGTTTTGGGGGACAGGCTTGCTGGGGAGAACATGGAGAACCCCCCAATACCCACGGGCTGCTGGGCATATTGGCCATGTTTGAACCAGTTTCCTTTCACGGAGGACCAAGCTGTCGTGTGGGGCTGGAAGAGGTCCTGGAGCAACTGAGGATTTCTGGCTGGGGCTACCTCCTGGTGCCATCCGAAGGCTTCTGGACTGACCCCAGCCTCCGACCACCCTAAGGGGTGTCGGCAACAGGACCTCCAACTTTCCTATCATAATTCCCTCATTTCCTATCCACGACCACCATGTCTCCTAACCTCTCTCTGTATGCAGTACTGAGGGAGTTTTACAGTTCAGGGAAGTAATCTTGTTAGGCAAGAACAAAGACTGCTGTAGTAACCAGGGATATAGCACAGGGGCATGCTGTTGTGATTTTCTAGGAACAGAGGGTCTCCTCTCCCACCACAGTGAGCGTCACTCTCTGCCCTTGTTCTGGAAAGCACATGGCATGTCAAGGTCACTCTGCCCTTTGTCACAGTAAGATTAGGGTGGGGCGCCCAACCTTCCCCGCGTGCTATGTAAACGTCACACCTGTTCAAACCAACCTGTGGGCTCTGCGCAAATCAGACGCCGCCTCCTCAGGCCTACCTATAAAATCTGGTGCAGTCCACCGCAGGCCGGATTTTCCTTTCGGAAGCCCCTCACAAGGGAGAGATCTGTTCTCGTTTTTCTTTCTTTTGCCTATTAAACCTCTGCTCCTAAACTCCCCCAACCCCCAAGAAAGAAATTATCGAACCTGAGGGGGTTGCAGATACCCATGATTTGTAGTGAACTCAGACAGAAGTGTGGGTACCCTGAGGTCCTAATAGTTGTGGCTGGCATCTGAAGTAGGGGGCAGTCTTGGGGGCTGAGCCCCTAACCCGTGGGGTCTGCACTAACTCTGGTTAATTAGCATCAGAATTGAGTAAAATTGTAAGACACTCAGCTGCTGTCTGTGGAGAATTGGAGAATTGGTTGGTGGAAAACCCATATATTTGATGTCAGAAATGTGAGTAGAGAAATGGTTTTTCCTTGATAGGCTCTATGTAAATTTTAGTTCATGTTTTTGGTAATAAATACACAATATTACTGATTCTTAAAAGTATAAACCCAGGAAAATTAAGAAAACAAGAATGTCAAGTCCAACAGAGTTTAAAGGTAAAAAAAAATAAAATAGAACAGAAATGGGACCAGTAGCACATAGAATATTTTAACACATTCTTGGAAAGTAGAAACTATATGGACTAGTAGTCAGGAAGGAAGCAGCTCAAGGAAACCGCTTCCTGAATATGGAGTCTCCTATGAGAGACTATCTGCCCTATGGAGAAGCTTGGAGTAACTGCGGACACAGGATGCCAGATAGGAAGGAGGGCTGGAGTGACATGAAGGGCTGAAAATTGAGGGACTAATTGGAAGCCCGTGCACGGGACAGTCAGCTCTCTCTACCCCATGATCAGAATATTTGACACACAAGTGTTTACCCTGGGGCAAAAAATTACAGGAGTCTTCCCTGCTCCCCCCAAAATTGAACACATTGCTTTCTCTTAGCTGACCTAGAGAACCAGTGTGGGCACTGGCACCCCAAAACTAAGAATCCTTTTAAGAAATGGTGATTTTATGTCCAAGGAACGTTCCAAGTAAGTTTTCGGCTGCTAGCTTTGTCTTTACAAGTAACGGGCCAGGCCCAGTGGCTCATGACTGTAATCCCAGCATTTTGGGGGACTGAGGTGGGCAAATGGCTTGAGGTCAAGAGTTCAAGACCAGCTTGGGCAACATGGCGAAACCCTGTCTCTACTAGAAATACAAAAATTAGCCAGGTGTGGTGGTGCATGCCTGTAGTCCCAGCTATTGTGGGGCTGAGATGAGAGGATCACTTGAGCCTGGGAGGTAGAGGCTGCAGTGAACCGAGATTGTGCCACTGCACTCCAGTCTGGGTGACAAAGTGAGACCCCATCTCCAAAAACAAAACAAAACAAAAAAAACCCCAAGTAACTTGAAATCATTTTCTGAAATCTTTCTCTGACATTCTGACATTAGGGTAATTCTTGTTCTCCATAGAGTGAAAGGCTCAGGTTCAAGTCCCACTCCTGTGGCTCCTGATTTTTTAATGATTAGTTTGACCAATGTGTTTTTAAATGACTTAATTTTTAAACATGAGTTGAAAACCCAGGATCACTACACATTTGAGGAAAGTTGATAATATGAAAAGTAAACACCAAGGTAAGTGGTAAAAACCTTTGAGGAAACATAATTCAGGAAACAGGAACTTAAACATTAGTATCGTACAGCAGATTCAGGAAGATGGCACTGGTTAAAAAAATTGACACTATGAAAATAAGGCACAGAGAAAAGAAAGAGCTGTGGGAAATTATAATTGCTGAAATTTTAAACTAGATTGGAGAGCCGGAATATAAAGGAGAGGACAGCTGGGTGCGGTGGCTCACACCTGTCATCCCAGCATTTTGGGAGGCTGAGGCCGGCAGATCACTTGAGCCCGGGAGTTTGAGACCAGCCTGGGCAACAAGGTGAGACCCCCATCTCTACACAAAATAAAATATAAAATCAGCTGTGCATGGTAGCACACGTCTGTAGTCCCAAAACTTGGGAGGCTAGGTGGGAGGATCACTTGAGTCCAGGAGGTGGTGGCTGCAGTGAGCTGTGATTGTGCCATTGCACTCCAGCCTGGATGACAGAGCGAGACCCTTAGAAAGTAGGAAAAGAATATATGAAAAAAAAATAAGTGATCAATTAATTACTCACCTGAATAGTGGGAATACCAAAAGAGTAAAAAGAGAGTAACAGACAGTAGGAAGTTATCAAATAAATAATAGAAGGTAATTTCCCAGGCTTGATGGGAGACCCAAGAGCTCAGATTGAAAATGCCCATTGAATACCCAGCCCAATGAATGTAGAGAGGTCTACACTTAGGAGAAAAGATCCTAAAAGCTACCAGAAAGATAGAAACTGTTACTATAACAGAAATAAGACACTAGCACCTTAACTATTAACCAATCTTAACAAACTAGAATAAAGGCCGGATGTGGTGGTTCATGCCTATAATCCTAGCACTTTGGGAGGTCGAGATGGGAGGATCGCTTCAGCCTGGAAGCTTGAGGCTGCAGTGAGCTAGGATCGTGCCACTGTACTCCAGCCTGGGCGACAGAGTGAGACACTGTCTCAAAAACAACAGAAACAAAAAAACTAGAATAAAATACTTCTGGTGTGAGACTCTGTAGGTTTCATTACTCCTTTTGGGTCCTGATTAAATCCTGTTGACTCAAGACCTTAGAGCATTTACTGGTAAAGTCTCTGACTGCGCGATTTTTTTTTGCATTTTAGTTCCTTAAATATTTTCTCACTGCTTCCTACTAAAGGACGGACAGAGCATTTGTTCTTCAGCCACATACTTTCCTTCCACTGGCCAGCATTCTCCTCTATTAGACTAGAACTGTGGATAAACCTCAGGTAAGTAAATTACTATCCCTGGCAAAGGTGCTTTTCTTCCACACCTAAACCTATGGTCCCTTCTTTGTCTTGCTATTGTTTCTCTCTTTGGAGGCAGGATGGTATGGAGGAAAGAGGACAGACACTGGAGTCACACAGACTTGGGTTTAAATCCTAGCTCCATGGCACAGTTGCCTCAATGGCACTCTTAGCACTGTAGTCAAAGAATATTAGACCTGGAAAGGGCCTTGGAAATTACTTCTCCTCCCCCAGAAACAGCCTCTAGACTGGCATGATTGACCACCAAACTTCGTTGTGTCAGACAGGATCAATGTCTGCTGGTCTGCTGCAACTCTGTACTCATTTATCTCTGGGGAGGCCTGAAGCCTTGGTGCTGTTCCTTGGCCAAACCTAAATGAAATGTACTAGCCAGTGATTAATAGAGTCCTGTGCTGGGGTGGGAGACAGACCAGGGAGCAGCCTGTTTCTTGCTTCTTTCTTTCTTTTTGGAGATGAAATCTCATTGGCTTTGAACTTCTGGGCTCAAGTGATCCTCCCACTTCAGCCTCCCAAGTAGCTGGGATTACAGGTGCATGTCACTGCCCCAGCTTGACTATACCAGCTTGTTTCTGGTTTTGAGCCCTGGTATGCAAGCTAGTGTTGGCTACCTGATCAGAGGAGTATAAAAGAGCCTCAGATGAGGTTACAGTTCTCTTGAGACCAAGGTGTCTTGCATGTATCATCTAGCTGGTTCATTGCTTAAAGATGAAGCACATCTTCCACATCCTCTGTGGCTGCAAAAGGACCCTAGGAACTGGGTGTGGTGTTTCACTTGCCTTTTGGTTTGTTGGGTTTTTTTTTTTTTTGTATCTATCCTTTACCTTTATTAAAGCCTTATGTGAGGATACTATGCGGAGTCTTCTAAGTCTTTTCAATGATCCAAACCTGTGTAATTGATGAAGAGGGTACTGTGAATAGGATCATTACTTTTTTTTTGTTTTTGAGACAGGGTCTCTCTCACTCTGTCACCCAAGTTGAGTGCAGTATCTTGATCACAGCTCACTATAGCCTCAACCTCCTGGGCTCAAGAGATCCTCCCACCTCAGCCTCCCGAGTAGCTGGGTCTATAGGCGCACACCATCACGGCTGCCTAACTTTTAAAAAAATTATTTTGTAGAGCTGGAGTCTTACCATGTTGCCCAGGCTGGTCTCGAACTCCTGGGCTCAAGTGATTTGCCTGCCTTGGCCTCCCAAAGTGGTGGGATTACAGGTGTGAGCAACTGCGCCTGGCCCCAGGTTTTTTTTTTTCTTTTTTTTTTTCGAGACAGGGTCTCACACTGTTGCCCAGGCTGTAGTGCAGTGGCACTGAAGCCTGAAACCTCTGCCTCCTGGGTTCAAACAGTTCTTGTGCCTCAGCCACCCGAGTAGCTGGGATTACAGGCATGCACCACCACGCCCGGCTAATTTGTTTGTATTTTTAGTAGAGATGGGGTTTCGCCATGTTGGCCAGGCTGGTCTTGAACTCCTGAACTCAAGTGATCCGCCCGTCCCAGCCTCCCGAAGTTCTGGGATTACAGGTGTGAGCCACTGCGCCTGGCCCCCCAGTTTTTTACTTTATAATTTAAATGATAGCTAAGGCTTTGTTTGGGAGAAAGATGAAAAGTGGGGAAAGATTTAGAGCCACTGGTGCCAGGCTAGTTGCTGGGGAATCCCTGTTTGAATTTGCTGAAGTGCTACAACTCTCAATGGGAAGAAAGGGATGACAATGGAACTTGAAGGTGGTTGATGCAGAGCAAGAGGAAATCGCTAAATAGATTTAAAAAGAAATCCAGACACAGAGGAAGTCAGCCAAGAATACAGTTCCCTGGCTGGTTAGGCTGCTTTGGCAAAAATGAAAGTAACTAAAAAAGAGCCTGTGTTGCCAAGTCCACCAATTTCCTTCTGTAAAGGGAAGGAACATGATGCCAAAGAGGAGTTGGGCAGATATTTCTTCTGATGGGAATGTGACCCTCATCGGGTAGATAATCACCAACGAAACTACAGTGGGAGGGCATCAAGAGACAACTGAAACAGGGAACTACACAAGAGTGAAGTTGCCTGTGGACTGACAGAGCTTCCTGCAGAACCACTGCTGGGTTGGATATACATGAATGACAAAGGAGCTCTTTTCCTTGTATTAGGTACTGTCAAATGTACCTTCAAATGAAAGGGTGTGTTTGGTCTTAATTAGCTGAATTCGTTGAAGATCTTCAATTAGCTGCAGCTTTTGCCGGAATGTGGTTAGCTGGGCAAATTCCAAATCGGTTGAGCTGCACAAAGGTGGCAGTACATAAAACATATCTTGTAAAGGGGAACTGCCCAATTCCACCCATAATTGTTAGAAGAAATACTCCCTAGAGGTTACTGAAATGTTGAGAATGCAAACAAACACATTTGGACTGGTTCTGTGATGAAACTAAGGTATCCCTTAATTTTATGTCTTTGACTTAAGTGATGATTGTTGCTGTGATAAGAGGGCCTCTACCTTCGTAGACTTTTTGTATGACCCTACTACTGGGGGAGCAGGATGAAGTGAAAGCCTGTTGAAGACTTACTAGTTCCTTTGCTCCAAATTGTGCTGAATGATGAACAGATTAATATCATTCAAAAGAAAGGAGGCCGGGTGTCCTGGCTTACACCTGTAATCCCAGCACTTTGAGAGGCTGAGGCAAGAGGATTGCTTAAGCCCAGGAATCTGAGGCTGCAGTGAGCTAGAATCATGCCACTGCACTTGTACTACAGCCTTGGCAACAGAGTGAGCCCTTGTCTCCTATAAAAAAAAAAAAAAAAAAAAGGAAAGGGCTGGGCATGGTGGCTCACACCTGTAATCCTAGCACATTGGGAGGCCGAGGCGGGTGGATCACCTGAGGTCAGGAGTTCGAGACCAGCCTGGCCAACATGGTGAAACCCTGTCTCTACTAAAAATAAAAAAATTAGCCGGGCATGGTGGCACATGCCTGTAATCCCAGCTACTCAGGAGGCTGAGGCAGGAGAATTGCTTGAACCTGGGAAGCAGAGGTTGCGGTGAGTCAAAATTGTGCCACTGCACTCCAGCCTGGGTGAACAGAGCAAGACTCCATCTCACTTTGTTGCCCAGGCTGGTTTCAAATTCCTGGGCTCAAGCAATCCTCCCACCTTAGCCTCCCAAAGTGCTGGGATTACAGGTGTGAGCCACTGTGCCCAGTCAAGATTTCTAATGTATCCTAGTCTTGATGAATTAAACAAATAAACCTTTAGGATGATGCAAAAGCAGAATCTACAGTCACTTTAAAGCAGTGTGATGTAAAGAAAAGGGTGGCAGAGTCTCTTGGTGCTATGGGACCCAAGGACATTTACATTGGTGTGGATAAAATGCCCGGAGTGGTGAAAAACTTTATTGTCATTGTTGGACCATGGTGCATAATGTATTGTTATACCTGCTAATAAAAAATTAAACGGCAATTAACTTAGTTTAGTATGACAATACAACTGTAAGTTTAAGAGTGAAAAATGGGCCAGGTGTGGTGGCTCAGGCCTGTAATCCCAGCACTTTAGGAGGCTGAGGTGGGAGGATCACTTGAGCCCAGGGGTTTGAGACCAACTTGGCAACATAGTGAGACCCCCCCCACCAACACCCCCAACACGCTTGTCTCTATAAAAAATGGTGGTGTGCTCCTGTCGTACGAGCTGCTTGGGAAGCTGAGGTGGGAGGATCGCTTCAGCCCTTGAGGTTGAGGCTGCAATGGATGGTGATCAAGCCACTGCACTCCAGCCTAGGTGACAGAGCAAGACCCTGTCTCAAGAAAAAAAAAAAGTGAAAAATGTCCATATAAAAACTTGCACACTAATGTGCACAGCGGTACTATTTATAATAGCCAAAAAGCGTAAACAATCCACACATCCATCAACTGGGTTGAGGAATAAAATATGGTATATGTGATAATAAAGTGTGGTATATCCACATAATGAAATATTATTTGACAATGAAAAGGAATATGAAGTACTAAAACAATACAACATGGATGAATTTCGCTTCCTTTTTTTGTTGTTCTTTTTATTTTATTTTTTAAGCACCTCTACCAACATGAACATTTTGCAAAGTGAAAGCAACCAGACACAAAGGACCACGTACTGTATGATTCAATTTAAATGAAATGTCCCCAGTAGGCAAATCTATAGAGACAGAAAGTAACATAGTAGTTGCCTAGGGCTAGGAGGGTAACGGGGGACATGGAAAGCAACTGCTAATGGGCACAGCGTTTCTTTCTGGGGGGATGAAAATGTTCTAAAATTGATTGTGGTGGTGGTTGTGCATGTTTATGAATATGCTGATATTTATTGAACTGTACATTTTATTTACTTTTTTTAGAGACAGAGCCTCACTCTGTTGTCCAGGCTGGAGTATAGTACTGCAATCATAGCTCCCCGCAGCTTCATATTCCTGGGCTCAAGAGATCCTTCCACCTCAGCCTCCCACGTAGTTAGGACTACAGGCACATGCCACCATGCCCCGCTAAGTTTTCGTTTTCTTAAAAAAAAAGTTTTTTTAGAGACAGGGTCTAGCTATGTTGCCCAGGCTGATCTCAACTCCTGGTCTCAAGCAATCCTCCCGCCTTGGCCTCAAGAGCATTGGGGTTATAGGTATGAGTCACCGCACCCTCAGTTGTTCATTTTAAATGGGTGAATTTTATGATGTGTGAATTATATTTCTTTCTCTTTTTTTGAGATGGAGTTTCACTCTTGTCGCCTAGGCTGGAGTGCAGTGGTGCGATCTCGGCTCACTGCAACCTCTGCCTCGTGGGTTCAAGCAATTCTCCTGCCTCAGCCTCCCGAGTAGCTGAGATTATAGGCATGCGCCACCATGCCCAGCTATTTTTTTTGTATTATTAGTAGAGATGGGGTTTCACCATGTTGGCAAGGCTAGTCTTGAACTCCTGGCCTCAGCCCCCCAAAGTGCTGGGATTATAGGTGTAAGCCACCACAGCCAGCCCCAACTAGCTGGGACTACAAGCACGTGCCACCACACCTGACTAATTTCTTTTTTTTTTTTTTTTTGTATTTTTAGTAGAGATGGGGTTTTGCCATGTTGGCCAGGCTGGTCTCAAACTCCTGACCTCAGGTGATCCACCCACCTCGGCCTCCTAAAGTGCTGAGATTACAGGCATGAGCCACTGCTCCCGATGGATTATATTTCAATATAATTCAATTATGCAATATAATTGCATAATTGTTATCATCTCTCCCTGATATATTATCGGAATGGATGTGACATCTGAATGGGGATGCTGTTGAGGAAAGAGATTTCATGAAATGTACAGTGAGTGGCATAATTGTGGCTCACTGTAACCTTGAATTCTTGGGCTCAAGTGATCCTTCTGCCTCTGCTCCCCGAGTAGCTGGGACTACAGGCATGTGCCAACACATCTGGCTAATTTTTAAAATTTTTTGTAGAGACAAGGATCTCACTAAGTTGCCTAAACTGGCCTCAAACTCCTAGCCACAAACAATCCTCCCACCTTGGCCTCCCAAAATGCTGGGATTACAGGTGTGAGCCTCCACACTTGGCCACTTACTTTCTTTTTGATTCCTATTTCAGGAGAAAATCATAATCAATTTGCATTTGTGTGGAAAGGCCACCAATGCACATTTAAGCTGCTCCCACAGGACATTTAAATTATCTTGCTTATTGCTACAACCTAATGAGGAACAACTTAGATTTGATTGCACTGGAAAATACTATATCTTTTTTTTGTTTGTTTGAGATGGAGTCTCACTCTGTCACCCAGGCTGGAGTGCAATGGCGAGATCTTGGCTCACTGCAACCTCTGCCTCCCAGGTTCAACTGATTCTCCCGCCTCAGCCTCCTGAGTAGCTGGGATTACAGGCACCCACCATCATGCCCGGCTAATTTTTTTTATTTTTGTAGAGATGGGGTTTCACCATGTGGGCCAGGCTGGTCTTGAACTCCTGACCTCAGGTGATCTGCCCGCCTCAGCCTCCCAAAGTGCTGGGATTACAGGCATGAGCCACTGCGCCCAGCTAATACTATGTCTTATTATATTGATGATAATAATGTTAATCTCTCAATCCAAATATCCAGCTAAGACTGAATTGGAAGTGCTTGTTAATCATATAACCACCAGGGAGGGATGATTAACTGGCTAAAATGCAAGGCTTAGAATAAATGGTAAAATTCTTAGAAATTACTTGGGCTAGGCTGGGTGTGGTGGCTCACGTCTGTAATCCCGGTGTGGGAGCTGAGATTGCGCCACTGCACTTCAGCCTGGGCGACAAGGACAAGAGTGGGAAGCCAAGGCAGGCGGATCACTTGAGGTCAGGAGTTGGAGACCAAGCTGGCCAACATGGCAAAACCTTGTGTCTACTAAAAATACAGAAATTAGCCGCAATTGGTGGCACGTGCCTGTAATCCCAGCTACTCAGGAGGCTGAGGCAGGAGAATTGCTTGAACCCAGGAGGCGGAGGTTGCAGTCAGCCGAGGCCACGCCACTGCACTCCAGCCTGGGTGACAGAGTGAGACTGTCTAAAAAAAAAAAAAAAGGAGGAATTACTTGGGCTAGAGCCACTAGAAACATTCCCAAACAACCAAAATTAAGTTGCTAGCTACAAGACAGAGGAAAAAGGCACGAAAATTAGTTCAATTTCTTGGTTCCTGGAGAAATCACATACCATGTTTGGGAATTTTATCAACCCTTATTCTCGAAGTTAAGAGGGAATGGGGAGCTAATTTACATGGGGCTTTGAAAAATGAACAAATGGGAGACTTTTTGGGAACTTCGAAGAGATTACTTTGGGGCCATAGCACCTCAGTGTTCAAATGATGTTAGCAATGTCAGCAACCGACTCACGCTGATGGAGCTTCTTACCAAAGCCCGTGACTGCCCCTCAGGGATGGTCATGGGGATTTGACACTAGAAAGTTACCCGAGGCTTCTGGCAGGTATATGTCCTTTGAAAAACAGTCATTGGCCTGTTACTGAGCTTCTTTTTTTTTTTTTTTTTTTAAGACGGAGTCTTGCTCTGTCACCCAGGCTGGAGTACCGTGGCGCGATCTCGGCTCGCTGCAAGCTCCACCTCCTGGGTTCACGCCATTCTCCTGCCTCAGCCTCCCGAGTAGCTGGGACTACAGGCGCCCGCCACCACGCCCGGCTAATTTTTTTTGTAGTTTTAGTAGAGATGGGGTTTCACCTTGTTAGCCAGGATGTTCTCCATCTCCTGACCTCGTGATCCACCTGCCTCGGCCTCCCAAAGTGCTGGGATTACAGGCGTGAGCCACCGCGCCCGGCCAGAGCACCGAGACTTAAAACATGAACACAAAATAATGATTTTTTAAAACTGAGTAATTCGATCAAATTGTTGCTGCCAGGCTATACAATTTTGTCTATGTTTTTCTTTAATATAAATGTTCAGTATATGCTCATGTTACCACATTGTGTCCATAACTGATATCTGGAAAGCTTCATGAATGGAGGCAGATGGGTGTCTGTCTTGTTGGTTGCTAGATCCCCAATGTCTAGCACTGTACCTGATATATAGTAGGTGCTTAGTAAATATTTGTTGATTAAGTAGATGAATACTGATGTTTCATAATTTTCCAACAATTTATCTTTTGTGTTGAAATTCCAGGCATTCCTTTAATTCCTGGTTTCTTCGGAAACAGTGGGAAATGCTCTTCTAAGAAAAATCTTACTATAAGGGATCAACCTGCTTTATTTTCCTTTTCAGAAAATGGCCACCCAGCAGAAAGCCTCTGACGAGAGGATCTCCCAGTTTGATCACAATTTGCTGCCAGAGCTGTCTGCTCTTCTGGGCCTAGATGCAGTTCAGTTGGCAAAGGAACTAGAAGAAGAGGAGCAGAAGGAGCGAGCAAAAATGCAGAAAGGCTACAACTCTCAAATGCGCAGTGAAGCAAAAAGGTTAAAGACTTTTGTGACTTATGAGCCGTACAGCTCATGGATACCACAGGAGATGGCGGCCGCTGGGTTTTACTTCACTGGGGTAAAATCTGGGATTCAGTGCTTCTGCTGTAGCCTAATCCTCTTTGGTGCCGGCCTCACGAGACTCCCCATAGAAGACCACAAGAGGTTTCATCCAGATTGTGGGTTCCTTTTGAACAAGGATGTTGGTAACATTGCCAAGTACGACATAAGGGTGAAGAATCTGAAGAGCAGGCTGAGAGGAGGTAAAATGAGGTACCAAGAAGAGGAGGCTAGACTTGCATCCTTCAGGAACTGGCCATTTTATGTCCAAGGGATATCCCCTTGTGTGCTCTCAGAGGCTGGCTTTGTCTTTACAGGTACCTTGAAATTATTCTCTGAAGTGTTTCTCTGGCGTTTTAAGTTTAGGTTTTATTTTTCAATTGCTTTTGCAATATTTTGCTAAACTTTCTTCACTGGTTAAATGTGTTATATTAGGTATAAGGTCTAGTTTATTAAAATTCAACATCAATATTTTTATTTTTGCTTCATTTTCTATTTAGTACAGCCTGTGTTAATTTGTCAAATATATATAAAATAAGAAAGTTACGTCTCCTTAAACTTGGACCTTAGAAAATACTGGCTGTATTCTTAAGGTCCTGAAAAGATTAAATAACTCATGCGGTCATCCTGATCCCAGTCTCCTCACCCACCCTCCTTCTACTGCTCTTACATGATCTTTCTTTGATTCTTCTCATTGCTGCAGTATTGGAGGGTTTTGTTTGTTTGTCCTAGCCCCGCCATAGGGGTTATGATATATAAATCAGAGTTCTAACAATAACAACGATCATTTACTGAGTACTGTACCTACTTTATGCTAGGCATAGAGTGAGTACTAATTCTTATCCAATGAATTTACCCCTTTCTCTCCCATTTCACAGCTGAGTTCATGGAGGCTCAGAGACTTTAAGAAACATGCCTATGTTTCTACCGAAATGTCATGGCAAGGCTAAAACGTAGGTTTTCTAATTGCACGTTACTTCAGCTGGTCCTGGTGTTAGTCGGCTTCCCTATCACTTTGACCCTGAGAGCTCAAAGAGCAACATACCAGCTCTGGGGGGCAGCTGGGGCAGGATATTGAGTTACACAGCTTAGGGTTCTGTACCTAGAGCACGGCTGTGGTGGAGGGGCCCATTTTGGGTGGTGGGATTGAGGATGGAGACTCAGGCCAATGAGATCGGGAGTGCACAGCCACGCTGGAGCTTGTCTTGCTCCTGAACAAAACAATCAACTCTGTGTACATACCCCCTGGTGCCACTGCCAGGCAATCTAAATATTTTCCTTCATATATAGGTAAACAGGACACGGTACAGTGTTTTTCCTGTGGTGGATGTTTAGGAAATTGGGAAGAAGGAGATGATCCTTGGAAGGAACATGCCAAATGGTTCCCCAAGTAAGTAGATAATTTTTGCTTAAATGTTTCTTTCTTTTTTTTTTGAGACAGTCTTGCTCTGCCACCCAGGCTGGAGTATAGTGGCATGACTTCAGCTCGGTGCAAATTCTCCCTCCCTGGTTCAGGTGATTCTCCTGCCTCAGCCTTCTGAGTAGCTGGGATTATAGGTGTGCACCACCAAGATGGGCTAATGTTTGTATTTTTAGCAGAGATGGGGTTTTGCCATGTTGCCCAGGCTGGTCTTGAGCTCCTGAGCTCAGGCAGTCCACCCACCTAGGCCTCCCGAAGTGCTAGGATTACAGGCGTGAGCCACTGTGCCTGGCTAAATTTTTCAGTTCTTTAAAAGACAAAATGAAAGACAAAAGAGCCACCTTTCTGGAGTAGCACCTTCAGTTTTGATCTTTCCCTATTCAAAATTGGACCACTCCAGGATTTATTCAAGCAGGAAAGGCCTAATTACATTGTGAAAAGTTTGAATTATAGAATTTTAAACAGTTTTTAAGTATTTCATTATCCCAAATTCTAAGATAGGTTTTGCCCAGTAGAAGTTTCATGATCTGCCTTAATTAATAAATAAGGCTGGAAGTGGTGGCCCACACCTGTAACCCCAGCACTTTGGGAGGCCAAGGCAGGAGGATTGCTTGAAATCAGGAGTTTGAGACCAGCCTGGCATGTAGAGACCCTGTTTCTACAAAAATAAAAAAAATTGGCCAGGCGCGGTGGCTCACACCTGTAATCCCAGCACTTTGGGAGGCTGAGGCCGGTGGATCCGAGGTCAGGAAATCAAGACCATCCTGGCTAACACGGTGAAACCATGTCTCTACTAAAAATACAAAAAATTAGCCGGGAACGGTGGCGGGTGCCTGTAGTCCCAGCTACTTGGGAGGCTGAGGCAGAAGAATGGTGTGAACCCGGGAGGCAGAGCTTGCAGTGAGCCGAGATAGCGCCACTGCACTCCGGCCTGGGCGACAGAGTGAGACTCCGTCTCAAAAAAAAAAAGTTAGCCAGGCATGGTGGCGTGTACCTGCAGTCCTAGCTACTTGCGAGGCTGAGGCAGGAAGATTGCTAGAGCCCAGGTAGTCAAGGCTGCATTGAGCCGTGATCAAGCCACTGTGCTCCAGCCTGGGTGACAGAGTGAGACCCTGTCTCTAAAACTAATTAAATAAGTAATAATAATTTCCATAGGGGTGGTGTAAAATGGTGTATGCTGGAAGGTAAAAAATATTTAAACATTATTACAAATGGTTTCATGTACTGCTAAATATATACCAAATGAAAACACTGTATTTTTAAACCTCAGAAAGAGTTTTTATTACTGCAGTGGTCTTTAGTTCCTGGCTTAGAAAAGGAAGTACATTTTAATTATTTTTAATGCTATATTTACTAGTATTTTCTACATGACTTTCTTTGTTTCTACCAAGTACAGATTCATTCCTTTAACAAGTTTTTAAACTTTCACTGTGTAAAATTTCATACAAAGATAGAATAGTGTAATAAATACTTGTCAACACATAGCCAAATCATATTTCATCCATCTCCTACCCACCTTTTTTCCTGGAAATAATAACAATAACTATATTTTTATTTTATTTTATTTGAGACAGAGTCTCGCCCTGTTGCCCAGTGGTACGATCTTGGCTCACTGCAACCTCCACCTCTCAGGTACAAGTGATTCTTGTGCCTCAGCCTCCGAGTAACTGAGATTACAGGCATGCACCACCACACCTGGCTAATTTTTGTAATTTTAGTAGAGATGCGGTTTCATCATGTTGCCCAGGCTGGTCTGAAATTCCTGGCCTCAAGTGATCCACCCACCTTGGATTCCCAAAGTGCTAGGATTACAAGCATGAGCCACCTGTGCCTGACCAAGATTTGTTGTTTTCTTTCTTTCTTTTCTTTTTTTTTTTTTTTTTGAGAGTGAGTTTTGCTCTGTTGCCCAGACTGGAGCCCAGACTGGAGTTTAGTGGTGCAATCTCAGCTCACTGCAACCTCCACCTCTCAGACTCAAGCAATCCTCCCACCTCAGCGTCCTGAGTAGCTGGGACCACAGGTGCCTACCACCATGCCCAGCTAATTTTCATATCTTTTATAGCGACAAGGTTTCACTTTGTTGCCCAGGCTGGTCTGGAACTCCTGGTTCTACAAACTCCTGGGCTCAAGTGATCCTCCCACCTCAGCCTCCCAAAGTGCTGGGATTACAGGCATGAGCCACTGTGCTCAGCCCCTTAAGATTTTTAATTCGTAGATTTCCTCTTTATCCATCTCTTTTTTCTTGTCACTTATTTGTTAAAGAAGCCATGTAATCTGTCCTGTAAAATTCCCTCTACTCTAGATTTGGCAGAATGTGTTCCTCTGGCATAGTCTAACATGTTCCTCTACCTTCTGCATTTCCAGGAACCTGACACTTGGATCTAGCAGTTTGGTCAGGCTCAGATTCTATTTTCTTTCTTTCTTTTTTTTTTTTTTTTTTTTTTGTGACAGTCTCACTCTGTTGCCCAGGCTTGAGTGCAGCGGTGCAATCTTGGCTCACTGCAACCTCTGCCTCCTGGGTTCAAGCGATTCTCCTGCCTCACCCCACCCAGGTCTGGGATTATAGGTGCGCACTGCCACACCTGACTAGTTTTTGTATTTTTAGTAGAGACGGGGTTTCTCCATATTTGCGAGGCTGGTCTCGAACTCCTGACTTCAGGCAGTCCACCTGCCTCGGCCTCCCAAAGTGCTGGGATTATAGGCATGAGCCACCGTGCCCAGCCTCAGATTCTATTTTCTTTAACAAATATTTGTCACACACCTACTACATGCAAAGTTGTTGGTTGGATACTAAATTAACTACAAAACTGGACACAGTTATTTACATTTATAAGTCATCTTGCACATGGACAGCCATGCCCACAAAAGTGAATGGAGGCCCGGCATGGTGGCTCATGCCTGTAATCCCAGCACTTTGGGAGGCTAAGGTAGGCGGATCATTTGATGTCAGTAGTTCAAGACCAGCCTGGCTAACATGGTAAAACCCTGTCTCTATTAAAAATACAAAAATTGGCCAGGCGTGGTGGCAGGCACCTGTAACCCCAGCTACTTGGGAGGCTGAGGCAGGAGAATTGCTTGAGCCCGGGAGGCAGAGGTTGCAGTGAGCTGAGATTGCACCACTGCACTCCAGCCTGGTCAACACAGCGAGACTCCATCTCAAAAAAAAAAAAAAAAAAAAAAAAGGCTGGGCACAGTGGCTCACACCTGTGATCCCAGCACTTTGGGAGGCCAAGGCGGGCAAATCACTTGAGGCCAGGAGTTCATTCAAGTGATGAACTCTCCTCTCCCCTCTTCCCTCTCTCCTCTCTCCTCTCCTATCTCCCCTCTTCCCTGGCCAACATGGTGAAACCCCATCTCTACTAAAAATACAAAAATGAGCCGAGCGTGGTGGTGCGTGCCTATGGTTCCAGCTACTCGGGAGGCTGAGGCAAGAAATTGCTTGAACCTGGGAGGCGGAGGTTGCAGTGAGCCAAGATCACTCCACTGCACAGCAGCCTGGGCAACAGAGTGAGACTCCATCTCAAAAGAAAAAAAAAGTGAATGGATATCTTTGATATGTTTTGATACGTTGTGTGGGAAAGCAATATGCACAATAAGTGCAGTGTGAGACTTTGAAAATGTTTAAAACCACTCAAACTATATATGGAGTTGCTTGAAAATATATAGAAAACCTTATGAAAATATGTAAACCAAACTGTAGATACTTCTGGATCTGGATTTGTCAGGGGGTGAAGTAGTGATGGATTTTCACATTTATTTTGTTCATTGCTGTCTTGTTTAAATTTTTGGAAACAAGTATATATTACTTTCATAGTTGAAAAGAAAGTGAGGAGATTAGGAGGGAGGAAGTAAACAAGGGAGGAGAGGAGAAAGGCAGGAAGAGGAGAGAGAGAAAGTTAGACAAGTAGATGAGATGGTTATAGGGACGAATGAAGCTAGAATTGTGAAATCATTTGACAGTCACTCTGGCTCCCTGACGAATCAAAACAGCCACCCAGGCAGTCCTTGTCCATGCTGACAGTGCACCATATATGCATATGTAACAGGGAACAGCAGCCCCGGCTGGAGCACAAGCCGCTGCTCGTGGGCACCTGTCTCAGCTCTAGCCTCAGCTCAGGCTTCACTTAGCCTCAGGGTCACTGTGTTTAGTGTCGCTGGGTTATACACTGGACAAGTACCAGTGGCACCACTCACACATGATCACATTATCATGTGACTAGCACCTACTAGAGCCGCACATCCTGTCTGCAGGGGCCTTCATATGCCTTCTCTAACATAGTCAGAGGGTAAGGTAATAAGCACAGGGAGGGGAGACAGCAGTCCAGCAACCACTCCTAGAGAGGAAGGAGTTCAGGCCAGCAAACAAGGGCAGGGGGTAGTGCAGAGGCTTAGGAGATAGAGCCAGGCTTGAATCTGCTGCTACCTGACTACCAGACCCTAGGCAGGTGACTGACCTTGTCTGAATCTCATATGTAAAATGCAGTGTCAACAACAACAAAAAAATTAGAGACAGATATCCCCAAATATGTCAAATTTATTCAGGAATAAGAAAAGAGGGTTATGATTTGGAATGCACTACTGTAAACCACAGGCACGTGCAGTGAGGGAAGAGTAAAGGGAATTTTTCTTGGCAAAAGGGAGAAGTTCACATAAGCTGCTTAGAAACAGAGTTCATAGCTGGGCATGGTAGCTCATACGTGTAATCACAGCTATGTGGGAGGCTGAGGCGGGAGGGTCTTTGGAGGCCAGGAGTTTGAGACCAGCCTGGGCAATGTGATGAGGCTCCAGTTTCTTTAGAGAGAGAGGAGAGAGGGGAGAGGGGAGAGGAGAGAGAAGACAGGGGACGGGGGAGAGGGGAGAGGAGAGAGGGCAGAAGAGAATTCCTTGGTTCTGAAGGCTCAAAGCCAGAGTTCTTGTGTGTTCATTGGTGGAGATGCTGTTCCTGGGCAGGTGTTCTTTTGACAGCATCTCATCTCATGTTATCTTATCTGAATTGCTGCAGTCCAAAAGAATGTGCAGTGATAAACCTTGCCATAGAAATATGTGCGTACATGCAAGCAATGCAAAGCAGGAGATGCGTGACAGGCGTGAAGGGATTTCTTATGGGATTCTTAGAAAGTCTTTGGAACCGTTCCTGTCTTGGACATGAAAGCCTGAACCCCACTCCTTCGTGCCTTCCCAGCCCTATTTTGTGTGGGTCTGATAAAAGTGATTTCATCTTGGTATCTGCGACTTCCACAGCAGATAATAATGTACAGCTTGTCTGGTGGTTGTAAGGATGAGAAACAAAGTATATGGATCAAATGCTTTGTAAAAATTACCATGTATAATGTGAGGATGACAGATGACCAACTGTTTTGCCTTTCATTTGTTTGTCGTCATAAGCACATGGTCAGTCAATAAAATCTAAGAGCTGGAATTAGAGCAAGAATCCCCAAGTTTCTTGTTGGGTTACTCTGTCTTTAGCTTTCTGGACTTCAATTTGTTGCTTCTTTTTATCAACTGTCAACAAAATGAGTATACCCTTACACTTTTTAAAATGTGGCACTCCATAAATGTAAGATGATTTTATGGTAACTTTTTAAGGTACTGAGTTCCTCCTCAATCCATATAAATCATGAGGACAGGGAACCACCCCGTGCATTGTGTGCCATGTAGGTTATGTGCAGACTTACGGCAATCCTTGGAAACATTTATACACCTGAAAACTGGGAACCCTGGCTGCCTATCACATAGAATCATGGCCCTGGGGAAATATGCAGATCATCTGATGGCATCCATGTTCTCCTGTGATTATAAGAGAACATGGCAAGGTTGGTCACATCCCCACTGGTGGAAGAGCGGGTACTAATGCTCCAGCCTTTGGGTTCCCAGCCCATTCTTTGCTACAGCACCATAGAAAGAAAACTTAAATTTGAATTGGAGGGATTTTTATTTTTATTTTTATTTTTTTTGAGACAGAGTCTCTCTCTGTTGCCCAGGCTGGAGTGTAGTGGTACAATCATGACTCACTGCAAACTCTGCTTCCCAGGTTCAAGTGATCCTCCCGCCTCAGCCTCCCAAGCAGCTGGGATTACAGGCGCCCGCCACCATGCCTGGCTAATTTTTGTATTTTCAGTAGAGATGGGGTTTCACCATGTTGACCAGGCTGGTCTCAAACTCCAGGCCTCAAGTGATCCACCCGCCTCAGCCTCCAAAAGTGCTGGGATTACAGGCATGATCCCCCATGCCCAGCTGAATTGGAGGAAATTTTAAAAGTTAATTTTAAAACTGCTTCTCTTTTATGGGAAAGGAATATGTTTTTAAATGGTATTCAGTGTGCTCTTTTTTAAAAAAATCAAAAATTATCCATTAACATCCGTTACTTTTTTTGTTTTTGGTTTTTTTTGAGATTGAGTCTTGCTCTGTTGCCCAGGCTAGAGTGCAGTGGCATGATTTCAGCTCACTGCAACCTCCACCTCCCAGGTTCAAGCGATTCTCCTGCCTCAGCCTCCCAAGTAGCTGGGATTACAGGCGCCTGCCACCACACCCAGCTAATTTTTGTACTTTTAGTAGAGACAGGGTTTCACCATCTTGGCCAGGCTGGTCTCGAACTCCTGACCTCGTGATCCACCTGTCTCGGCCTCCCAAAGTGCTGGGATTCCAGGCGTGAGCCATCACGCCTGGCCTAATAGCCATTACTTTTTAATGCATGGTAATTTTTTGTTCAGTAGATAAATATATTGTTATCTTAAAAAGATTTTTTGTATTTACTTTTGAGACTGGGTCTCAGTCTGTTGCCCAGGCTGGAGTGTAGCAGCCTGATCATGGCTCAGTGCAGCCTCTACCTCCCCGGGCTCAGGTGATCCTCCCCCTTCAGCCTCCTGAGTAGCTGGGACTACAGAGGTGTGGCACCATGCCCGGCTAATTTTTGTATTTTTTGTGGAGATGGGGTTTTGCCATGTTGCCCAGGCTAGTCTTGAACTCCTGGATGTGAGCCACTGCGTCTGGCCTATTATTTTAAATATAGTTCTCTTTACTGCCAGTAGCTTTCATATAACCCTAGCGACTAGATTTAGTCACCACTGCTTAATTCCAAAAAACAAAAGCTCCATCCTATATTTACTGTAAATCAGTCTCTTTGATTGTATTGCATGTTTTATTTCAAGAAAAAAGTTAACCTGAAGATTTAATTTTAAATAACTACACATGTTGTCACTAATAGAAATAACAAATAATTATATGAGAATAATGGTAATTCTCCTAAGTTTTGTGGTAAATTTTTTGGCAATTTTATTGAAGTATAATAAAATTCAACAATTCAATACGTCTTTATAAATGTTCATTGTGATATAGGACAGCTCTATCACAGTACTGGGGTAAATTTTAATTATATTTATTAATTACAGATGTGAATTTCTTCGGAGTAAGAAATCCTCAGAGGAAATTACCCAGTATATTCAAAGCTACAAGGGATTTGTTGACATAACGGTAATGTATAACAGCAATTTTTTTCTCAAGTTTTTGGATTACCTGTAAGTGTCTGACTCAGAAGGGCATAGGCATTCTTTTTATGTCATGGGTTTGATTTCTTTCTTCCTTTCTCCTTTCATTCCCCTGGCTCCCATCTTCAAAGTGAAAAATATCACATTCACTTGCTGACCTAGAGCCTTTTTCTTTTTCCAGGGCTGGCTTCTGACGGGCTCTGCTTGCCTTCCTGATAGTCTTCCCCTTTATGAATGAAGCCACTTGCCCCAGCTTCCCTCTGCTGCCCCTATCTGCAGGCTTGCTAAGATCTCCTGACCTAGGCGCTGTCACCCACAGTGGGCTGCAGAGCTGGCTCTTCCTAGCTGGCTAACTATCCTGAATCAGTAAAAATTTCCTAGTGGAGAGTGATGGGAAATCGAATCCAAACTGGCTTAAACAAAAATGAGAATTTATTGATTAACATGACTCAGGAGACCAGAACTCTATAGAGAACATGGCCTGACAGTGGGGGAAGAGAGGTGTTTCCTCAAAAAGAAATTGGGTGCAGCTTTCCCAGAAGAATCAGTTGCTCAATATATAATACCCTGATGAATTTAGTTACCATTCTATGTCTCTTACTTCCTCATTCTTCAAAGTACATCTGTGATATTTAAATGCAGGTCTGTTTTCAAGGTCAGTTTCCGGAAACAGTGACCCTGAGAAGGCTTCCTCCTGAGTATGCATAAACATTCACAGCTTGCATGCGTGTGTGTGTGTGTGTGTGTGTGTATGTTTGCTTGCACTGCATAAAAACAATTGCAACATCAACAGAAATAAAAATTAAAGGAATAATTCTCCTCCGACTCTGCCGTTCCATCCAGTGAAACTCTTCATTCTGGGGTAAAGTTCCTTCAGTTCTTGTTCATAGATAGGTATATACTTCATAAGTCAAACAATCAGGCTGGGTGCAGTAGCTCATGCCTGTAATCCCAGCCCTTTGGGAGGCCGAGCTGGGCAGATCACTTGAGATCAGGTGTTCGAGACCAGCCTCAAGACCTCCAACATGGGCCGGGTGCAGTGGCTCACGTCTGTAATCCCAGCACTTTGGGAGGCCGAGACGGACGGATGATGAGGTCAGGAGATAGAGACCATCCTGGCTAACATGGTGAAACCCCATCTCTACTAAAAATACAAAAAAAAAAAAAAATTAGCCCGGCATGGTGGCAGGCGCCTGTGGTCCCAGCTACTCGGGAGGCTGAGGCAGGAGAATGGCGTGAACCTGGGAGGCGGAGCTTGTAGTGAGCCAAGGTCGTGCCACTGTGCTCCAGCCTGGACGACAGAGCGAGACTCTGTCTCAAAAAAAAAAAAAAAAAAAAAAAAGACCTCCAACATCGTGTCTGTCTCTACTAAAAATACAAAAAAAAAAAAAAAAATTAGCCGGGTGTGGTGGCACATGCCTGTACTACTCGGGAGGCTGAGGCAGGAGAATCACTTGAACCCAGGAGGCGGAGGTTGCAGTGAGACGAGAACCTGCCACTGCACTTCAGCCTGGGCAACAGAGTGAGACTCTGCCTCAAAAAAAAAAAAAAAAAAAAAAGTCAGATAATCAACAACTTGAATTTTAATTTCCCTCAGGGAGAACATTTTGTGAATTCCTGGGTCCAGAGAGAATTACCTATGGCATCAGGTAAAAACTCAAACATTTTCCAAAGGCTTTGCTTGTTTATTTCTTCTTTTGATTTTTTGTCCCTATCTCTTTTTGTCGTCCCCCCCGCCCCGCCCCGTTTATTTTGAAGCAAACTCTAGACATCATTCCATCTGTAACTGTGAAGGGACAACTTGAACGCTGATACTTGCAATATCAAAGCCTACTGGTCTCTTTAATTTGTGCAGCAGCAATAAAGATATAGAAAAAAAAAAGACTAAAGCCTGCTGGTCTCACCTTGTGCTTTTTATTCAAGCTTATTGCAATGACAGCATCTTTGCTTACGAAGAACTACGGCTGGACTCTTTTAAGGACTGGCCCCGGGAATCAGCTGTGGGAGTTGCAGCACTGGCCAAAGCAGGTCTTTTCTACACAGGTGAGTCAGTAGGTTGTGCCCACTTGCTTGCTTGACCTTTAATTCCCACATAGACTTTATGCTCCTGGGCTTACGTTTAGCTACACTCAGCAATGTCCACTAGCTTCAGCGTTTCTTTTTCTTTTCTTTTTTTTTCCCCCTTGGAGACAGAGTTGCCCAGGCTGGAATGCAGATCTTGGCTCACTGCAACCTCCACCTCCTGGGTTCAAGAGATTCTCCTTCCTCAGCCTCTGGAGTAGCTGGAACCACAGGCGCCTGCCACCACGCCCAGCTACTTTTTTGTATTTTTAGTAGAGACAGGGTTTCACCATGCTAGTCAGAATGCTCTTGATCTCCTGATCTCGTGATCTGCCCGCCTTGGCCTCCCAAATGCTGGGATTACAGGTGTGAGCCATCGCGCCAGGCCTCTCTTCAGCATTTCTTATAGATTCGTTTTCTTTTCTTTCTATTTTTTTTGAGACATGGTCATCCAGGCTGGAGGGCAGTGGCGAGATCATGGCTCACTGCAGCCTCAACCTCCTGGGCTCAAGTAATCCTCCTGCCTTGGCCTCCCAAAATGCTGGGATTACAGGTGTGAGCCACTGCACCTGGCATACATCTCTTTTCTTTCCTGCATCATAAATCCTCTCCCAGTTTTCTATTCCTCCCTTAGGTGGTAAACCTTCAAATTTGAAACCTTAAGGTCTGGACTAACAATGAATACAAGTATTCTATTTGTGATAATTATCATGTCTTTTCTTTCTACACATTACTCTCCTCACCTCTTGTCCCCTGACAAAGTGCTCCTAGAAACTGTCACAGGACACTTCTGCTTATATTTCTTTAATCAGAACTTAGTTGGATGGGCCGGGCATGGTGGCTCACGCCTGTAATCCCAGCACTTTGGGAGGCCGAGGTGGGTGGATCACCTGAGGTCAGGAGTTTGAGACCAGCCTGGCCAATATGGTGAAACTCTGTCTCTACTAAAAATACAAAGAATTAGCCAGGCATGGTGGCGGGTGCCTGTAATCCCAGCTACTTGGGAGGCTGAGGCAGGAGAATCGCTTGAACCTGGGACGTGGAGGTTGCGGGGAGTCAAGATCATGCTATTGCACTCCAGCCTGGGCAACAAGAGTGAAACTCTGTCTCAAAAATAATAATAATAATAATAATTATTATTATTATTATTATTATTATTAGTCAGATGACCATACCTAGCTGTAAGAGGAGCTGGGAAACCTAATCTTTTTCCTGGGTGACAATGTGCCCAGCTAAATATTGGGATTTCTATTAGTATGGAAGGATTTGAGATAATAGGAACATGGATAGCAATCTTTGCCACATTCTGCCTGCAGGAGAAAATCAGGAAATTAATTTTCATGATTCCTAAACATGTAGAGCCTTCCACCAGATTGTGGCATTTTCTCTTTAGCTGCTGGTCATTAGGAAGCACCTCTGCAATCTATAAATGATGGGCTGGTTCCTGTCAGCTAAATCTCTGCCTGAAATACAAGATGATCAGGGAAAGGTTCCTAGGTACCTTGCTGGTCTTGCTCAAACCGAACACATGCATAAGTTACAGTGGAGGTTAATGCAGATCTTTAACTGAGAGATCAAGTAGTTGTCACAAATACCATAGAGCAACACAGAGAAGCAGAATATAGTTGTCACTCTACCTAACAGACATGTGCCATTGGAAAAAAAAAATCTGACTGCCTCACAATCTTAAGCCTTTGGAAAGAGTGTTTGCCATTTCTCCCTACTCTACTGTGTCTTCCTCTTGTCAGCCTTCCGCAAGACCCCTCTGACCAGTGTGCTCCCCCTCTTCCTTTCCAATCCTCCACCACTCCACACAAATCCTAATCATCTCTGACTGTTTTCAGATCTTGCAAGCTCTAGGATCTCATATTTCTGGGAGGCTTTCCTCTGCCCCAGCTTTCCCAGAGTGGAAGGAAGATGAGAAATGCTCTGTTTCTAGTTTGATCCTTTTGCAGAGCTAAATACCAATTTCTTTCCAAAGAAATATAATTTCACAAAGAGACTTAATCCTATTTCTGGTGTAATAAACATGGCAATAATGTGGTAAGAGGCAATTAATTCTTCATGCATTCACTTACATAAGGGCTGCTAGATTTGCTGGTATTTTTTTTTCCGTGAGCTCTAAATATATTCTTTCTGATTCATTCATTAAACGAATACTAATTGAGTGCCACATGAGTGTCAAGCACTTTTCTAGGTTCATGTCATTCATTAGTGAGCAAAAACCTCTACCCTCATAGAGCTTATTTTTATTTTTATTTTTTGAGACAGAGTTTCACTCTTGTTGCCCAGGCTGGAGTGCAATGGCGTTATCTTGGTTCACTGCAACCTCCGTCTCCTGGGTTCAAGCGATTCTTGTGCCTCAGCCTCCTGAGTAGCTGGCATTACAGGCATGTGCCACCATGCCCAGCTAATTTTTGTATTTTTAGTAGAGACAGGGTTTCACCGTGTTGGCCAGGCTGGTCTCAGACTCCTGACCTCAGGAGATCCGCTGGCCTTGGCCTCCCAAAGTGCTGGGATTACAGGCATGAGCCACTGCGCCCAGCCCCCTCATGGAGCTTCAATTCCAGATTCTGGTTGCCAATCTGTTTGTTGATCAAAGGAGAATGGGGCAGAGGGATGGTGTGCATCAAAGTGCATGGTGTGTAGGAGCATTCAATGACTACTTGCCAGTTACCCCATTGGTGGACAGAGTCTTATATAGAAAATTGCCTCACTGGTAACCAACTTCTGACTGTCACAAAACCCAACTGGAGACTGAATAGGCTTTCACTATTACAGGTCTGGTGGTTATTATCTGCATGTTAATGGACAGATGCCCATGCCAGTGGCACTGATCAAGTTTCCTTACTTTTAGGTATAAAGGACATCGTCCAGTGCTTTTCCTGTGGAGGGTGTTTAGAGAAATGGCAGGAAGGTGATGACCCATTAGACGATCACACCAGATGTTTTCCCAAGTGAGTGGAATGAATGTTAACCATCTGCAACTTTGGATGCACTTCAACAGTTTTTTTCTTTTTCCTCATTTCCTGCCTTATTTTATCTTTAGATTGAGTCTTTATCCACTCCTCGGATTCAGGCTATGAAGGATGAGTCTTCATGTCTTTCATCCCTTTGCTCCATGACCCCCTTCCTGTACTAGCCTTCCCCTCTTTATAGTTATGGCATAGTTTTGGCTAGATTCATATATTCACATTACATGTTTACATTATCATGACTATACAAATGCTATGTGGAGCTGAAGCTTGTGGTAAATTTTTATTTATTTTCCCTTCCTGTATATCCTTTTATTTTTTTAGGAAGTAATAACTGTCCTGTTGGTATGTTAGCTTATTTTTTTTTCCTGAGGTAAAATTCAGGTAGTAACCATTTTATTTATTTATTTATTATTTTTTGTGACAGGTTCTCTCTCTTGCCCAGGTTGGAGTGCAGTGGTGCAATCATGGCTCACTGCAGCCTTGACCTCTCTGGCTCAAGCAATCTTCCTCGCTCAGCCTCCCAAGTAGCTGGGACTACAGGCACATGTCTTCACACCCAGCTAATTTTTTTTTTTTTTTTTTAAGAGACAGGGTCTCTCTATGTTGCCCAGGCTGCTCTCAGACTTCTAGGCTCAAGCAGTCTTCCCATCCTGGCTTCCCAAAGTGCTGGGATTATAGGCGTGAGCCACCATGCACAGCAATTAAACCATTTTAGAGTACACAATTCTGTGGCATTTATTATAGTACATTCACAATGTTGTGCAACCACCCCCTCTATCTAGTTCCAAAACACTTTCATCGCCCCCAAAGAAAACTCTGTATCCATCAAGCAGGCCCCCCTCCTCTCTCCACCCCACTCCATGCCCAGCCCCTGGGATACACCAACCTAATTGGTGTCTATGGATTTATTTGTTCTGACTATTTCCTCTAAATGGAAGCATACCGTTTGACCTTTTGCATTTGGATTCTTTCACTTGGCATATTGTTTTGAAGTTTATCCATGTTGTAGCTTGCATAAGTACTTCCTTCCTTTTGAGACCAAGTAATATTCCATATGGATACACTGCATTTTATTTATCCATTCATCTATTTGTAGATATTTGGGTTGTTTCTACCTTTTGGCTACCATGAGTAATACCGATAGGAACATTTGGGTACAGGTATCTGATGGAGCATGTAACTGTATTCAAGTCTCTGGGGCATATACCTAACAACGATATTGCTAGCTGTATAGTAATTCTATGTTTTTACTTTTTTTTTTTTTTTCTCACACAGAGTCTCACTCTGTCGCTCAGGCTGGAGTGCAGCGGTGCGATCTCAGCTCACTGCAACCTCCGCCTCCCAGGTTCAAGCAATTTTCCTGCCTCAGTCTCCTGAGTAGCTGGGATTACAGGTGTCTGCCACCATGCCCGGCTAATTTTTTGTATTTTTAGGGTTTCACCATGTTGGCTAGGCTGGTCTCAAACTCCTGACCTCAAGTGATCCACCTGGCTTGGCCTCCCAAAGTGCTGGAATTACAAGCGTGAGCCACAGCGCCTGGCCTGTTTTAACTTTTTGAGGAAATGCTAAACTGTTTTTTCCACAGTGCTTGCACCATTTTAAATTCCCACCAACAACAATGTTGTGCAACCACCCCCTCTATCTAGTTCCAAAACACTTTCATCGCCCCCAAAGAAAACTCTGTATCCACTAAGCAGGCCCTCCTTCTCTCTCCACCCCACTCCATGCCCAGCCCCTGGGATACACCAACCTAATTGGTGTCTATGGATTTATTTGTTCTGACTATTTCCTCTAAATGGAAGCATACAGTTTGACCAACAATGTATGAGGTTTCCCATTTCTCATCAACACTTTTCTATTTTTAAAAAAATTATAGCCATCTGCTTAATTTTTTTTTTTTTTTTTTTTTTTTTTTTGAGATGGAGTCTCACTTTGTCGCCCAGGCTGGAGTGCAATGGCGTGATCTCACTCACTGCAACCTCCGCCTCCTGGGTTCATGCCATTCTCCTGCCTCAGCCTCCCGAGTAGCTGGGACTACAGGCACCTGCCATCATGCCCGGCTAATTTATTTTTTATTTATTTTTTTAGTAGAGACGGGGTTTCACCGTGTTAGCCAGGATGGTCTCCATCTCCTGACCTTGTGATCCACCCGCCTCAGCCTCCCAAAGTGCTCTGATTACAGGCGTGAGCCACCGCGCCCGGCCAGCCATCTGCTTAATTTTTATGTACATTGCTTATTTTTGTTTCTTGAGATAAAATTCATGTATTAATAATTTTATTTATTTAAATGAAATAAATGAAGACGAACACCAGCTCATCTTCAACTTATCCCAAATGTTTAAATCTCCTCTTAAGTCATTCAGACCTACCAGATATCTCATCATTTTCATTTCTTGAAAGAGTCATCATTTTTTTTTTCTTTTTCTTTTTTTTTTGAGACGGAGTCTGGCTCTGTCACCCAGGCTGGAGTGCAGTGGCATGATCTCGGCTCACTGCAGACTCTGCCTCCCAGGTTCAAGCAATTCTTCCTGCCTCAGCATCCCAAGTAGCTGGGACTACAGGCATGCACCACTATGCCTGGCTAATTTTTGTATTTTTAATAGAGATGGAGTTTTGCCACGTTGGCCAGGCTAGTTTCAAACTCCTGACCTCAAGTGATCCGCCTGCCTCAGCCTCCCAAAGTGCTGGTATTACAGGCGTGAGCCACTGCGGCTGGTCCATTTTCATCTTGAAATGAGTTTCCCTGGAAGTCTTCTGGCCTGCTGGATTATGAACAACTTGTCCTATAATCATCCTGGGATCCAGGGATCTTTCTTCACAGGCATCCTGGAGATTATCTCCTCTGTTGTATCTCCTGGATCTAATGTCATCCTCTTCTTGGTTCACTCGCTCATTTTGTTGGAACACTTCATCGGAGTTCCCTGGGAAAGACTGCATAAGAAATACACACTTTTAGTTGCATATAATGCATATACAGACATATAGATCTATCTAGATATATGTTTTTCCTGTATTCTCACACTTATTTGATAGTTTAGCTAGGTGTAGAATTATAGGTTGGAAGTCATTTTAATTCTAAATTGTAGAGGCACTGCTACATTTCTACTGGTTCCTAATGTGCTGTCGAGAAGTTCCATGCCTTTCTGCTTGTCAATCCTTTTACTGCAAACAAAATTTTTTTTTTTCCTGTGCTGGAAGCTTTCAGAAAAATATCTGTTCTAAAATTTTATGAAGAAATATTTCTTTTCTATGAATCTTTAAACTTAATTTTTTTTTACCCATCAAACTCTTTAGAAATGTTTAATTGCAAGAAGAAATTTGTGTTTTCACTATGTAATTAGTAAGAGTTTTTTTTTTAGAAATGAATATGAACACATACAGATTTTAAAATGAATGCTTCCTGCTCATTTGTATAGTGGTAAAAACAAAAATAAAACAAAATGAATACTTCTATCTAATTTTATTGCCTTGAAGGTATTTTGATAGCAGTAGTTACCTCATTTTTCTTTCTTATTTGGGCTTAGTGTATAATAAATTATTGAGAACAATGGGGACATTCTACTTAATTCTTGGAAGGATAAGCTAGGATGCAGTCTAGTCTTATTTAGAACTTACTCTGGAATCGATCAACTCCCTTTTATACTATTATTATTATTATTAGTTTTAGTGTTTTGTTGTTGTTGTTTTTGAGATGGAGTCTCACTCTGTCACCCAGGCTGGAGTGCAGTGGCGTGATCTCGGCTCACTGCAACCTCCGCCTCCCGGGTTCAAGCGATTCTCCTGCCTCAGCCTCCCAAGTAGCTGGGATTACAGGTACCTCCCCACCATGCCTGGCTAATTTTTTGTACTTTTAGTAGAGACGGGGTTTCACCATGTTGGCCAGGCTGGTCTTGAACTCCTGACCTCAAGTGATCCTCCTGCCTCAGCCTCCCAAAGTGCTGGGATTACAGGTGTGAGCCGCCACACCTGGCCTTTAGTGTTTTTTTGTTAAGAGACTGGGTCTCGGCTCTGTCACCCAGGCTGGAGCAAGTGCAGTGGTACAATCCTAGCTGACTGTAGCCTCAAATTCCTGGGCTCAAGTGATCCTCCCACCTCAGCCTCCCAAGTAGCTAGGACTACAAGCATGTGTCACCATGCCCGACTAATTTTTTAAAGTTTTTTTTTGTAGAGATGGGGTCTTGCTTTGTTGCCCAGGCTGGTCTCAAACTCCTGGCTCCAAATGATCCTTCTGCTTCAGCCTCCCAAAGTACTTGGATTACAGGCATGAGCCACTGCTCCCAGCCAACTCCTTTTTGGATTTTTACTCTTCCTTTGCCTCTTAAAAAAACTGCAAACCAGTATGTCTCCAAATGATTACCTAAAATTTTTATGTATGCTTTAAAGAATGAATAAAAAGCAACCTATGAACCTCCTAGTAAAGTCAAGAAATTGGACATTATCAATGCCTTAAAAGACCCCTGCGGCCGGGTGCAGTGACTCACGCCTGTAATCTCAGCACTTTGGGAGGCCGATGTGGGCAGATTGTCTGAGCTCAAGAGTTCGAGACCAGCCTGGGCAACATGGTGAAACCCCATCTCTGTTAAAAAACAGAAAAATTTAACCGGGCCTGGTGACACACGCCTGTAGTCCCAGCTATTAGGGAGGCTGAGGCAGGAGAATGGCTTGAACCTGGGAGGCGGAAGTTGCAGTGAGCCAAGATGGCGCCATTGCACTCCTGGGCGACAGAGCGTGACTCTGTCTCAAAAAAAAAAAATCAAAAAACAAAAAACAACTCTGCATGCCAACCACCCCCTAATTCTGATTATATCCCTGTCCCTCCAATCCAGAGGTAAATGTGATGCTCAGTTTGGGTTAATTATTCCCTTGCTTCTCTTTGTGGTTTTACCAACTACATATACATCCTTAAACATATTTAGCTTTGTCTATTCTTGAAGTTCAAATAAGAAGCATACTGCATGATTCTTCTTGTAATTGGCTGGTTTTACTCCACGATGTTTTTGAGATTCATCCATATTTATATGTACTACACAGTTGTAGTTCACTTGTTTTCATTGGTAAATAGTGTATTATTTTATGAATATATAATAACTTATTTTACTGTTGATTAACCTCGTGGGTCGTTTTCAGAGTGTTGCAAATTCAAATAATGCCCTATGAACATTCTTGTACATATTTTCCAGTGCTCATGTGTGTTTCTCTAGGATACATAACAAAGTAAAGAATTGCAGAGTCATAGAACTTTGCGGGTGTTCAACTCCACTAGATAATGCAAAGCTTTTTCCCAAGTGGTTGCACTGATTTACATTCCCATTGGCCTAGATGCGTTTCTATTGATTTGCTTCCTCACTAACTTGGTATTGCCCAAATTTTAATTTTTGTCAGTGTAATTACTAATAATGTTAAGCTTATTTTCTTCTTCTTTTTTTCTTTCTTTTTTTTTTTTTGAGACGGAGTTTCACTCTTGTTGCCCAGGCTGGAGTGCAATGGCACGATCTCGGCTCACCACAACCTCCGCCTCCCAGGTTCAAGTGATTCTCCTGCCTCAGCCTCCCGAGTAGCTGGGATTACAGGCATGTGCCACCACGCCCAGCTAATTTTGTATTTTTAGTAGAGATGGGGTTTCTCCATGTTGGTCAGGCTGGTCTCGGACTCCCAACCTCAGGTGATCCACCCACCTCAGCCTCCCAAAGTGCTGGGATTACAGGTGTGAGCCACCGCGCCCGGCAGTTGAGCTTATTTTCATATTTTCCTGCAGAATAGTCTTGTTCTTTCTCTTCAAGAGTGTGTCTTAGCTATTTTTTTGCCCTTTGGTCTTTCATATTCCAGAGAATATATTAAATATCCCAAGCAGGCATGGTGGTTCACACCTATAATCCCAGCACTTTGGGAGGCTGAGGTGGGAGGAGTGCACAAGGCGAGGAGTTTGAGACTAGCCTTTGCAACATAGCTAGACTCCATTTCTACAAAAAATTTTTAAAACAAACAGGGTGTGGTAGCATGCATCTGTAGTCCCAGCTACCTGGGAGGCAGAGGCAGGAGAATCGCTTGAGCTCAGGAGTATAGGTTGCAATGAGCTATGATTGTGCCACTGTACTGTGGCCTGGGTGACAGAGTAAAACTTTGTCTCTAAAAAACAGAAATATCCCTCTTTATCCTTGATAGTATTTTTTAGGCCTTTATTAGTTTTTTCATGTTACATCTTTTAGATTATTTTCTTTTTAATCTATCTGTGACTATATTTAAAGTCAATTCTTGTTTTTTCCTTTTCCTTTTTGTGGGTAACGGGGTCTCACTATGTTGCCCAGGCAGATCTCAAACTCCTGGGCTCAAGCTGTCCTCCCACCTCTGCCACCCTAAGTGTTGAGATTACAGGCATGAGCCACTGCACCCAGCCTTAAAGTGAATTGTTATAGGCAACAACACAGTGGGGTCTTTTATTTTATTTTTTATTTGTTTATGAGACAGACTCGCTCTGTTGCCTACGCTGGAGTGCAGTGGTGCAGTCTTGACTCACTGCAGCCTGGACTTCCCAGGCTCAAGCAATCCTCCCACCTCAGACTCCTGAGTAGCTGGGACTACAGGCACATGCCACCAAGCCTGGCTAAGTTTGTTAGTTTTTTATAGAGACAAGGTCTCACTATGTTGCCCAGTCTGATCTCGAACACCTAGCCACAAGCAATTCTCCTGCCTTGTCTTCCCAGAGTGCTGGGATTACAGGTGTGGACCACTGAACCCAGCAGGTCTTGCTTTTTTTTTGAGATGGAGGTGTGAGCCACCACATCCAGCCAGGTTTTCTCTTTTTTTTTTTTTTTGAGACGGAGTCTTGCTCTGTCGCCCAGGCTGGAGTGCAGTGGCACGATCTTGGCTCACTGCAAGCTCCGCCTCCTGGGTTCACACCATTCTCCTGCCTCAGCCTCGCGAGTAGCTGGGACTACAGGCACCCCGCCACCACACCTGGCTAATTTTTTGTATTTTTAGTAGAGACGGGGTTTCACCGTGTTAGCCAGGATGGTCTCGATCTCCTGACCTCATGATCCACCTGCCTTGGCCTCCCAAAGTGCTGGGATTACAGGCGTAAGCCACCACGCCTGGCCAGGTCTTGCTTTTTAAGAGTCTGACAATAACTGCTTTCTAATTGGAATGTTTAGAACGTTTAAATTTAATGCAATTATGAATATGGTTGGATTTAAACCTATTTTACCATTTGCTTTCTATTTATTTCATCACTTCTTTGTTTCTTTTTCTTTTCCTGACTTCCTAGGGTTTAGGGTTTTTTTTTTTTTCTTTTTTCTACCCCCTCCTTGAGTATTTTTTTTTGTACTCCATTTTATTTCTGTCAGCTTATTAGCTATTAATCCTTATTTTACCTTTTTACTACTTGCTCTAGAGTTTACCATATGCCTATTTAACATATCATAGTAATCTTCAAAAATATTATAACAGCTGGGTGCAGTGGCTCATGCCTGTAATCCCGGTAATTTGGGAGGCTGAGGCAGGCAGATCACTTGAGGTCAAGAGTTCCAGAGCAACCTGGGCAACATGGTGAAACCCCGTCTCTACTAAAAATACAAAAAAATTAGCTGGGTGTGGTGGCGCACACCTGTAATCCCAGCTGCTTGGGAGGCTGAGGCACGAGAATTGCTTGAACCCAGGAAGCAGACGCTGCAGAAAGCTGAGATCGTGCCACTGCACTCCAGCCTGGGTGACACAGTGAGACTCTGGGTCAAAAAAATATATAACACTTGACATAAAATGTATGAACCATACAATAGTATATTTCCATTTCTCCCCTCTCATCCTTTGTGCTATTGTCATACATTTTATTTCCATGTACTTTAATAAATCTTACAATATAATGTTATATCTTTGCTTTAAACAATTTAAGTACATTTTTACAACGGCAAAAGTCTTTCATATTTGCCCTCTTAGTTATCTTATCATTCCTGGTACTTTTCATTCCTTTGAGTAGAACCAAATTTCCATCTGCTATCATTTTCCTTTTAAATGATGTGCTTCCTTTCACTTTTTTTTTTTTTTTTTTTTTTTTTTTTTGAGATGGAGTCTTGCTCTGTCTCCTAGGCTGGAGTTCAGCGCCACGATCTCGGCTGACTGCAACCTCTGCCTCCCGGGTTCAAGTGATTCTCCTGCCTCAACCTCCTGAGTAGCTAGGATTACAGGTGCCCACCACCATGCCAGGCTAATTTTTGTATTTTTAGTAGAGATAGAGTTTCACCATGTTGGCCAGGCTGGTCTTGAACTCCTGACCTCATGATCTGCCTGCCTCAGCCTCCCAAAGTGCTGGGATTACAGGGGTGAACCACTGTGCCTGGTCCCTTTCACATTTTTTGTAGTGCAGTTATGCTGGCAACTGACTTTATTTGGCATTTGTTTGTATGAATAAGTTTATATTTTACCTTCCTTCATAGTTCTTTTCCTTGATGGGCCTATTAAAATATTTTTTTTCTTTTGTAAGCCACTTCACCCCTTCCCTATGGGTTTGTTTTTATTTACCTCTACATGGCTGACTTTGGACAGAAACGTTAAAAGTTCTACTTGTTGTTTTCCTGAAGCTATGCTTCTATTTCTGGACTCATCGCCAAGTCACCTGAAGGCAATACAAATGAAGTATCTGGGCCACATGCAGTGGCTCACGCCTGTAATCCCAGCACTTTGGGAAACTGAGGTGGGAGGATACCTTGAGCCCAGAAAAAAAAAAAATTAGCCTGGCATGGTGGCACGTGCCTGTAGTCCCAGTTACTTGGGAGGCTGAGGTGGGAGGATCACTTGAGCCTGGGAGTTGGAGGCTACATTGATCCTTGGTCGTGTCACTACCCTCAAGCCTGGACAAAAGAGTGAGACCTTGTCTCAAAAAAAAAAAAAAAAAAAAAAAGTGTCCCTTTGCTTTACTCCTGCTCTCCAGTGATTCTACAGCATGGAATAGGCCACTGACTTACTCACATGTATAGTTCTCATCTGTCCATTTTAATAATTGCAACTAGAGCTCTTTTTGAACTTTCTCTCGTTCTTCAAGCATACATCAAACCTGAGTTTAGAGGGTATTTGCGTCCTAGTTTCACGAGATTGGCAAGTAGTTTTTAGAGAGTATGTTTGTGGCCATTCTTTTCTTTTGATACTGACGGAGGGTTTCTTTTTTAATTTTTTGTTTGTTTAAGACAGGGTCTTACTCTGTCACCCAGGCTGGAGTGCAGTGATGCAATCACGGCTCACTGTAGCCCCAACCTCCTGGCCTCAAGTGATCTTCTTGCCTCAGCACCCCCAAGTAGCTGGGACTATACATGCATGCCACCCTGCTAGCTAATTTTTAGAGGAGGTCTCTCTATGTTGCACAGGTTGGTCTGGTCTTGAACTTCTGGCCTCAAGTGAAACTCCTACTTTGGCTTCCCAAAGTGCTGGGATTACAGGCATGAGCCATTGCACCTGGCAATGGAGTGGTTTGTGGTTGGTTAGTTTTTTGTTTGTTTGTTTGTTTGTTTTTGAGACAGAGTTTCACTCCTGTTGCCCAGGCTAGAGTGCAATGGTGCGATCTCGGCTTACTTCAACTTCTGCCTCTTGGGTTCAAGCAATTCTCCTGCCTCAGCCTCCCAAGTCGCTGGGATTACAGGCGTCCGCCACAACGCCCGGCTAATTTTTGTATTTTTAGTAGAGGTGAGGTTTCACCATGTTGGTCAGGTTGGTCTCAAACTCCTGACCTCAAGTGATCCACCCGCCTCAGCCTCCCGAACTGCTGGGATTACAGGCGTGAGCCACCATGCCTGGCCTTGTTTGTTTTTTGTTTTGTTTTGAGACAGAGTCTCACTCCATTGCCCAGACTAGAGTGCAGTGGCACAATCTCAGCTCACTGCAACCTCCGCCTCCCAGGTTCAAGCGATTCTTGTGCCCCAGCCTCCTAAGTAGCTAGGACTACAGGTGTGCGCCACCACTGCCTGGTTAATTTTGGAATTTTCTTTTTAATAGAGACAGGGTTTTGCCATGTTGGCCAGGCTGGTCTCAAACTTCTGGCCTCAAGTGATCTGCCCGCCTCGGCCTCCCAAAGTGCTGGGATTTTGGGTGTGAACCACCGCACTCACAGAGTTTTTTTCTTTTTTTAATAAATTTTTATTTGAAATTATTTAGATTTGCAGAAAGTGCAAAGTAATACAAAGAGTTCCTATATATTGCCATACCCAATTTACCCTAATGCTAACATCTTACACTAGCATATTTGTCAAAATCATCAGTGTACCAATTCATATACTGTACATTACTATTTACTAAAATCCAGAGTTTATTTGGATTTCACCAGTTTTTCCACTATGTTGTTTTTTGTTCCAGAATTCATAAATAGAGGGTTTTTTTTTTCCTATTTTTGATTCTTTAAGTTCATTTTTGTTGGTTGCATGGAGGAGTGTCATATACGCACTCATTCCACCAAATTCCCTTGATATCCTTTACCATTACTTTATAAACCATTTACATTTCTCTTGCAGAGAGCCACAACCTAAGTGCCTTACCTGATGACACTGACAGAGAGAATCACTGGAAATGATAGTTTTATACTTAATTCTTGTCACTAAAACTCTAATAGTGTTTTTAAAAACCTAATACAAGGCCAGGCCTGGCGGCTCACACCTATCATCCCAGCACTTTGGGATGCCTAGGGAGGAGAATTGCTCAAGGCCAGAAGTTTGAAACCAGAACAGCCTGGGCAACATAGTGAGACCCTGTCTCTGAAAAAACAAAACAAACAACAACAGCAACAACAACAACAAAAATACCTAACACAAATACTTAAATGCATACAACTATTTTTATAACTTTTAACTTTTACACTTAGTTGTCCATTTCTCCAAAATATGAAGTCCTCTGCGGAAGTGACTCCAGACCTTCAGAGCCGTGGTGAACTTTGTGAATTACTGGTAATGAACACCGTCATCTTGTCTGTTTTACCAGCACATGATCATATAATTGAAAACTGTTTTGAACAGGAATGTCTCATCATAAATAAGTTAATAAATTCTACAAACATCTACTAAACATCTGTTATGTTCTAGGTACAGATTGGGGAAATCACAATAAACCAGTCGGGCACAATACCTAGCTTCATGAAATGTATAGTCAATCTCTTCTACTTCAAGGCCCAGACTCTCTTAGACTTTGTTGATTAGCATCCAGGCTAAATGGATCCTCTCTGGATCTTCATGTGGAGGGCAATAAGGCTGGATTTGCTACTTGGCCTTTTTAGGGGTTGAGAAGATGTTACTTTAACAAAAGCAAGTGCCCAACAAAATCATAAACCCAGGTAATAGGCTGACCACTTTAAGCTGAGAAATCCTACCTAGTTCTCTGGGATATAAGCCACTACTAATTTAATGCACACATATACCACCTTATTTTGAGGCTGTGTGTTAGGTATGTTATGTTTGTCATCCCCCCACCCCCAACACACACAAAAACCAACTTGCTATTCACGTGATTCATTTTCTATATGAATTGAAAAATGGCACTAAAGAAAAAAGTTTGGGGATATAGAAATAGCTTATTTTTTAAGGAAGAAACATAACCTTTCTAAGTACTGGATGTGTAATATTAAAAATGTAGTTAACCAAGGACAGAGGCTGCACCTAATGACTTTTGGAGGAACCTTCTTGCTCAAGACACTATGATTCTCGTTACCTGGATAGTATCACCCATGGATTGTATCATATATGAACCACTGAGGAACACACATTCCTGCAGATGTTTGCAGATTATTAATTGCTTTATATTTGGAGCACCCCTCCCTTCAATCAGCATAAATATTTGAGGGTGGGCTGTGTTTAGAAGATGTTTAGTCTCCAATGATTACAACATGATGCACCACTCTCCTATACAAATTTTGATTTAAGAAAAGATTTTATTTTTCAAAGGAAACCACAAGTGAAAGCAATCTTGAAGATTCAATAGCAGTTGGTCCTATAGTGCCAGGTAAGAACTTTGAAGTAGCACGTGGGATTATATGTATTTGTAAATATATTTGTATACAGGGCAGTTGCAAAAAAAAGAGTATTTATAATTGTCCAAAGAGCTTCCAAAGAGGAGCAGCATTGCAACAGTGTCGTGTATGAGCAAAAGTCAAGATTCTTGTGGCTTCTCCAGAGTGCAGGCAGGACCAAACTGATAGTAGGCAACGTGTCTCAGGTACAAGCAAACCAGTCCTTAGAAGCACCAATCAGTAAACTTCTTTCCTGAGATTTTTATTTTTATTCATTTTATTTTATTTTATTTTATTTGAGACAGGGTCTTACTTTGTCACCCAGGCTGGAATGCAATGGCAAGATCATGGCTCACTGCAGCGTCGACCTCCCAGGCTCAAGTGATCCTCCCATCTCAGCCTCCCCAGTAGCTGGGACCACAAGCATGTGCCACCACACCTGGCTAATTTTTGTATTTTTTGTAGAGACAGGGTTTTGCCATGTTGGCCAGGCTGGTCTTGAACTCCTAGGCTCAAGCAATTCGCCTGCCTCGGTCTCCCACAGTGCTGGGATTACAGGCATGAGTCACTTTGCCTGGCCTCTTTCCTGAGATGCATGGTGCTTATGATAAGCACACATTATGTCTAGGTCCCTGCTTCAAGTGTGGCACTTTGGACACATGCTTTCCACATTCCGATTTTGTGCCAAAACCTATGAGATGATCGCAATGTGGGAATCATGGATGGCTGTGGAAAATCCTAACACATTCGTAGTAGACAGGCAGAATCATGGAATGAAAAGGCATGGCGTTCAGACTGAGGGAGATGTGACTATGAATCCCTGTTGTGCCCCCCTTTCTTTCTCTCCACAGAAATGGCACAGGGTGAAGCCCAGTGGTTTCAAGAGGCAAAGAATCTGAATGAGCAGCTGAGAGCAGCTTATACCAGCGCCAGTTTCCGCCACATGTCTTTGCTTGATATCTCTTCCGATCTGGCCACGGACCACTTGCTGGGCTGTGATCTGTCTATTGCTTCAAAACACATCAGCAAACCTGTGCAAGAACCTCTGGTGCTGCCTGAGGTCTTTGGCAACTTGAACTCTGTCATGTGTGTGGAGGGTGAAGCTGGAAGTGGAAAGACGGTCCTCCTGAAGAAAATAGCTTTTCTGTGGGCATCTGGATGCTGTCCCCTGTTAAACAGGTTCCAGCTGGTTTTCTACCTCTCCCTTAGTTCCACCAGACCAGACGAGGGGCTGGCCAGTATCATCTGTGACCAGCTCCTAGAGAAAGAAGGATCTGTTACTGAAATGTGCATGAGGAACATTATCCAGCAGTTAAAGAATCAGGTCTTATTCCTTTTAGATGACTACAAAGAAATATGTTCAATCCCTCAAGTCATAGGAAAACTGATTCAAAAAAACCACTTATCCCGGACCTGCCTATTGATTGCTGTCCGTACAAACAGGGCCAGGGACATCCGCCGATACCTAGAGACCATTCTAGAGATCAAAGCATTTCCCTTTTATAATACTGTCTGTATATTACGGAAGCTCTTTTCACATAATATGACTCGTCTGCGAAAGTTTATGGTTTACTTTGGAAAGAACCAAAGTTTGCAGAAGATACAGAAAACTCCTCTCTTTGTGGCGGCGATCTGTGCTCATTGGTTTCAGTATCCTTTTGACCCATCCTTTGATGATGTGGCTGTTTTCAAGTCCTATATGGAACGCCTTTCCTTAAGGAACAAAGCGACAGCTGAAATTCTCAAAGCAACTGTGTCCTCCTGTGGTGAGCTGGCCTTGAAAGGGTTTTTTTCATGTTGCTTTGAGTTTAATGATGATGATCTCGCAGAAGCAGGGGTTGATGAAGATGAAGATCTAACCATGTGCTTGATGAGCAAATTTACAGCCCAGAGACTAAGACCATTCTACCGGTTTTTAAGTCCTGCCTTCCAAGAATTTCTTGCGGGGATGAGGCTGATTGAACTCCTGGATTCAGATAGGCAGGAACATCAAGATTTGGGACTGTATCATTTGAAACAAATCAACTCACCCATGATGACTGTAAGCGCCTACAACAATTTTTTGAACTATGTCTCCAGCCTCCCTTCAACAAAAGCAGGGCCCAAAATTGTGTCTCATTTGCTCCATTTAGTGGATAACAAAGAGTCATTGGAGAATATATCTGAAAATGATGACTACTTAAAGCACCAGCCAGAAATTTCACTGCAGATGCAGTTACTTAGGGGATTGTGGCAAATTTGTCCACAAGCTTACTTTTCAATGGTTTCAGAACATTTACTGGTTCTTGCCCTGAAAACTGCTTATCAAAGCAACACTGTTGCTGCGTGTTCTCCATTTGTTTTGCAATTCCTTCAAGGGAGAACACTGACTTTGGGTGCGCTTAACTTACAGTACTTTTTCGACCACCCAGAAAGCTTGTCATTGTTGAGGAGCATCCACTTCCCAATACGAGGAAATAAGACATCACCCAGAGCACATTTTTCAGTTCTGGAAACATGTTTTGACAAATCACAGGTGCCAACTATAGATCAGGACTATGCTTCTGCCTTTGAACCTATGAATGAATGGGAGCGAAATTTAGCTGAAAAAGAGGATAATGTAAAGAGCTATATGGATATGCAGCGCAGGGCATCACCAGACCTTAGTACTGGCTATTGGAAACTTTCTCCAAAGCAGTACAAGATTCCCTGTCTAGAAGTCGATGTGAATGATATTGATGTTGTAGGCCAGGATATGCTTGAGATTCTAATGACAGTTTTCTCAGCTTCACAGCGCATCGAACTCCATTTAAACCACAGCAGAGGCTTTATAGAAAGCATCCGCCCAGCTCTTGAGCTGTCTAAGGCCTCTGTCACCAAGTGCTCCATAAGCAAGTTGGAACTCAGCGCAGCCGAACAGGAACTGCTTCTCACCCTGCCTTCCCTGGAATCTCTTGAAGTCTCAGGGACAATCCAGTCACAAGGTATACCTGTATATATTTTGGATGACTATTCTGATGTATAATTTCTTTTTCTTACTTTAAGTGGTTGAAAACTTCTGAGGCCATGAAAGCATGCATGCTCATTGATAGAACAGATATAAAATAAACCTTCACTAATTTTTTTTGACAGTAGCATGAATTAGTGAAAAGTCCTTGAATAATAGAATGGTTTTCAAATAACTCAGACAAAATGAATAAAATATTTATATTAAATTATTGAAGGTTCTTAATAAAGACATGAATTATCTGTTATTAGTAAAAGAATTAGCTATATGTAAGATGATGCTTAGAAATTACCTTCACCCTAGCTGCCTAAAGGAAGAAAGGCCTGTAGTCCCTGGGAAATAAATAAATTAATGGGAAATAATATCTTCATCTATTTGTGTCTTAACTCCTCTAAGCACTATTTGATAGTTTTCAGTGTAGACTTAACCCATCTTTCATTAAATTTATTCCTAGATACTCATATCTTTTGAAAGTATTGTAAATGTCATTAAAAATATTTTTTCATTTTCTAATTGTTGCTAGTATTGCTTTGGTCTTAAGCAGTTTGACTGTTATATGCCTAGGTGTGCTTTGCTTTGTATGTATCTTGCTTGAGGTGCACTGAACTTTTTTGGAATGTGTGGGTTGACATTTACCAAATTTAGAAAATTTTTCATCTTTTTTCAAGTACTGTTTTATTATGGTAAAATACATGTAACAAAGCTTACATTTTAATCATTTTAAGTGTACAACTCAGTGGCATTAAGCATTCACTATGTTGTACAACCATCACCACTATCCATCTCCAGAACCTTTTCATCATCCCAATTAAACAATAAATTGGGCCGGGCGCGGGGGCTCACGCCTGTAATCCCAGCACTTTGGGAGGCCGAAGAGGGTGGATCGCCAGAGCTCAGGAGTTTGAGACCACCCTGGGCAACATGGTGAAACCACATCTCTACTAAAATACAAAAAATTAGCTGGGCGTGGTGGCATGCGCCTGTAGTCCCAGCTATTCGGGAGGCTGAGGCATGAGAATCACTTAAGCCTGGGAGGCAGAGGTTGCAGTGAGCCCAGATCATGCCACTGCACTCCAGCTTGGGCTACCGAGTGAGACTCCGTCTCAAAAAAAAAAAAAAAAAAAAAAAAAAAAAAAATCTTCCCTCCCACCAGCCCCTGATAACTTCTCTTCTATTTTCTGTCTCTATGAATTTGCCTCTTCTAGATATTGTTTATAAGCATTATCACTTGTCTGGCTTATTTCACTTTGCATACTGTTCAAGGTACATCATGTTGTAGCCTATATTGGAATTTCATTCCTTCACATGTACTCCATAAATATGTACAATTATTATGTATCAACTTTGAAAAGGAACTTCATCCTTTTTATAGCTAATATTCCATGGTATGTATATAGTACATTTTGTTTATCCATTCTGCTGCTGAGAGACACTTGGGTTGTTTCTACCTTCTGGCTATCATAAATAATGCTGCAATGAACACTGGCATTATAAGTATCGGTTTAAGTTCTTGCTTTTAATCATTTTGGGTATATACCTAGAAGCAGAATTGCTGATTCATATGGTAGTTCTATGTTTAACTTTTTGAGGAACTTGCACAGTAGCTGCACCATCTTACATTCCCACTATCCATGTACAAAGGTTCCAATTACTCCACATCCTCTTCAGCACTTGTTAATTTTTGTTTTTGTGGAGACAGAGTCTAATTCTGTCACCCAGGCTGGAGTGCAGTGGCGAGATCTTGGCTCACTGCAACCTCCACCTCTCGGGTTCAAGCAATTCTCCTGTCTCAGCCTCCTGAGTAGCTGGGACTACAGGTGTGCACCACCATACCTGGCTAACTTTTGTATTTTTAGTAGAGATGGGGTTTCGCCATGTTGCCCAAGCCGGTCTCGAACTCCTGAGCTCAGGCAGTCCAGCCACCTTGGCCTCCCGAAGTGCTAGGATTACAGGCATGAGCCACAGTGCCCGACCTGTTTTTGTTTTCATTGTTGTTTTTCAGACAGTGTCTTGCTCTATTGCCCAAGCTGGAGTGCTGTGGTGCAATCATGGCTCACTGCAGCCTCAACCTCTTGAGCTCAGGTGATCCTCCTGCCTCAGCCTCCTGAGTAGCTGAGACTACCAGCATGCACCACCGTGCCTGGATAATTTTTTATTTTTTGTAGAGACAGATTCTTGCTATGTTGCCTAGTCTGGTCTTTTTTCTTTTTCTTTCTTTTTTTTTTTTGAGATGGAGCCTCGCTCTGTCCCCCAGGCTGGAGTGCAGTGGCGCAATCTCGGCTCACTGCAAGCTCTGCCTCCTGGGTTCACGCCATTCTCTTGCCTCAGCCTCCCAAGTAGCTGGGATTACAAGCTCCCGCCACCACACCCAGCTAATTTTTGTATTTTTAGTAGAGATGGGGTTTCACCATGTTGGCCAGGCTGGTCTTGAACTCCTGACCTCAGGTGATCCACCCACCTCGGCCTCCCAAAGTGCTGGGATTACAGGCATGAGCCACCGTGCCTGGCCCCTAGTCTGGTCTTGAACTCCTGGGCTCAAATGATCCACCCACCTTGGCCTTCCAAAGTGCTGGGATTACAGGTATGAGCCACCTCACCCAGCCCATTTTGTTTTGTGATTATCATAAAGCCATTCTAGTAGTTGTGAAGTGGTATCTCATTGTGGTTTTGATTTGCATTTCTCTAATGCAAATCATGAAAATGATGTTAAGTATCTTTTCACTTTTTGAAAAAATATGTTTGCTCATTTAAAAATTGTTGTTGTTTTTGTTGCATTGTAAGAGTTATTTGTATATTCTGGATTTCAACCTGTTATCAGATACACAGTTTGAAAATATTTTTCCCATTCCATAGGTTGTCATTTTACTTTATTTATAATGTCCTTTGTGCACGAAAGTTTTAAATTTTGACGAAGTCCAATTTATCTGTTTTTTTCTTTTATTGCTGGTCCTTTTGGTGTCCTATCTAAGAATCCATTGCCAAATCCAAGGTCATGAAGATTAACTCCTATGTTTTTTCTAAGAGTTGTGTGATTTCAGCTTTTATATTTAGGTCGTTGATCCATTTTGAGTTGATTTTTTTTACATGGTGAGGGATAGGAATCCAACTTCATTCTTTCGCATGTGCAAATCCAGTTGTCCCCAACCGTTTGTTGAAGAGATGCTATATTTCTTTTCTCTTCTTTTTTTTTTTTTTTTTGAGACGGAGTCTCACACTGTAGCCTGGGCTGGAGTGCAATGGCGCGATCTTGGCTCACTGCAACCTCCGTCTCCCAGGTTTATGTGATTCTCCTGCCTCAGCCTCCTGAGTAGCTGGGATTACAGATGCACACCACCATACCCAGCTAATTTTTTTTTTTGTATTTTTAGTAGAGACGGGGTTTCACTATGTTGGCCAGACTGGTCTCAAACTCCTGACCTCGTGATCCGCCCGCCTCAGCCTCCCAAAGTGCTGGGATTACAGGCATGAGCCACTGCGCCTAGCCGAGATGCTGTATTTCTTTTTGTGAGTCTGAAGAGTAGCACAGGGCTTCCCATACAGTGCATAAGCTGCAAAAAGCAATATCTTCATATATGTATTCTTTAAAAAAAAAAAAGAATGTTTTATGGTATGTGGAAGGTTTGCATGTGAAAATAGCTGGATGAATCAAAATGACAGTTTTAAAATGTCCATTCAGAACTCTTTAGATTAATAATGGGAAACTGTGCTGCTTTCCAGACCAAATCTTTCCTAATCTGGATAAGTTCCTGTGCCTGAAAGAACTGTCTGTGGATCTGGAGGGCAATATAAATGTTTTTTCAGTCATTCCTGAAGAATTTCCAAACTTCCACCATATGGAGAAATTATTGATCCAAATTTCAGCTGAGTATGATCCTTCCAAACTAGGTAAGGATGGCACTTTAATATACTTGTTTTTACGTAAGTTGGAAAAGCTACTTGGCCAATAATTTATTTAAGAGTTAAAGTGCCTGTGGTTCTAAGGGTGTAGCCTGTATCCATGGTAAATTGTGAGGAATAGCACTCTTTCTCATTAAGAAAGCAGAGTGCTGTTTGTAATTATTGAGCCTTTACTACACACTAGGAAGTATCCTAAGCACTTCACAAATATGAACTCAGTCTTCATACCCACTCTATGAAGTACTATTATTATTATTATTATTATTATTATTTTTTTTTTTTTTTTGAGACAGTCTCGCGCTGTCGCCCAGGCTGGAGTGCAGTGGCACGATCTCGGCTCACTGCAAGCTCCTCCTCTCAGGTTCACCATTCTCCTGCCTCAGCCTCCCAAGTAGCTGGGACTACAGGTGCCTGCCACCACGCCCAGCTAATTTTTTGTATTTTTAGTAGAGACGGCGTTTCACCGTGTTAGCCAGGATGGTCTCGATCTCCTGACCTCATGATCTTCCCGCCTCGGCCTCCCAAAGTGCTGGGATTACAGGCATGAGCCACCGTGCCTGGCCAAAGTAAAGTACTATTATTAATGCTATTTTGTAGCTGGGAAAACTGAGACATAAAGAGATAAAGTAATTCGTAATATCCAGCTAAGGAAATGTATATCTGTGACTCAAATACAGGAATTTTGACTCCAAAATCTGAGTTCTTAATCCCTAATATAGGCCGGGCCTGGTGACTCACACCTGTAATCCCAGCACTTTGGGAGGCCGAGAAGGGCAGATCACCTGAGGTCAGGAGTTCGAGACCAGCCTGACCAACATGGTGAAACCCTGCCTCTACTAAAAATGCAAAAATTTGCTGGCATGGTGGCATATGCCTGTAATCCCAGCTACTTGAGAGGCTGAAGCAGGAGAATTACCTGAACCTGGGAGGCAGAGATTGCAATGTGAGCCGAGATCGCGCCATTGTACTCCAGCCTGGGGAACAAGAGTAAAACTCCATGGGGAACAAGAGCAAAACTCCATGGGGAACAAGAGCAAAACTCCATCTCAGAAAAAAAAAAAAAAAAAGAAAGAAATCCCTAATATAATGTTGCCACTCCAAAATAATTTGTAGGGTTATTTTATTTTGTTTTTGGTTAGGCTGGTCTTACATTGCAACTTACAGATCTGGCAGCTCAGCAGGAAGGAAATCTGCTAATCCGTAGTCATTGGAAGTATTTCCCTGTTTCTCACCAGCCTATCCTAATAGTTCATGGAAAATGGTGCAGCCATCTTTCTTAAATACATCATTTAGCTAAATGACTTAGGCACCATCATTCCTTAACTTAGTAAACACTGAACACTAAAGATTGAAGAAATATACAACTCTATGGAATTGACATAAAGACTTGCATGCAAAAGCTTCATTGTTGGCCAGGCACAGTGACTCACACCTGTAATCTTAGCACTTTGGGTGGCCGAGGCGGGAGGATCGCCTGAGAGCAGGAGTTCAGCACCAGGCTGGGCAATATAGCAAGACATCGTCTCTACTAAAAAAATAAAAAATTAGCCAAGTATGATGGTGTGCACCTATAGTCCCCAGCTACTCAGGAGGCTGGTAGGATCACTTGAGTCCAGAAGTTCAAGCTTGCAATAAGCTATGATCATGCCACTGCACTCCAGCCTAGGTGATAGAGCAAGACCCTGTCTCAAAAAAAAAAAAAAAAAAAAAATATATATATATATGTGTGTGTGTGTGTGTGTGCATACATATATACACCGAAGCTGGAGGTGGTAGTTATATTTGTCAGCAAATTTTGCAACAAATTTAGGTTTTGCTTCAGAGTTGTCATTCCTTTTATGTTTCTTTTTTTTTTTTGAGACAGAGTCTCAATCTGTCACCCAGGCTGGAGTGCAGTGGCACCGTTGTCAGCTCACTGCAACCTCCGTCTCCTGGGTTCAAGCAATTCTCCTGCCTCAGCCTCCCAAGTAGCTGGGATTACAGGCGCCCATCACCATGCCCGGCTAATTTTTTAATATTTTTAGTAGAGACGGGGTTTCACCATGTTGGCCAGGCCAGTCTCAAACTCCTGACCTCAGGTGATCCGCCCACCTCAGCCTCCCAAAGTACTAGGATTACAGGCGTGAGCCACTATGCCCAGCTGTTTCTTTGTATAGTATTCTTTTTTTTTTTTTTTTTTTTTTTTTGGAGATGCAGTCTTGCTCTGTTGCCCAGGCTGGAGTTTGGTGGCGCAATATCCACTCACTGCAACCTCTGCCTCCTGGGTTCAAGCGATTCTCCTGCCTCGGCCTCCCGAGTAGCTGGGATTACAGCTGCCTGCCACCCACGCCTGGCAAATGTTTGTATTTTTAGTAGAGACAGGGTTTCACCATGTTGGCCAGGCTGGTCTCGAGCTCCTGAGCTCAGATGATCCACCTGCCTCGGCCTCCCAAAGTGCTGGGATTACAGGCATGAGCCACAGCACCTGGCCTCTTTGTATTCTTATTGTGTAAATGTCATGTACAAACTTAGAGTTATTAGGTGTTAAAGCTGAAGGTGATGCTACTGAGTCAATGCTTGTATTTTATAGAAGAGAAAACTGTTACCCAGAGAGGGTCAATAATGTGTCAAAATTCACATTACTTGCTAGTTGCAGAACCTGAACCCAAGCCCAGTGACCTGATTCTTAGATCATGAGATCGTGGTACCTGGTTTTAATTAAGTATTATTGAAACAAAATAATAAACTACTTGGCTAATTTTGATAGAAATTTGCAGTATTTTCTAATTTCTGAAAATCCTTGATCTTTTACAGTAAAATTAATTCAAAATTCTCCAAACCTTCATGTTTTCCATCTGAAGTGTAACTTCTTTTCGGATTTTGGGTCTCTCATGACTATGCTTGTTTCCTGTAAGAAACTCACAGAAATTAAGTTTTCGGATTCATTTTTTCAAGCCGTCCCATTTGGTAAGAGTTATAATATTACAATGGTGGTTTAAAATGTTTCTATGGACACAGAGTCATATTAAGCACTCTTTAAAAAGGGCCATATTTTGAGGCTGGGTGTGGTGGCTCATGCCTGTAATCCCAGCACTTTGGGAAGCTGAGGCAGGAGGCTTGCTTGAGGTCAGGGGTTTGAGACCAGTCTGGGCAACATAACAAGCCCTCCACCTCTAAAAAGCTTTAAAAAAATCAGTCGGGCACAGTGGTACCTATAGTCCCAGCTACTAGGGAAGCTAAGGCAGGAAGATTACTTGAGCCCAGAAGGTTGAAGCTGCAGCGAGCTGTGATGGTATCACTGCACTCCAGCCTGGGTGACACAGACCTTGTCTCTTTAAAAAAAGAAAGAAAGAAAAGAAAAATTGTTTCTCAAATAATAAAGTATAGGTGTTTCCAGAATTTTCTTTTTTACCTTTACGCTCAGTTGGATTTGAAATTTCTAGAATTTTAACAACATTTCTAGTTATCAGAATTATTTTCTGAGCAAAAATTTGTTTTATCTACTTAGTCATATGAATTCAATCTGAATTATTACATTAATTTCTAATTTCTTCATTTTAAAGATGTTACACTTTGCTGTGAGAGATGTAGCTGACATAACTAAATTTTTATTTTCCCTTTCATAGTTGCCAGTTTGCCAAATTTTATTTCTCTGAAGATATTAAATCTTGAAGGCCAGCAATTTCCTGATGAGGAAACATCAGAAAAATTTGGTATGTTTACAAAATAGTGCTTTTTACGTATTCTTATTCTCTTTCTGCCCAGAATCCTTTTTCTCCTATTCTGAATTAGCCACAAGGAAGCAAGATATGCATTAGCTACCCTTGCTTACCAGAACGAAGTGATAGTCATGCTCAACTTCTACCCACCAAATGCCTTCACTACAGTTTTACCTGCAGACTTGATCTCATTCAAAGCAGAATGACTTCTTAGAGTACATATTTGGTCATTATAGCACTATGCAATATAATTGTCAGGTATCTGTTCCAAATATAAGACCTCATAGTTTCAAAGGTTACTAGAATATAGGTAAAAATCTATCTTTTAAGGTTAGGAAAACTCAATACGTGAAAACGTGTATTTCATAAAATGATAGCTATAGAATTTAAATACTTTTTGATTTTTAAAAAACGATTATGAAAGTAATGTATGCTCATGGAAAACATTCTAACAGGAAAAAAAAAAAATAAAGGGAGGCAGTGGAGATAGGGACTGTAGAGCTGTGCTATTCAAAGTGCTTCTCAAACATAAGCGTACATAAAGATTGCCAGGATCCTCCTCTTCCCTTCCTTGGAGGCAGCTAGGTGGGTGGGGGCTGAGGTGGCAGAGGTAGGATCAGGGCCAAGGGGATGGCTGGCATACATCATAGGTTGATTAAGCAAATAATACAGTGAGTATAGCCAGATGCAGTGGCTCACACCTGTAATCCCAGCACTTTGGGAGGCCGAGGTGGGTGGATCACCTGAGGTCAGGAGTTCAAGACCAGCCTGGCCAACATGGTGAAACCCCATCTCTACTAAAAAATACAAAAATTTGCTGGGCGTGGTGGCACATGCCTGTAGTCCCAGCTACTTGGGAGGCTGAGGCAGGAGAATCTCTCGAACCTCGGAGGCAGAGATTGCAGTGAGCCAAGATCAGGTCACTGTACTCCAGCCTGGGTGGCAGAGCAAGACTCTGTCTCAAAAACAAACAAACGAACAAAACAGTGAGTATAATGAGAGCCACGTTTCCTCACAGTTGGAAAAGGAACTTACAAATATTGAAAGGTGAGGCTAGAAAGAGCTTTGAGGTGTTGGATTAGAATTGGAAATATTGGTCTGGCCTCATGGTTTTTTCTAACCTATGAACATACATAGAGATCTCCATATATATACATTGATCTCCACATGTCTATAGATACACACATACATATTTCTCAGCTCAGTGGAGAGACTAGAAGGCACTGCAGTAATAATGAACACACCAAGTGCCTAGATACTGATTTCTAAATCCTGTCCTTCCGTAAAGGAACCAGGGTCCTTGCAAAATTGGCTGATTCAAGAACTGAGACAGGGAAAGAAAATGATAAGCCTGGGACATTGATTTATGCTAGAAATTATTCAATATATTTCCATGTGTGAGGCCTCAGAAGTTACCTTTCTAATGATCAAATGATCTATCGTGTGCCATGCTAGGAAGGAGTCGAAGTGAAAAGGAAGGTTCTAAGAGTGGTGGACTGTGAGGCTTTAGGGCCAGGAGGCCGGTGCAGAATCACTGAGCATGACAGCGGGAGGTGGAATGGGAAAGGAGGTGGCTGAAGGCATTGCAGAGCTGGGAAAGGAACCTGCAGGTCAGGAAAAGCTTCATTCTAAACGAGGAATGGAGATTTAATTGGCAGCCTGGACTTTAGTGCAGGAGAGATTGGTTGGTAGGGTGTGGTGGAGGAATTGTCTGGAGGAGCGAGGAAGACGGAAGCATGTGCTGGCCCTTCTCTTGCTTCCTGGACTGTGCATGATGTTTAGACCATACATGATTTTCAGATTACTGTTGCATAGGAACAAAAAGTACAAAGAGAATAGCTTTTTGGTCTTTTCTGACAGCCTACATTTTAGGTTCTCTTAGTAACCTGGAAGAATTGATCCTTCCTACTGGGGATGGAATTTATCGAGTGGCCAAACTGATCATCCAGCAGTGTCAGCAGCTTCATTGTCTCCGAGTCCTCTCATTTTTCAAGACTTTGAATGATGACAGCGTGGTGGAAATTGGTGAGCTAGTGTTTCAGCTTGCATGGAAGCCAGTGGTATAGCCAAGCTTTCTGCTGCAACATGTCTATGTAAACATTTGCCCCTCTAGAAATTTTCAACCCGCTTCCTCATTTTCACTATCATACTGTTCCTTCTAGTGTCCTTCTGTGGATTTAGGCGCATTCTGGTCAGATTTGGAAGTACAAAAAGGTCTCCCATTTGTGGATATACAAGCCCTCAAATCTGCGTTCTTGCCACCTGGTGTTTTAGACACCTGGCCACATACTCTCCTAAGTACTCCTTTTTAAAACTGAAGATGAATATACACACAGAAAAGTACAAAAATCATGTGTACTGCTCACTGAATTTTATTTTCTTATTTTCTTCTTTTTTTTTTTTTTGAGACAGAGTTTCGCTCGTGTTGCCCAGGCTGGAGTACAATGGCACGATCTCGGGTCACTGCAAACTCTGCCTCCTGGGTTCAAGCGATTCTCCTGCCTCAGCCTCCCAAGTAGCTAGGATTACAGGTGAACGCCACCACACCTGGCTAATTTTGTATTTTTAGTAAACACAGGGTTTCACCATGTTGGCCAGGCTAGTCTCGAACTCCTGACCTCAAGTGAGCCACAGTGCCTGGCCTGAGGAACTGAGATTTCTGTCGAGACCTGAAGGGAGAATGGCCCAGGCATAGTTGGTAGAGGAGGAATTGAGACATCATTTCAAACAGAGGTAATCACTTGTGTCATAGCCTGGAGTTAAAGAGAACCAGATATATTTGAAGAACTTGGGGGAAAAAAAGGAATGTCTGGAGCAAGAGGCAGGAGTGAGTTGTGAGAAGAAGACTGGAGAGGAAAGTAAAAGCCCAATTGGAGAGGCTTTGTCGGGTGTGTTACAAGGGCTGGATCTCATTTTCTTACTGCTCAGCACTGTTATTTTACGTTATTTAAAACAGCTGGGAGCGGTGGCTCAAGCTTGTAATCCCAGCACTTTGGGAGGCCGAGGCGGATGGATCACGAGGTCAGGAGATCGAGACCATCCTGGCTAACATGGTGAAACCCCGTCTCTACTAAAAATACAAAAAATTAGCCAGGCGTGATGGCGGGCACCTGTAGTCCCAGCTACTCGGGAGGCTGAGGCAGGAGAATGGTGTGAACCCGGGAGGTGGAGCTTGAAGTGAGCCAAGATCATGCCACTGCACTCCAGCCTGGGCAACAGAACGAGACTCCGTCTCAAAAAAAAAAACAAAAAACAAAAAACAATGACAACTTACAACGTTTTTCTTAAAGGCCTTGTTTCTTCCTCCTTATGAGGAAGAATTTAATAACATTAAATTTTGTGGTCTCTCTCATCCTCATTTACTATAAATTATTTGTGTTTTATTCTTCTCACTACATTAGGTCAAAGCCTTCCTTAGAACTTCAATCTCACACACAGATTTGAGCCAGTAACCCCTGTCGCTCTCCCTCCTGAGAGCAGGTGTTTTCTCTTCCCGGCGCCCAGCAGAGTATGCCTGGCCTATAGTGGGAACTCAGTAAATATTTGTTGACTGAATAAAGAAAACTTACTTTTCTGTAGCTTCTTCTGATGGACAGCTGAGAGGCCATTGTTTGCCTATAGTCAGTAATGCTTAAACTTTACCTGTAGGAGACAGCATTCAGACACATCACAGAACCGGCTAATCACACAATATGAAGTGGGAGTTATGCTGAAACAGGGGAAAGAAGGGAATGGATGTGAAAGACCTGAGTCTTTCTTCAAGTCCCTCCAGAAGTGTCTTTCATGTGGGGGAATGAGAAATATCTCTTGAATGTTACTGAAGATACCTATTCAGGACATAGCTGAAGACATTTTCTCAGTACCTCTGTTGTTTAACCTCAGTCAAGCTACAGCCATGGATTCTAGATTGAAACCAAACTTAACCTTTGCCCAAGTTAGAAAAAAAAAGAGGTTTAGCAATTAAAAACAAGGCTGGGCATGGTGGCTCATGCCTGTAATCCCAACACGTTGGGAGGCCAAGATAGAAGGACTGCTTGAGGCCAGGAGTTTGAGACAAGATTGGGCAACATAGCAAGACCTTGTCTCCATAAAAAATTGAAAAATTAGCCAAGCACGGTGGCTAGTCCTGAGTAGCTAGGACTCAGGAGGCTGAGGCGGGAGGATTGCTTGAGCCCAGAAATTCTAGGCTGCAGTGAGTTATAACTGAACCATTGCACTCCAGCCTAGGCAACCAAGTGACACCCTGTCTCAAAAAAAAAAATTTTTTTTTTTTTAAAAACCCCTAAACCAAACAACAAGAACTCTGCTTGGTACCCATTCCAAAGTCTAGTCAGCCTGTGTTCATTGAGAACACAGGGTGTGCCCGGCTTCCATTTCCTTCAGAGCCCTTAGTCTCAAAAACAGGAGGGTCCCTTCTGGGCAACAGAAATAGGGCATAGCAGTGGACAGTCGGATGACATGGCTTTAGGAATGTCACACCCCCTTCTCTATAAAAGGGGAAGACATAATTGCTACACTCTTTGAAGTCCCTTGTAATTTAGTCTGGATTTTTTTTTTTTTGTTTTCTCTTTTTGTTTTTTAGACGGAGTCTTGCTCTGTCACCCAGGCTGGAGTGCAGTGGTGGGATTTTGGCTCACTGCAACCTCTACCTCCCAGGTTCAAGCTGATTCTCCTGCCTCAGCCTCCCGAGTAGCTGGGATTACAGGCATGTACCACCATATCCGGCTGATTCTTGTATTTTTAGTAGAGATGGGGTTTCACCATGTTGGCCAGCCTGGTCTCGAACTCCTGACTTCAAGTGATCTACCCACCTCGGCCTCCCAAAATGCTGGGATTACAAGCGTGAGCCACTGTGACTTGCCAATTTAGTCTGGTTTGTAGGCATGATGTACCTTGGCATGTGACCTCCTGTGAGACCAAAAGAGAAGCTCATATTTGTCCAGGATGGTGAAACTCTCAGCACAATGGCGTCAGTGCTTTAGGCTTGGCTGTACTTCTTTGGTTTCTGCTTCTCCCTTAGATTTTTGCCAGGTGGTTCTTTATTAACCCATCAGCTCTTTGGGGTTTTTAAGGAGATATTTTCAAAATATTATATTAAGCTGGGCACAGTGACACGTGCTTGTAATCCCACCTACTTGGGAAGCTGAGGCAGGAGGATCACTTGAGTCCACGAGTTTGAGACCAGCCTGTGATGGCCAGGCGCGGTGGCTCACGCCTGTAATCCCAGCACTTTGGGAGGCCAAGGCGGGTGGATCACAAGGTCAGGAGATCGAGACCATCCTGGCTAACACAGTGAAACCCCGTCTCTACTAAAAATACAAAAAATTAGCTGGGCATGGTGGCGGGCGCCTGTAGTCCCAGCTACTCGGGAGGCTGAGGCAGGAGAATGGCATGAACCTGGGAGGCGGAGGTTGCAGTGAGCTGAGATCATGCCACTGCACTGCAGCCTGGGTAACAGAGCGAGACTCCATCTCAAAAAAAAAAAAAAAAAAAAAAAAAAAAGAAAGAAAGAAAAAGAGACCAGCCTGTGTTAACATAGCAAGACCCCATTTCAAAAAACAAAATTATATTGAGTACTTCCTACTAGCAGTAGTGGTGGGAGAGGAGGCTGGTTCAAATAACCTTGTCTACCATTATTGAAATGGAAGTCCTTATGATTCTATTTTCATGAATGTTTTGTTCTTGTAGCCAAAGTAGCAATCAGTGGAGGTTTCCAGAAACTTGAGAACCTAAAGCTTTCAATCAATCACAAGATTACAGAGGAAGGATACAGAAATTTCTTTCAAGCACTGGACAACATGCCAAACTTGCAGGAGTTGGACATCTCCAGGCATTTCACAGAGTGTATCAAAGCTCAGGCCACAACAGTCAAGTCTTTGAGTCAATGTGTGTTACGACTACCAAGGCTCATTAGACTGAACATGTTAAGTTGGCTCTTGGATGCAGATGATATTGCATTGCTTAATGTCATGAAAGAAAGACATCCTCAATCTAAGTACTTAACTATTCTCCAGAAATGGATACTGCCGTTCTCTCCAATCATTCAGAAATAAAAGATTCAGCTAAAAACTGCTGAATCAATAATTTGTCTTGGGGCATATTGAGGATGTAAAAAAAGTTGTTGATTAATGCTAAAAACCAAATTATCCAAAATTATTTTATTAAATATTGCATACAAAAGAAAATGTGTAAGGCTTGCTAAAAAACAAAACAAAACAAAACACAGTCCTGCATACTCACCACCAAGCTCAAGAAATAAATCATCACCAATACCTTTGAGGTCCCTGAGTAATCCACCCCAGCTAAAGGCAAACCCTTCAATCAAGTTTATACAGCAAACCCTCCATTGTCCATGGTCAACAGGGAAGGGGTTGGGGACAGGTCTGCCAATCTATCTAAAAGCCACAATATGGAAGAAGTATTCAATTTATATAATAAATGGCTAACTTAACGGTTGAATCACTTTCATACATGGATGAAACGGGTTTAACACAGGATCCACATGAATCTTCTGTGGGCCAAGAGATGTTCCTTAATCCTTGTAGAACCTGTTTTCTATATTGAACTAGCTTTGGTACAGTAGAGTTAACTTACTTTCCATTTATCCACTGCCAATATAAAGAGGAAACAGGGGTTAGGGAAAAATGACTTCATTCCAGAGGCTTCTCAGAGTTCAACATATGCTATAATTTAGAATTTTCTTATGAATCCACTCTACTTGGGTAGAAAATATTTTATCTCTAGTGATTGCATATTATTTCCATATCATAGTATTTCATAGTATTATATTTGATATGAGTGTCTATATCAATGTCAGTGTCCAGAATTTCGTTCCTACCAGTTAAGTAGTTTTCTGAACGGCCAGAAGACCATTCGAAATTCATGATACTACTATAAGTTGGTAAACAACCATACTTTTATCCTCATTTTTATTCTCACTAAGAAAAAAGTCAACTCCCCTCCCCTTGCCCAAGTATGAAATATAGGGACAGTATGTATGGTGTGGTCTCATTTGTTTAGAAAACCACTTATGACTGGGTGCGGTGGCTCACACCTGTAATCCCAGCACTTTGGGAGGCTGAGGCGGGCGAATCATTTGAGGTGAGGAATTCGAGACCAGCCTGGCCAGCATGGTGAAACCCCATCTCTACTAAAAATACAAAAATTAGCCAGGTGTGGTGGCACATGCCTGTAGTCCCAGCCACTAGGGCGGCTGAGACGCAAGACTTGCTTGAACCCGGGAGGCAGAGGTTGCAGTGAGCCAAGATGGCGCCACTGCATTCCAGCCTGGGCAACAGAGCAAGACCCTGTCTGTCTCAAAACAAAAAACAAAACCACTTATATTGCTAGCTACATTAAGAATTTCTGAATATGTTACTGAGCTTGCTTGTGGTAACCATTTATAATATCAGAAAGTATATGTACACCAAAACATGTTGAACATCCATGTTGTACAACTGAAATATAAATAATTTTGTCAATTATACCTAAATAAAACTGGAAAAAAATTTCTGGAAGTTTATATCTAAAAATGTTAATAGTGCGTACCTCTAGGAAGTGGGCCTGGAAGCCATTCTTACTTTTCAGTCTCTCCCATTCTGTACTGTTTTTTGTTTTACTTTCGTGCCTGCATTATTTTTCTATTTAAAACAAAAATAAATCTAGTTTAGCACTAAAATATTAACTGGAGCTACCTCTGGAGGGCAAGAGTACTAGAAGGTGGGATGGATTGTCTTCTTGCTTGTCTGATTTTATATGTAATACCTTTGTAATTAGAAAGGTTGTTAAGCATTATATCAGAATCCAGTCAGGAGACAGAAACCACACAGAAATTTGAATGGGGAAAGTTTAATATACAGATGCTCGGCCTGACGCAGTGGCTCACGCCTGTAATTCCAGCACTTTGGGAGGCCGAGGTGGGCAGATCACTTGAGGTCAGGAGTTCGAGACCAGCCTGGCCAACATGGTGAAATCCTGTCTCTACTAAAAATACAAAAAAAAATTAAAAAAAAAAAAAAAAAGCCAGGCATGGTGGTGTGCACCTGTAGTCTCAGCTACTTGGGAGGCTGAGGCAGGAGAATTGCTTGAACCCAGGAGGCAGAGGTTGCAGTGAGCCAAGATCGTGCCACTGCACTCCAGCCTGGGTGACAGAGCAAGACTCCATTTCAAATAAATAAATAAATAAATAAAATAAGATGCTCCTCAACTTACAACAGGGTTATATCCTGAAAAACCCATTGTAAGTAGAAAATATTGTATGTCAGAAATGCATTTAATATACCTAAACTACCAAACATCATCGCTTAACCTGACCTACCTTAAACACGCTGAGAACACTTATATTAGCTTACAGTTGGGCAAAATCATAAACACAAAGCCTATTTTATAATAAAGTATTGAAAATCTCACGCAATTTATTGAATACTGTACAGAAAGTGAAAAATAGAGGTCGTATGAGTACTTGAGGAACAGTTTCTACTGAATGCGGATCACTTTTGCACCATTGCAAAGTAGAAAAATCCTAAGTCAAGTCATCATGAGTTGGGGACTGTCCGTAAGAGTTATTAACAGAGGACTGGAATGGGGATTGGGTAGTAAGGAATAAAGAGAAGCCTGGGCAGATGCAGGGAACAGCCGATATGGGCTTTTCACCCCAGGCTGAGACAGAACAACTCAAAGAAGAAAGCTCAGGGCTGAGATCCGGGCTGAGATCCAGACTTCGTGTGAGAGGACACAGCTGTGAAAGACAGAGGTTTGCTGAGGCTGTGGAGTTGCAGCTGGAGAAGGTGCTGGGCTTGGGGCACTTTGCAGAGAAGGGACCTTGTGCATGTCAAGGGAAGCCATTCATGTGGGGGTACTGTGCGCTGCTGACCATTGGGTGCTGCTGAAGTTAGGCACCGCCCAAGAAGTGTGCAGCCAGAACGAGGTGCTGCAGAGGCAGAGTGTATGTGCTACAGGAGCTGGTATTGCAGATGGCACAGGTGTTGCAGGTGTCTGCCTAGAGGAGCACAATGGAACCAGGAAAAGCAGCCCTTGCCCCTTCAGTGTGTCAGCAGCACCCTCGATTGACAAAGTTTCACTCTGTGCTTACTGTCATGGGAGAGGTATTTACAGGGCCCAGATCTATTATTACAGAACAGACAATGAAGACTGAATGTGGATATAAGAGGCAACAACTAGCATAACTCATTAAATCTAATAGTGCACACATAAACACAAAATAACCTAGTAATTTCTTAATATTGACTGACAGGATATATGCACGTGATGTATTTATAAATTCATGGAAAACTTATATAAAAAACAGGCAACCATAATTGAGTTTAGGGAGGAGAACAGGATGGCTGGTGGACAGAAAAGGGAGAGAGGGAAGTTTGCTTTTTTTCTCCTGCATACCCTTTTATACCAGTTGAGTTTTGTCCCATGTGTGCATACTATTAAAAAACCATGATACTTGACCAGGTGCAGTGGCTCACGCTGGTAATCCCAGCACTTTGGGAGGCCGAGGCGGGTGGATCACCTGAGGTTGGGAGTTCGAGACCAGCCTGACCAACATGGAGAAACCTTGTCTCTACTAAAAATACAAAATTAGCCACGCATGGTGGTGCCTTCCTGTAATCCCAGCTACTCGGGAGGCTGAGGCAGGAGAATTGCTTGAACCCAGGAGGCGGAGGTTGCAGTGAGCCAAGAACGCGCTATTGCACTCTAGCCTGGGCAACAAGAGCAAAATTCTGCCTCAAAAAAAAAAAAAAAAAAAAAAAAATCATAAGATTCCATGCAAATTATTTTTCCAGAGCTGCTTCTAACAGCGTTTAGTTCAAGCAGCGGTCAGTAAAGTATGGCCCTGGACTGTCCAGCCCTCAAGCTAAGAATGGTTTTCACATTTTTTAAAGCAACAGAGACTCAGTGGCCTACAAAGCTAAAATATTTACTGTGTTCTTTTACAGAAAACAAACTATTTCTATGACAAAATACTTTTGAATCATAAGCTCATCATGCCCTTTATTCTAGTTTACATCAGTCTTCATAGGACTCCCAAGTCATCCCTCATTGACCTAAAAACTGTCCTCATGGTTGTAAGCCCTCCCTCCCTTCCTCCATCCATCTCTCCCTCTCTCTTTTTCTCCTTCCCTCTCTCCCTTCCTTCCTTTTCTTTCATAAAGAAAAGAGGTTTAGTTGACTCACGGTTCTGCAGGCTTTACAGGAAGCATGGTGCTGGCATCTGCTCGGCTTTTAGGGAGGCCTCAGGAAACTAAAATCATGGCAGAAGGTGAGCACACATGTCACATGATGAAAGCAGAAACAAGTGAGAGACAGTGCGGGGGCAGGGGGCAGGTTTCATACACTTTTAAATGACCAGATCTCACGAGAACTCAGTAGCAACACAAAGGTAACACCAAGCCATGAGGGATCTGCCCCCATGATCCAAACACCTCCCACCATGCCCCATCTCCAACACTCGGGATAAAATTCAACATAAGTAGAGATAAATATCCAAACCACATCATTCCACCTCTGGCCCCTCCCAAATCTTATGTCCTTTTCACAATGCAAAATACAACCATGCCTTCCCAACAGTGCCGCAAAGTCTTAACTCATTCCAGCATTAACTCAGGAATCCAAAGTCTCATCTGAGACAAGGCAAATCCCTGCCACCTATGAGCCTATAAAATAAAAAACAAATTATTTACTTCCAACATACAATCAGGGTTCAGGGATTGGGGAAATATTCCCATTAGGGAAAAACCTGCCAAAAAAGGGGGCTATAGGCCCCATGCAAGTTCAAAACCCAGCATGGCAGTCATTAAATCATGAAACTCCACAATGATCTCCTTGGTTTCCATGTGGCACGCTGATATGAGGGTTGGGCTCCCAAGGCCTTGGGCAGCTCTGCTCCTATAGCTTTGCAGAGTTCAGCCTGCTGTCACAGGCTGGGTTGAGTGTCTGTGGCTTTTCCAAGTGCAGGGTACAAGCTGCCAGTGGCTCTACCATTCTGGAGAACAGTAGCCCTCTTCTCACAGCTCCACTAGGCAGTGCCCCAGTAGGGACTCTGCGTGGGGCCTTTAACCCCACATTTCCCCTCCACGCTGCCCTAGTAGAGGCTCTCTGTGAGGGCTCTGCTCCTGCAGCAGGGTTCTGCTTGGACACCCAGGCTTTTCCATACATCCTCTGAAATCCAGGCAGAGGCTACCAAGAATTCACCATTTTTGCATTCTGTGTGCCTGCAGGCTTACCACCTAATGGAAGCTGTGAAGGCTATGGCTTATGCCCTCCAAAGTAACAGCCCAAGCTGTACCTAGGCCCCTTTGAGCCCCTGCTGGAGTTGGAGCCATCTGGATGCAGGGAGCAGTGTTCTGAGGCTGCACAGGGCAACAGGGCCCTGGGCTCAGCCCAGGAAAATATTCAGTCTTCCTTGGCTTCAGGGCCTATGACAGGAGGGGCTGCCCCATAGGTCTCTGAAATGCCTTTGAGGCCTTTTCCCCATTGTCTTGGATATTACCACTTGGATCCCTTTCAGTTATGCAAATATCAGCAAGTGGTTGCTCCACAGCCTGCTTGAATTCCTTGGAGAAAATGGTTTTTTTTTTTACCACCTGGCTAGGCTGCAAAATTTCCCAACTTTTAGGCTCTGCTTCCTGTTTAAATGTAAGTTCCAAATTTAAGTCATTCATTTGCCCCCACATCTGAGCACAGGCTGTTAGTAGCAGAAGGCCACATCTTGAATGCTTTGCTGCTTAGAAATTTCTTCTGCCACATACGCTAGGTCATAGTTTTTAAGTTCAAACTTCCACAGATCCCTAGGACACAAGCAGAATGCAGCCAAGTTATTTGCTAAGGCATAACGTGTGACTTTTGCTCCAGTTCCCAATAAATTCGTTTCCTTTTGAGACCTTGTCAACCTGGACTTCACTGTCCCTATCACCATCAGCATTTTGGTCACAACCACTTATCTAGTCTCTAAGAAGTTCCAAACTTGCCGGGAGCAGTGGCTCACGCCTGTAAACCTAGCACTTTGGGAGGTCGAGGTGGGTGAATCACTTGAGGTCAGGAGTTCGAGACCAGCCTGGCCAACATGGTGAAACCCCATCCTTACTAAAAATACAAAAATATTAGCCAGGCATGGTGGTGCATGCCTGTAACCCCAGCTGCTTGGGAAGCTGAGGCAGAAAATCACTTGAACCCGGGAGGCAGAGGTTGCAGTGAGCCAAGATCACGCCACTGCACTCCAGCCTGGGCGACAGAGCAAGACTCCGTCTCAAAAAAAAAAAAAAAAAAAAGTTTGAAACTTACCCTCATTTTCCTGTCTTCTTCTGAGCCCTGTAAACTCTTCCAACCACTACTCATTACCCAGTTCCAAAGCTGTTTCCACATTTTCAGGTATCTTTATAGCAATGCCCAACTTCTCGGTACCAATTTTCTGTATTGGGGCATTCTTGCACTGCTATAAAGAAATACCTCAAACTGGGTAATTTACAAAGAGGTTTAATTGGCTCATGGTTCTGCAGGCTTTACAGGAAGCATGGTGCTGGCATCTGCTTGGCTTCTAGGGAGACCTCAGGAAGCTTACAGTCATGGTGGAAGGTGAAGGGGTAGCAGACACATCACATGGTAAAAGCAGGGGCAAGTGAGAGAGCTAAACTCCCGCTTTCTGATCACATATCCCAACCTGCTCCAACTCCCTAAATCCTTCCACTGTGTCTACATGGTAGAATCTCCTACATCCACAACTTCTTATGTCAACTTTCCTTCTATTTCTTGATCTAACTCCTCATTCTCAAGCTTTTTTTTTAACCATGACCCACAATAATAAATTTTACATCAAAACACCATACGCACATACATACACACACATATTATATGTGTATACACAACTGAAGTCCCACAAAAACAAACCTTACTAAAATAAAACTATATCAGATATGATTTTATTAATAGCCAAATAAACAAAAATTCAGAAATACAAAGTTCCGTGAAAGAGTTGTTTACATGCACTGTCAACTGTTCTCTCATTCTTATGTTCTCTCCCTCCAGGATTTTACCTCCTCCATTCCACCAACACAGCTCTTATGAGGGTCACCAATGAGCTCCACATTGCTAAATTGGTGAATACTTCTCAGTCCTCACTTTAGTTGACCCATTAGCAGCATGTGACCTATTGGCTTTCACATGGCCCATCACCCCTCTTCCTCAAAACACTGCCTTCATTTGGCTTCCAGGGCATCCCTCTTGATTTTCCTAACTCAATGAGAGCTCCTCCTTAGTCTCCTGCACTGTTTTTCCTCATATCCTATCTCTAACCACTGAGAGAACCCCAAAGTTCTCCTCTGACATCTTCTCTATTTGAATGCACTTCCTCAGCTATCTCCTCTAGTTCAACAGCTTTAAATTTACTAACTTCTACATTTCCATCTCTAGCCCAGACCTCTCCTCTGAACTATTTTTTTATTTTATAATATAGACGGGGTCTCACTTTGTTGCCCAGTCTGGTCTTGAACTCCTGGGCTCACATGATTCTCCTGCCTTGGCCTCCCAAAGTGCTGAGATTACAGGCATGAGGCATTGCACCTGGCCTGGACTCTTTATTCACATCCAACTTCTACTAATGGGCATCTCAATTTTCACATGTTCAAAACCCAATTTCTTTCCTGCCACAAAAGTACTCCTTATGCAGACCTCCATCTCATTAAATTCTAACTTTATTTTTCCAGTTGCATAAGCCAAAAATCTCGGAGTTACACTTGACACTCCTCTTTCATACACCACATGTAATCAATCTACTGAAAAATCCTGGTGGCTCCACTTGGAAAATATACTCAGATCCAACCACCACTACCCACACTGGCTCTAACTAGTCAGCCTGTTTCCTCCCTTCAAACCTATGGTGTATTTTCAACACAGCAATCAGAAGTCTCTTTCTGTAAGTCAGATCATGCTATACCTTGGGTTCAAAACCTTTCCATGGACTCCCAGCTTAAAAAAGTAAATGCTGAAGACCTTACTATCGCTGACATATGGCCTGGCCCTTGACTACCTCTCTTAGCTCCATCTCCTTAATCTCTCCTCCTTACTTCCACTCCAGCCACGATTAACTCCTTGTTGTTCCCCAAACATGTTAAATACACTTGTGTCTTAGGGCCTTTCTATTTGTTATCTCCCTTGCCTGGGATACTCTCCCTCTAGTTGTACCTAGAACAGTTGAATCATCGCATAATTGCTAAAAGGACAAGTGACCATGTGACAACGTTCTTTCATCTTTTATGCTTGTAACACCAGAATTTACTTGAAAAAGTTTGTAAGTGGACAAGTATGAAAGACAGATATGTACACAAAGTAACAGGAAGGTAAAGATGATGTGAAAAATGAAAACCAATCCACTGAAAGTCATTCTAATTGGTATTTATAAATGTAAAAACAAAAATGTTTTGCTGTTATGTAACAAAGAATATAGCCATCATCTATCACTTCAACAAAACTATGAGCCCTAAAGTTTTCAGAAGTATTGCAGTTTGGACAGGTGTGGTGGCTCATGCCTACCGTCCCCAGCACTTTGGAAGGCAGGAAGATCACTTGAGGCCAGGTGTTCAAGGCCAGCCTGGGCAACACAGTGAGACCCTATTTCTACAAAAAATAAAAATAAATTAAAAAACAAAAAGTATTGCATTTTGACAAAGTGAGTTCATGAAGAATACAAATAATAAGGTAGAACATAGTAGAGATGCATTTGAAATCCAAAATCCGTATTTAAAGGTAGGTATGTTCCAGATTCATGCATAATGACAGCTGCTTTCAAAGGATGTAATGCCTTTTAGGTATACATAAACATTCAAAACTGGGAAAATATGGGAAAAAATGTGGGTCTCCTATATTTGGATTCTCATTAAAATTGCTAACAAAGTTAATTTTCACCATCCCTTTATTCTTCTGTAAATTGTTTATAAAATGACTTGAAAAAGAATGCAGTCAATTCTCATTACTTGAGGTAGTTATGTTCTATGAAGTTGCCACAAACACGCAAATTAGTGAATACTGAGCCATTGCTCCTAACAGAAATACAGGGTTAGGTTCTTGTAAGCCTTTGGTCACATTTTCACCAACTTATAAATACGTAAGCTTGTTTTATATCTGTTTCTGTTTAAAGACACATTATTTAATAAATATAGACCTGGCATGGTGGCTCATATCTGTAATCCCAGCACTCTGGGATGCCAAGGTGGGTGGATCACTTGAGGTCAGGAGTTCAAGACTGGCCTACCCAACATGGTAAAACCCCACCTCTACTAAAAATACAAAAATTATGCTGGGTGCAGTGGCGGGTGCCTATAATCCCAGCTACTGAGAAGACTGAGGCAGGAGAATCGTTTGAACCCGGGAGGAGGAGGTTGCAGTGAGCCGAGATTATGCCATTGCACTCCAGCCTGGGTGACAGAGTGAGACTCCATCTCAAAAAATATAATAATAAATAGTGATGACTCATCATCATCTAACTCCCACTCAACAGCACTATAACTCATGACTAAACAAAGGTTATCTAACACATGTATTCTCTAAGGCACCTCACAGCCCGCATGCACCTTGGAATACCACTATATAGCACTTCAGCACAATGCTTGGGAATCACTTTAAACAGTAAAATCACAAACAGAAGGCACAAAAATGTGAAAAATGTAGAACTATATAAACTGCTTTCGAAAAGGACACTTGTTTATAGTAAGAAAGCTACACAAAAAACTGAGCACTGTTCAACCCCAGCTGGGAATATCTGGATAAGGTTCTCAAATTTTTCACCTCTGTGTATGTCCATGAAAAACCATGAAACTGCCATGAGTATTGATGTTAGGTTACAAATAAATTTTAGCAAGTAGGTGCCTTTACAAATACAGATTCTACAAATAAAGAGAATTGACTGTAAATAAAATTTTATAAGCAAAAACTCTGAAAATAAAAACAAATAGTTAAAATGGTAATGGGAAGACGATATAAACAACAGAAAATTAAAAGTTCTTAAACACATGAAAAGGTGCTGAACTTCACAATAAAATAAAAATGTACAAATATGAGATAATCATTTTTAACTATTCAATTGACAAAGATTCAAAGGTTTGATAAATTATTGGCTATTTTGCAGGAAACAAACTCTCCATGTTGGTATAAATATAGATTAATATAACCTCTACTGAAAACAATTTAGCAAACTTTTATTTAAAATTTAAATGTAGGTCGGGCACGGTGGCTCATGCCTGTAATCCCAGCACTTTGGGAGGCCAAGGCGAGCAGATCACAAGGTCAGGAGTTCAAGATCAGCCTGGCCAACATGGTGAAACCCCGTCTCTACTAAAAAAATACAAAAATTAGCCGGGCATGGTGGCGTGTGCCTGTAATCCTAGCTACTCAGGAGGCTGAGGCAGGAGCACTGCTTGAACCTGGGAGGCGGAGGTTGCGGTGAGCTGAGATCACGCCATTGCACTCCAGCCTGGGCAACAGAGCAAGACTCCGTATCAAAAAAAAAAAAAAACAATTTAAATGCAATAGCCTCTTCAACACAGTAGTTCTAATTCTAGATACTTAATCCTAAAGATGCTGACTGTACTATTAAATAACAAATGATTAGAAACAAATTAAACTCTCATCCACAAGAGCTCAATTCATTAAGCGTGGTACACATCTGTAAGAATATCCTGTAAGTGCTTAAAAGAATGAGAGCTTTTTTTTAAATTTTTAATTTTTGCATTTTTCTTATTTTATTTTATTATTATACTTTAAGTTTTAGGGTACATGTGCACAATGTGCAGGTTAGTTACATATGTATACATGTGCCATGCTGGTGTGCTGCACCCATTAACTCGTCATTTAGCATTAGATATATCTCCTAATGCTATCCCTCCCCATTCCCCCCACCCCACAACAGTCCCCAGAGTGTGATGTTCCCCTTCCTGTGTCCATGTGTTCTCATTGTTCAATTCCCACCTATGAGTGAGAACATGCGGTGTTTGGTTTTTTGTCCTTGCGATAGTTTACTGAGAATGATGATTTCCAATTTCATCCATGTCCCTACAAAGGACATGAACTCATCATTTCTTATGGTTGCACAGTATTCCATGGTGTATATGTGCCATATTTTCTTAATCCAGTCTATCATTGTTGGACATTTGGGTTCGTTCCAAGTCTTTGCTATTGTGAATAGTGCCGCAATAAACATACGTGTGCATGTGTCTTCATAGCAGCATGATTTATAGTCCTTTGGGTATATACCCAGTAATGGGATGGCTGGGTCAAATGGTATTTCTAGTTCTAGATCCCTGAGGAATCACCACACTGACTTCCACAATGGTTGAACCAGTTTACAGAACTCTCCACCCCACATCAACAGAATATACATTTTTTTCAGCACCACACCACACCTATTCCAAAATTGACCACATAGTTGGAAGTAAAGCTCTCCTCAGCAAACGTAAAAGAACAGAAATTATAACAAACTGTCTCTCAGACCACAGTGCAATCAAACTAGAACTCAGGAATAAGAAACTCACTCAAAACCACTCAACTACATGGAAACTGAACAACCTGCTCCTGAATGACTACTGGGTACATAACGAAATGAAGGCAGAAATAAAGATGTTCTTTGAAACCAACGAGAACAAAGACACAACATACCAGAATTTCTGGGACACATTCAAAGCAGTGTGTAGAGGGAAATTTATAGCACTAAATGCCCACAAGAGAAAGCAGGAAAGATCCAAAATTGACACCCTAACATCACAATTAAAAGAACTAGAAAAGCAAGAGCAAACACATTCAAAAGCTAGCAGAAGGCAAGAAATAACTAAAATCAGAGCAGAGCTGAAGGAAATAGAGACACAAAAAACCCTTCAAAAAATTAATCCAGGAGCTGGTTTTTGGAAAGGATCAACAAAATTGATAGACCGCTAGCAAGACTAATAAAGAAGAAAAGAGAGAAGAATCAAATAGACGCAATAAAAAATGATAAAGGGGATATCACCACCGATCCCACAGAAATACAAACTACCATCAGAGAATACTATAAACACTTCTACGCAAATAAACTAGAAAATCTAGAAGAAATGGATAAATTCCTCGACACATACACCCTCCCAAGACTAAACCAGGAAGAAGTTGAATCTCTAAATGGACCAATAACAGGCTCTGAAATTGTGGCAATAATCAATAGCTTACCAACCAAAAAGAGTCCACGACCAGATGGATTCACAGCCGAATTCTACCAGAGGTACAAGGAGGAACTGGTACCATTCCTTCTGAAATTATTCCAATCAATAGAAAAAGAGGGAATCCTCCCTAACTCATTTTATGAGGCCAGCATCATCCTGATACCAAAGCCAGGCAGAGACACAACCAAAAAAGAGAATTTTAGACTAATATCCTTGATGAACATTGATGCAAAAATCATCAATAAAATACTGGCAAACCGAATCCAGCAGCACATCAAAAAGCTTATCCAGCATGATCAAGTGGGCTTCATCCCTGGGATGCAAGGCTGGTTCAACATACGCAAATCAATAAATGTAATCCAGCATATAAACAGAACCAAAGACAAAAACCACATGATTATCTCAATAGATGCAGAAAAGGCCTTTGACAAAATTCAACAATCCTTCATGCTAAAAACTCTCAATAAATGAGGTATTGATGGGACGTATCTCAAAATAATAAGAGCTATCTATGACAAACCCACAGCCAATATCATACTGAATGGGCAAAAACTGGAAGCATTCCCTTTGAAAACACGCACAAGACAGGGATGCCCTCTCTCACCACTCCTATTCAACATAGTGTTGGAAGTTCTGGCCAGGGCAATTAGGCAGGAGAAAGAAATAACGGGTATTCAATTAGGAAAAGAGGAAGCCAAATTGTCCCTGTTTGCAGATTACATGATTGTATATCTAGAAAACCCCATTGTCTCAGCCCAAAATCTCCTTAAGCTGATAAGCAACTTCAGCAAAGTCTCAGGATACAAAATCAATGTACAAAAATCACAAGCATTCTTATACAGCAATAACAGACAAACAGAGAGCCAAATCATGAGTGAACTCCCATTCACAATTGCTTCAAAGAGAATAAAATACCTAGGAATCCAACTTACAAGGGATGTGAAGGACCTCTTCAAGGAGAACTACAAACCACTGCTCAATGAAATAAAAGAGGATACAAACAAATGGAAGAACATTCCATGCTCATGGGTAGGAAGAATCAATATCATGAAAATGGCCATACTGCCCAAGGTAATTTACAGATTCAATGCCATCCCCATCAAGCTACCAATGACTTTCTTCACAGAATTGGAAAAAACTACTTTAAAGTTCATATGGAACCAAAAAAAAGCCCGCATCGCCAAGTCAATCCTAAGCCAAAAGAACAAAGCTGGAGGCATCACGCTACCTGACTTCAAACTATACTACAAGGCTACAGTGACCAAAACAGCATGGTACTGGTACCAAAACAGAGATATAGACCAATGGAACAGAACAGAGCTCTCAGAAATAACGCCGCATATCTACAACTATCTGATCTTTGACAAACCTGAGAAAAACAAGCAATGGGGAAAGGATTCCCTATTTAATAAATGGTGCTGGGAAACTGGCTAGCCATATGTAGAAAGCTGAAACTGGATCCCTTCCTTACACCTTATACAAAAATTAATTCAAGATGGATTAAAGACTTAAATGTTAGACCTAAAACCATAAAAACCCTAGAAGAAAACCTAGGCATTACCATTCAGGACATAGGCATGGGCAAGGACTTCATGTCTAAAACACCAAAAGCAACGGCAACAAAAGCCAAAACTGGGATCTAATTAAACTAAAGAGCTTCTGCACAGCAAAAGAAACTACCATCAGAGTGAACAGGCAACCTACAAAATGGGAGAAAATTTTTGCAATCTACTCATCTGACAAAGGGCTAATATCCAGAATCTACAACGAACTCAAACAAATTTACAAGAAAAAAACAGACAACCCCATCAAAAAGTGGGCGAAGGACATGAACAGACACTTCTCAAAAGAAGACATTTATGCAGCTAAAAAACACATGAAAAAATGCTCACCATCACTGGCCATCAGAGAAATGCAAATCAAAACCACAATAAGATACCATCTCACACCAGTTAGAATGGCAATCATTAAAAAGTCAGGAAACAACGGGTGCTGGAGAGGATGTGGAGAAATAGGAAGAATGAGAGTTTTAAATACTGATATGGTGTGTTCTCCAAGATATATTGACAGAAAAGCACTTATCTATTGAAGAACATTATATGAATTACCTCTAAAGATAAAAAATTTTAAAAGTTCAAAAAGGGTAATGATGATATATCATGACAGAACTTAATTACTTTTTTTCTTTTTGAGACAGTCACTGAGTCACCCAGGCTGGAGTGTAGTGGCATGATCTTGGCTCACTGCAACCTCCGCCTCCTGGGTTCAAGTGATTCTCATGCTTCAGCCTCTCCAGTAGCTGGGATTACAGGCGCCCACCACCATGCCGAGCTAATTTTTTTTTTGTATTTTTAGTAGAGATGGGGTTTCACCATGTTGGGCCAGGCTGGTCTCGAACTACCGACCTCAGGTGATCCACCCACCTCAGCCTCTCAAAGTGCTAGGATTACAGGTATGAGCCACCATGCCTGGCCTTAATTACATGTTTTTTAAAAATTCACAATAAATGTATACACAAACATTTTAAAAAACACAAAAGGGTACACTGTGAAAAGTGTACAGAAGGGCTGGGCATGGTGATTCATGCCTGTAATCCTAGCACTTTGGGAGCCCGAGGTGGGAGAATGGCTTGAACCCAGGAACTCGAGACCAGCTTGGGCAACATAGATCATGTCACTACCAAAAAAAAAAAAAAAGTGTACAGAAGCAGAGTTGCTCTTGTTTTTTGTTTGTTGCTTTGGTTTGGTTTTTTTTTTTGAGACAGGGTCTCAGTCTGTTGCCCAGGCTGAAGTGCAATGGTGTGAACATGGCTCATTATACAGCCTCAACCTCCTGTACTCAAGTGATCCTTTTGCCTCAGCCTCTCCAGTAGCTGGGACTACAGGCATGCACCACCATGCCTTGCTAATTCTTTCATTTTTTGTAGAGTCAGGGGTTTTGCGTTGTTGCTTATGCTGGTCTTGAACTCCTGGGCTCAAGTGATCCGCCTGTCTCGTCCTCCCAAAATGCTGGGATTACAGGTGTAAGCCACCGTGCCTGGCCCAGAGTTGCTCTTAGTAACGTGTTTTTTTTTTTTTTTTTTTGAGACGGAGTCTCGCTTTTTAGCCCAGGCTTGAGTACAGCGGCACAATCTCGGCTCACCACAACCTCCACCTCCCGGGTTCAAGCAATTCTCCTGCCTCAGCCTCCCAAGTAGCTGGGACTACAGGGCGTGCCACCATGCCGGGCTAATTTTTGTATTTTTAGTAGAGACAGGGTTTTACTATGTTGGCCAGGCTGGTCTGGAACTCCTGATCTCAGGTGATCCACCCGCCTCGGCCTCCCAAAGTGCTGGGATTACAGGTGTGAGCTGCCGCGCCCAGCTGCTCTTAGTAACTTCTGGAATTTGATGTCTAAATTGAATCCATTATTTCAAACATCACAAGACTTAAGTTCATAAAAACTTTTTTAAAAAGTTAACTCTGGGTCAGGCGTAGTGGCTCAAGCTTGTAATCCCAGCACTTTGGGAGGCCGAGGCAGGTGGATTACCTGGGGTCAGGAGTTCCAGACCAGCCTGGCCAACGTGGCGAAACCACGTCTCTACTACTAAAAATACAAAAATTAGCCAGGCATAGTGGCACATGCCTGTAGTCCCAGCTGCTCGGGAGGCTGAGGCAGGAGAATTGCTTGAACCTGGGAGGCAGAGGTTGCAGTGAGCTGAAATTGCGCCACTGCACTCCAGCTTGGGTGAGAGTTAGACTGTATCAAAAACAAAAAGAAATTAACTGTGTAGTTTATTTCTGTTAATGGCAACCCTGCAGAAAAGTTAAACTTAGAATATGTCTCAAAGTAATCTCTGTCTGATCCCTTAATGAAGGATCTCTTCAAACACAGCAACTTTTGTCTGTCTTCTGAACGTAGGTACAGCTGTGGCTGTAGAACAGACCATGTAATTTTCATCTAGATTCCTTACAACCACAAGGACAATTATTACAATGAAAGCCAGAGAACTAGCTCAGTTTTGATTTTATTACTAGGATAAATCCAGCCAGGTAGTGTGGTGGCTTTGATGTTTTCTGTCTATATCTAAGGGGGAAGCTGCTTCATTATTCGATATTAAGATAAATAGGGCCTAAAAATAGTCCTAGGTCAAACACCATTATGATTAACTCAACTTTCAAAACCATTTACCTAATGTAGGATTTGTTAATAAGTCTTCTTCAAAATTAGCAAGAAATACAACTAATGCCTAACCCGTCATGATGAATTAAAGACTGATCCAAAAATAACTGACAGTTCTCTTCCAGTTGCCCTCTTCTTTGACAATCCCACCAGTCTATGCTCTAAGCTCACGCTTGACTTCCAAAAACTGCCAGATATTGTAGACACCATGAAGAATAAGATGTACTACCTTTTCTCTAATGAAAGAGGAAATACAGATATAAACAATATATAAACATAATATAATGTGAAAAGCTATGTATAGAAATAAATAGAGAGGCCGTGTGCGGTGGCTCACGGCTGTAATCCCAGCACTTTGGGAGGCCAGGGTGGTCGAATCACTTGAGGGCAGGAGTTTGAGACCAGCCTGGCCAACATGGTGAAACTCCATCTCTACTAAAAATACAAAACTTAGTGGGGCATGGTGCCACATGCCTGTAATCCCAACTACTCACGTGGGTGAGGCACGAGAACCGCTTGAACCCGGATAGCAGAGGTTGCAGTGAGCTGAGATTGCACCACTGCACTCCAGCGTGGGCAGCAGAGCGAGACTCTGTCTCAAAAACAAACAAAAATAAGAATATGTAAAGACATGAAAAATGTGACATTAAGTGGGAATACACATGCACATACACAAAATGCTATGGTGGCATCCATATCAAAATATGGGCCAAAGGGCAAAATAATATGCAAAAAAGAAATACAATCACAGATACAGCTAATTTAAAAAAAAATTAAATATTTTTATTATATACTTTTAAACATATAGAAGATAGAAAAAAACAGTACAATGAACAGCCATGTCCACCAGTTAGATTCTGTAACATTTTGCCACATACGCCTCACATACATTTTGTTAAACCATTTGAAACATTTTAAGACACTCTAACACTTCATTCCTAAATGCTTAAGTATGCAAATTAAGACAGTCTTTTATAAACTACAACACCCTTCTCACAGCTCATAAAATTACCAATAATTATCCAATATCATTCAAAATCTAATCCACATTCAAATTTTCTCAACTGCCTCACCACCGTGCTGGCCTCCCACCCCCACCCCAGTCTTTTACAGATGGTTTTTCAAAATAGAGTCCAGTAAAATATTTCACATTGCATTTGGTTATTACATAACTTTTAATCAAGAAGAGTTACCCATTCCACTTCCTTTTTTCTTTCCCAACACTTGATATTTTGAAGAAATGAGGCCAGTTATCTTCTATAACGCTTCACATTCCAGATCTGTCTGATCGTTTCTTTAGTGGTGTCATTTAGTGCTGCTCTATGCCAGCATTTCCTGCAAATGAGAAATTAGAACCAGAGGCTTGACGAATTCCAGTTAAACCATGTCCTCTGTGGACACCAGTTAAACTTGACTAGAGCACTTCATATGTCAGAGTGTACAGTGCAGTATGCCTAGGTTATCCCATATCACAATAAAAAAAAGTCTGCTGGTCTGCCTACTAGTGATATAAAATGGCATCATATCCTAAAGCTCTTTATTGTGAAAGTATGTTTCTTCCACATAACCAACCAGTTAAGTATGAGAATTCTAGTAGGGATGTAGATTAACCTTTTATCTAATAGTTTTGGCATCAAAATTCTTTAATATTGATTGTTTTACATTAACCTTTCAACTTTTTAACATCTGAACTTTTTAAATGTTCAAAAACATTTGTTTTCCACAAACCATAAAGTTTTACAAAAGTAAGATTCACTTTCATAATGCTGGCAGACTTACTCCTTAATTTAAGGAATGTGAGCACCTTCCTTCTTTTTGATTTTGTCTGAAACCCTGTAAGGAAAATAAAGGAAGTTAAAAAAAATAGCTATATAGACATAGATAGCTATATATAGATAGCTTTATATGGATGTTAAAAAGCATTTTGTTTCACAAGACATTTTACTTATTTTATTCAACAAAATATGATCAGAAATTAAGTTGATAGTCTTTTAATGTACTTTAAAAGTTATCCCAAAGAAAACAATTATTAGGCTGCAGTTAAGGTTTTCTTGCAGTGGCTCATGCCTACAATCCCACAACTTTGGGAGGCAGAGGTAGGGGGATCACTTGAGACCTGGAGCTTGACACCACCCTGGGCAACATAATGAGACCCTGTCTCTACAAAAAATTTAAAAATTAGGCCGGCGTGGTGGCTCAGGCTAGGCACAGTGGCTCACGCCTGTAATCCCAGCACTTTGGGAGGCCGAGACAGTTGGATCACCTGAGCTCAGGAGTTCGAGAACAGCCTGGCCAACATGGCAAAACCCCATTTCTACTGAAAGTACAAAAAATTAGCCAGGCATGGTGGTGGGGACCTCTAATCCCAGCTACTTGGGAGGCTGAGGCAGGAGAATCACTTGAACCCAGGAGGCGGAGGCTGCAGTGAGCTGAGATTTACACCACTGCACTCCAGCCTGGGTGACAGAGCAAGACTCTGTCTCAAAAAAAAATAAATAAATAAAAATAAAAATTAGCCAGGTGCAGTGGCATTATCACTGTAGTCCCAGCTACTCGGGAAACTGAGGTGAGAGGACTGCTTGAGCCCTGGAGGTCAAGGCTGCAGTGAGCTGTGAATGTGCCCTTGCACTCCAGCCTGAGCAATAGAGTGAGACCTGGTCTCTAAAAAATAAAATTTAAATTTAAAAAATTTAAAAACATTGCCGGTCACAGTGGCTCATGCCTGTAATGCCTTGCACTTTTGGAGGCCAAGGCGGGCGGATCACCTGAGGTCGGATTTGGAGAACAGCCTGACCAACATGGAGAAACCCCGACTCTACTAAAAATACAAGACTAGGCCGGGCACAGTGGCTCACGCCTATAATCCCAGCACTTGGGGAGGCTGAGGCGGGTGGATCAAAAGGTCAGGAGATCGAGACCATCCTGGCTAACACAGTGAAACCCCATCTCTACTAAAAACACAAAAAAATTAGCCGGGTGTGGTGGCGGGCACCTGTAGTCCCAGCTACTCGGGAGGCTGAGGCAAGAGAATGGTGTGAACCTGGGAGGCAGAGCTTGCAGTGAGCCAAGATCGCGCCGCTGCACTCCAGCTTGGGGGACAGAGCAAGACACCATCTCAAAAAAAAAAAACAAAAAACAAAACAAAACACAAAACTGGCTGGGCGTGGTGGCATATGGCTGTAATCACAGCTACTCGGGAAGCTGAGGCAGGAGAATCACTTGAACCCAGGAGGCGGAGGTTGCAGTGAGCCGAGATTGCACCATTGCACCCCAGCCTGGGCGACAGGGCAAAACTCCATCTTAAAAAATAAATAAACTAATTAATTTAAAAAAATATTTTTCTTCCTTTTTTTTTTGAGACGGAGTTTCGCTCTTGTTGCCCAGGCTGGAGTGCAATGGTGCAATCTTGGCTCACCGCAACCTCCGCCTTCTCAGTTCAAGCAACTCTCCTGCCTCAGCCTCCCAAGTAGCTGGGATTACAGGCATGCGCCACCATGCCCGGCTAGTTTTGTATTTTTAGTAGAGACAGGGTTTCTCCATGTTGGTCAGGCTGATCTGGAACTCCCGACTTCAGGTGATTCACCCGCCTTGGCCTCCCAAAGTGTTGGGATTACCGGCGTGAGCCACTGCGCCCAGCTGATTTTTCTTCTTTCAGTATGTCCAATGATGTTCCTGAGCCCGCTTATACCTTATTTTTTTTTTTTTGAGATGGAGTTTTGCTCTTATTGCCCAGGCTGGAGTGCAATGAGGTGATCTCGGCTCACCGCAACCTCCACCTCCCAGGTTCAAGCAATTCTCCTGCCTCAGCCTCCTGAGTAGCTGGGATTACAGGCATGCACCACCACGCCCGCCTAATTTTGTATTTTTTTTAGTAGAGACGGGGTTTCTCCATGTTGAGGCTAGTCTCTAACTCCCGACCTCAGGTGATCCGCCTGCCTCGGCCTCCCAAAGTGCTGGGATTACAGGTGTGAGCCACCGTGCCCGGCCTATACCTTATTTTCATCAAATAAAATATATGACCTTAAACTACCTGTGTCATACTTATTAAAATGAGACCATTAAACACCAGTATTCACTAAATAAAAAAAAAATTTAAAGTCAAAAATTAATACTAAAACATTTGTTTTTCTTGTCAGATCTAGCCCAAATGTCCTCTGTCTCTCTTCTGGCTTCAATGCTTTCTATCTTTCCCTACATGTATACTAGCTTGCAGTGGCTTCCCACTTCATTACTAATCTACACCTAACAGACCGTAAGATGTATTGAAAGATTTGTTACTAATGAGTATCAAAGTTATAACCTATTTTATGTTATTTCAACAACATTATTCTTAGTCATTTGCATTCTGCTTAGATTTCTAAGACAAAAAGATAGAGGTTAAAAGCTAGACTCAGAGCCTATCTCAACCACGTGGCTTCAGTAGAACAAAGGTTAAGAATTGTTAGCTTAAGGCAATGACGTATTAAAAACACTTAAGGCCAGGTGCAGTGGCTCACGCCTGTAATCCCAGCACTTTGGGAGGCCTAGGCAGGCAGATCACGAGGTCAGGAGATCGAGACCATCCTGGCTAACACGGTGAAACCCCATCTCTACTAAAAATACAAAAAATTAGCCGTGCATGGTGGCACACGCCTGTAGTCCCAGCTACTTGTCGGGCTGAGGCAGGAGAATGGTGTGAACCCGGGAGGCAGAGCTTGCAGTAAGCCAAGATCATGCCACTGCACTCCAGCTTAGGAGACAGAGCAAGACTGTCTCAAAAACAAAAACAAAACAAAAAAAACCCAAAAAACCAAAAAAACAAAAAGAACACAAACGAATGTTCATAGCAACATTATTCATTATAGCCCAAAAATAAAAACAACCTAAATGTCCATGAACTGATGAATGGATAAAATGTGATATAACCAAACAACAGAATATTCAGCAATAAGAAGGAATGCAGTACTGGTGCATTCTACAGCATGGATGAATCTTGAAAATAGCATGCTAAGTGAAAGAAGCCAGACACAAAAGACCACATATCGTATAATTCCGTTTATATATAATATCTAAAATAGACAAATTCATAGAGACAGAAAGTGTACTGACTGCCTAGGGCTGGGGAAAATGAAGGTAACAGGGTTTCTTTTTGGGGTGATGAAAATGTTCTTAAATTGTAGTGATGGTTGCATAACTGAAAACCAAAACCACTGACTTGTATACTTTCTTTTTTATTTTATTTTTTGAGACAGAGTCTCGCTCTGTCGCCCAGGCTGGAGTGCACTGGCACAATCTCGGCTCACTGCAAGCTCCACCTCCTGGGTTCACGCCACTCTCCTGCCTCAGCCTCCCGAGCAGCTGGGACAAAAGGTGCCCGCCAACATGCCCGGCTAATTTGTTTTTGTACTTTTAGTAGAGACGGGGTTTCACCATGTTAGCCAGGATGGTCTCGATCTCCTGACCTCGTGATCCACCTGCCTTGGCCTCCCAAAGTGCTGGGATTACAGGCGTGAGCCATTGTGCCCAGCCAACTTGTATACTTTCAAAGGTAAACTGCACACCATGTGAATTATTTCTCAAGAAAGTTATTTAGAACATAAATTATACCAATACTTTATATATACATTATGTATTTTTTTCAAATATTTCATAATTTAAAAAACACAAAAGCCTACAGTGTTACAGTCAGATAACTGATCTCAAAACAAATTACAAGCTGTTGATTTATTACTTTTTGGTCATTAAAATGAGGAATTCATGATACATACAATATACCAAGGTTATACTACAACAACTGAAGCGTGACTTTTTTTTCCCTCCGCAAATTCTCACTCTGTTGGCCAGGCTAGAGTGCAGCGGTGTGATCTCGGCTCACTGCAACCTCTGCCTCCCAGGTTCAAGTGATTCTCCTGCCTCAACCTCTCAAGTAGCTGGGATTACAACTGCCCGCCACTGGGCTAAGTTTTGTGTATTTAGTAGAAATGGAGTAGTCACCATGTTGGCCAGGCTGGTCCTGAACTCCTAACCTCAAGTGATCCACCTGCCTCTACCTCCCAAAGTACTGGGATTATAGGTGTGAGCCACCGTGCCAGGCCTTTTTCTTTTTTTGAGATGGAATCTCACTCTGTCACCAAGGGTGGAGTGCAGTGGCACAATCTCAACTCACTGCAACCTCTGCCTCCCAGATTAAAGCAATTTTCCTGCCACAGCCTCCCAAGTAGCTCGGATTACAGGCATGTGCCACCATGCCTGGCTAAATTTTTTTTGGTATTTTTAGTAGAGACAAGGTTTCATCATGTTGGCCAGGCTGGTCTCAAACTCCTGACCTCAAGTGATCTGCCTGCCTCGGCCTCACAAACTGTTGGGATTACAGTTGTAAGCCACCATGTCTGGCCTTAACTTTTAAATAAGAATATTAATGGGGGCACACACAGATGATACATTTAAAAACATACACCTTTAAGTCAGTTGTTTCTTCTATATTAATTTACTAAAAATACAAGTGCCTACAATATCACATCATAATTTTAGCAGGGCACAAGAGCTTACTTTTAAAAATAATTTTAGGCCGGGCGCGGTGGCTCACGCTTGTAATCCCAGCACTTTGGGAGGCCGAGGCGGGTGGATCACGAGGTCAGGAGATCGAGACCACGGTGAAACCCCGTCTCTACTAAAAATAAAAAAAAATTAGCCGGGCGTGGTGGCGGGCGCCTGTAGTCCCAGCTACTCGGAGAGGCTGAGGCAGGAGAATGGCGTGAACCCGGGAGGCGGAGCTTGCAGTGAGCCGAGACTGCGCCACTGTACTCCAGCCTGGGTGACAGAGCGAGACTCCGTCTCAAAAAAAAAAAAAAAATAAAATAAAATAAAATAATTTTAAATGTTCTGACTAAAATACAATAGAACATGTCCGTAGGAGACTAACGTATAAAGTGACAAGTTTGAAGCCATACTCCCCAAGGTTCAATGTGGTACACATTACCCCAGATCTTTGTGCATTAAAAAAATTTCATTTCTCTTGGAAGGCCGAGGCGGGTGGATCACGGGGTCAGGAGATTGAGACCATCCTGGCTAACACAGTGAAACCCTGTCTTTACAAAAAAATACAAAAAATTAGACAGGCGTGGTGGCAGGCACCTGTAGTCCCAGCTACCTCTGAGGCTGAGGCAGGAGAATGGCGTGAATCCAGGAGGCAGAGCTTGCTGTGAGCCAAGATCACGCCATTGCACTCCAGCCTGGGCAACAGAGCAAGACTCCGTCTCAAAAAAAAAAAAAAAAAAAAAGAATTTCATTTTTCATTTATGAAAAATTATCCCATCTTTTCCATTCCCTACAATCAATTTCAAATCAGAGATTAAAACATTATTTAGAAAAAGTATAATTTCAATTCAAAAGTGTATAATCAAAATAATCTAACAATAGCATGAAAGCTTTTTAAAATTAACTAAAATTATACTTAGGGACAATGCAAGAGTAATTTAAGCCTCAGACAGTTGTATTTTTTTATTTTTATTTTTTAGTAATATAAAGAGAGAAGCAAGTAGTATTTTATAAATTTACAAAACAAAGTCACATAACTACAAAAAAATTGTCAGGAAAAGATGCTGAGTGATTACTTACCATATAATAGCCAGTATGATAGCCACTCATGTACCATGAAATTAACATACTTCCCAAAGCATCAGCATCATCAAGAGAATCTGGACATATGGGAGGTGGTGGGGGAATTATCTGGAGACAGAAAAAGATATTGTTTATATCCAGTAAACAAAAAAGTAAAGTCTGGAGATTTATATTATATAGTGAATGCTGGAAATTAATTGTATTTTTGCTTATATAATCTCCTACTTAAATTTCTTTTTTTTCCCCTAAACAAAGACGAGGTCTTGCTATGTTGCCCAGACTGGTCTCAAACTCCTGAGCTCAAGTGATCCTCCTGCCTCAGCCTTCTAAAATGCCGGGATTACAGGCATGAGCCACTGTACCTGGCCTTAAATTTCTTAACATAGCTAGCATTTGGAGAAAACCAACCAATAACAACAAAAGACCAACAAAATTAAATTTAACGAGGACGAAAAGACAGCAAGTGACATAAAAAGTTTAAACATTTTGATTTAGACTATGTATCTGTTCCACTATGAAGCTATGAGTAAAAAAAAAAAATCAAGCATAAATACTTTCATGCTTTTCCTTAATACACACACACACACACACACACACACACAGCTCACATAGCATTTCGAGGGCGATTTTAAGTAAATGTCTTGGGTAGAACACCTGTTCTAACCCCATCCCAATACACAGTATGCCAAAAAGTATCTTTTTATCTATTGTTAATACCTAAAAATCTACCATTAGAAATCCAGTTTACAGCTGGGTGCGGCAGCTCACGCCTGTAATCCCAGCGCTTTGGGAGGCCAAGGCGGGTGGATCACCTGAGGTCAGGAGTTCAAGATCAGTCTGGCCAACATGGTGAAACCCCATCTCTACTAATAAAACAAAAATTAGCCGGGTGTGGTGGCAGTCGCCTGTAATCCCAGCTACTTGGGAGGCCGAGGCAGAATTGCTTGAACCCAGGAGGCGGAGGTTGCTGTGAGCTGAGATCACACCACTGCACTCCAGCCTGGGGTACAAGGGCAAAACTCTGCCTCCAAAACAAAAAAAAAAAAAGAGAGAGAAAGAAAAAGAAATCCAGTTTACATCAGAAGCTAACATCCAACTATACCTAGAAGGGCAAACACTAATTCCTTATATAAGGTATAATTAAATCCCTTCTAACAGGAACTACCTCCTTATGGCATAGACACCAACTTCTGCCAGGAAAGAAGGCAACCTAGAGCTTAGACTTGGGACTACAAGAGCACTGCATCTGGGTAACAGAAAGGCATTAAAAACAAACAAAACCCAGAGGTTTAGTTCAAATTTCTACCCATTAGAATCTGGCCCAAGGGATGTTCTACAATGACATTTTACAATCCTCTATTCTGCTAATTATCAAATTGTATGTGAAAGCAAAATCTAACCTATACTCTTTTTTACTTACTGGTGGTCCAGAAGGAAATGGAGGCAGCCAGCATGATAGTAAGTGGGGTGGTGGTGGTGGCGGTGGCGGTGGTGGGCCATTGAATTTTAGACCTGGCTATAAGGAATATTTCAAAGGAAAATTAACTTACCAATTTCAATATGATAGGAATAAAAAGGACTCAAAACCAAAAGGATAAAAATAATTACCCAGAATATTTGTTTTATACATATCAAAAAGATTAAGTGAAATTTCATGTACCAAATCCTGAAGTCAAACAGACTCATAAGTCAAATGACAACCTCTGGATTTTTCTCATTTCCTTTCTATGTAGACATTAAGGAAGTAAAACAAAATAAGAGTGGTGATTACCTAATAAATCAGAGACAGTCTATTTAGCAAAATTATTTCAATCATAAAAGACTATATCCCAAATTTCATTAACTAAATTGTATATTTTTATGAAAGCCTGTTTAGCTATACATGCCAACTTAGAGGACATATTGTGAAAACTAGCAAATCTCTCCTTATAAAAATCAGCCCCCTGAGACCAATGAAGCATGATGTATATATCCTAAGAGGGTACATCATTTTAGATTCAAGAAACTGTAATATAATGTAAGCCTCAATAAGAACATTATCACAGAAAATCTTAAAACTTTTGGTGAGTCATGCTTGTTTTTTGAAAATGACTGCCTAGGCTAGGCGCCTGTAATCCTAGCACTTTGGAAGGCCAAGGTGGGGAGATCACTTGAGGTCAGGAGTTCAAGACCAGCCTGGCCAACATGGTGAAACCCCATCTCTACTAAAAATACAAAATAAGCCGGGTGTGGTGGCGGGTGCCTGTAATCTCAGCTACTTGGGAGGCTGAAGCAGGAGAATCACTTGAACCCAGGAGGTGGAAGTTGCAGTGAGCTGAAATGGTGCCACTGCACTCCAGCCTGAGCGACAGAGCAAGACTCCATCTCGAAAAAAAAAAAAAATTGCCTAAATACCATTCCCTCCATGGAAGAAATCACCGCTTTACACAAAAGAACTAGAAAGGGACAAGCCTTAAGGTTCCATGACATAATCTAACCTATAATAAAAATCTTTTTAGAGTTGATTTCTGTTACTTATAACCAAAAGGACCATAAATGAAAACAATATTTACATTTGAACTCTACAAAACAATCTGAGAGCGCCTCAGGATTTTATCTATATTAGATGTAAATAATGTGTTCTTATTTTACATATCTTATACAGGTGACATGGGAAACAACAGCATATCATCCAGCTAATGATAAATTATTATTACACTTTTTTTTGTTTTGTTTTGTTTTTTTGTTTGAGATGGAGTCTCATTCTGTCGCCCAGGTTGGAGTGCAGTGGCACGATCTTGACTCACTGCAAGCTCTGCCTCCGGGGTTCACACCATCCTCCTGCCTCAGCCTCCCGAGTAGCTGGGACTACAGGTGCCCACCATCACGCCCGGCAAATTTTTTTGTATTTTCAGTAGAGATGGGGTTTCACCGTGTTAGCCAGGATGGTCTCGATCTCCTGACCTTGTGATCCGCCCACCTTGGCCTCCCAAAGTGCTGGGATTACAGGCGTGAGCTACCGCGTCCGGCGCATTATTATACTTTCTAACTTAAGTAAGTGTGCTAATTATTAGTCTAATACCTAATACTCCACAAAAGTTAACTGGATAAATCTTTCATATAAAGTATTTTGTTGCATCCACTGCAGTGTCTAACATTTTTTTAAAAAATTAACTATTTTGCATCATTATCTTATTTCCTTTTCAAAAAATTCTTGTGTATTTAAGCTACAAAAGTTTCATGGGAGAGCTACAAATTAGTTAACAGAGAGGTTAAATGTCCCGACATTAACTATTTTCTGGAAAACTTTCATAGAAGGTTTACCTTTCCTGGTCCCAGTCTTGGCCCTGGCATGGGGGGTGGTGGAGGGAGAAAAGAGTTCCATGGAGCAGATTTGGGCTTGATGTTATCTGATTTATTTCCAGGAGACCTGGAGTTCTCACTTTCATCTGTTGAAACTTGGCTTTCATTTTCATTCTTTAAAAAGAAAAAATATGCAGGTTTTTGTTATAAGGGTGTGATTAAGAAAAAATTAATGCCTCGGTGGATCAAACTGACAACTGTGTATACTGTTTAACAGTTTCTCATCTAGTCTCTGCTTCCAGAAATTGAATTTTTTTTTTTTTGTATCCTTACCTCTTGAGCATTCTGTTCTATATTATTAGCTACTTCACAGATTGGGGAAAGTAGATCGGACAGATTTTGCTCCTCTCTATTTCCATATCCAGTGTAAACCACAACACAGGTTTCTCTCTTAAAATCAATTGAAGCAATGGTAGCTGGGTAAATGCAACCGTCTTCTGACCAAATGGCAGAACATTTGTCCCCAACTTTCCACTACAAAAGAAATCAAAGATATATACATGCACACATTTCTTTTGAAGAGGGCAAACTATCATCTCGTTTTGATCAGTGGGGAGGTGAAGGATAGAGGGTAGAGATTTGGAAGGCAAAATGATGTAATGAGAAAGGCTTGGGGTCTAAATACATAAATCTGAATTCCAACTCTCTTACATTTATAATCATGGACAAGTTTCTGAATCTCTTTGAGTCTTAGTTTCCCCATCTTATTAGATGGCTATAATATAAACTACCTCCCATATTTGTTGTGAATAGCGGGAGGGAGATAAAATGCGTATGGTGCCCAGCACTCTGGACTGGCCTAGAGCAAGTGCTCATCAACTGTTAGCTCTCTTCCCCCTTGGTAATGATGAAACTAAAGTTGGCTCAAAAGACACCAAAATATTCAGCTTTCAGGACTACTGCTTTTAACTAGCAGAAATAATCTACCTAGACTTCTGGGTTCCTTGGAATTAACAGTTTTAGAGTTTTTAAAGAAAAAGGGGAAAAAAAAATCTATCTCTCAGCTTAAGATGTAAAACACTGCCAATTCAGCTTACGGCTCTTGGGTACTCCTTCCAAACGGCACCTTCTCCCTGCCTTCCATTCACAAATGGAACACATGTCCTGATTTTAGCATTTATCATTCCCATCTAATTCTTTATACTTTCATGACTAATATGCATGTTCCTAAATAACAGAAAATTTAATAGTTGTTTTTGAAGTTGTATAAGTATATGTCAATAGAAACACTGTACTAATCACTTAAGTTAAAGACATTTTACACTATTAAATAAGGACTAATGAGACATCCTTTGAAGTTAAATCTCAACATTTTAAAATAACCTGTTGTAAGGAAGCTGCAGTATTCTTCTTTTGGCTTTTATTCTTCTTAGCAGGTTTTCTTTTAGGTGTGGTTTTTGGTTTACCCGAAGTTTCACAAATGTCACCATTCTTTAGAGCATGCTACGAAAATAGGAATAAAAATGTACATGTTACAGGGTGGTGCACAGAATAAAAGTCACGACATAACCCAGTTACTACTATAAGCTAGTCTCAAGGCTCCGTCACCTCAGAAAGCACCTATTTTCTCTTTTGACCACCCCCTGCACTATAAAAACTGCTCTTAAAGGCATCATACACCTGACATCAGCTCTAAAGACCCTTTTAATCAAATCTCCTTGCTCTCAACCTCTCTGTAACATTAGACCCTGTTAATTATCTTTCTTCCTGATATTCATGGCCCTTTGGATGTCATAGCAATGTAGGGCCCCAACGGTTTCATTACTTCTGATCAAGCCTTAGATTTAGGCATTCCCAATAAGAGCTGGCCATCCTTCTTTACTTGCTTACGGCCATTATTTTATTTATTTTATTTTTTTACACAGAGTCTCACTCTGTCACCGGGCTGGAGTGCAGTCACACTGATCTCAGCTCACTGCAACCTCCACCTCCCAGGTTCAAGCGATTCTCCTGTCTCAGCCTCCCGAGTAGCTGGGATTACAGGCGTGCACCACTGTGCACAGCTAATTTTTGTATTTTTAATAAAGACGGGGTTTCACCATGTGGGCCAGGCTGGTCTTGAACTCCTGACCTCGTGATTTGCTCGCCTCAGCCTCCCAAAGTACTGGGATTACAGGCGTGAGCCACCGCGCCCGGCCAAGGCCATCTATTCTTATTACTTTAGTTGCAACTGTCTGCAAACACACTTCTGAAGCTATTAATCCAGCTGTGACTTTTCTCAATCTAACATTTCCAATGATCAATTTCACATCTTAATTCATACCTCAAACTCAACCTCAACTTAATTCATATTCAACCTCAACTTAATTCAAATTCAATCTCAACTTAATTCATACTCAAACTCACTACTAAAACTATCGTTTTCCCAAATCAGTTCTTTTCCTCCTTTACTCAGATTACTTCTCCCTGCAATATCACCAACCCATCCCACATCGAGCCCCATTTCAATCTCTATTTTATAGAATTCTCTTGGTAATTCTTTAGTCGACTTCTAGTTTCAGTGTATACTGGAAAGCACATTTAAAAATCTAGGCCGGGTGCAGTGGTTCATGCTTGTAATCCCAGCACTTTGGAAGGTCAAGGCGGAGGGATCTTTTGAGCTCAGGAGTTCCAGGCCAGCGTGGGCAACAGGGTGAGACTGCATCTCTACAAAGAATACAAAAATGAGCTGGGTGTGGTGGCACACACCTGTGGTCCCAACTACTCAGGAAGCTGAGGTAGGAGGATTGTTTGAGCTCATGAGTTGAAGGCTCCAATGAGGCATGATCACGCCACTACACTCCAGCCTGGGTGACAGGGCAAGACCCCATCTCAAAAAAAAAAAAAAATCTAGAAATCAGTTACAAAGGTGACATAGAGGTCTGATCTTTAGCTCATGTTACAAGAGTAACTATGAGAAAGACATGAAATCTGTATGCTTGGTGCTCTTTATACACTGTATGAGTATATGCTCTGTTTGCTCAAGGTAGTCTGGACTATTGTTTGCTCAAGGTAGTCTGGACTATTGATGACCCATATTTAGTGCTCAGTAAGACTAAACATCTCAGAGAATGGAGAAGGTGATGATGTTGGCCAACTGTGTAAGTGTCCTGTTTGAGACACAGAACCATACTACATTTCCTAAAAGAACTGTATATTCCTACCCAATAGGAACACTTGAATTGATACCCAACTTACAGGATTTGGGATGATTAGAGTAATTTAATATATGAAACGCACACAGAGCACTGTCAGCATGCTACAAATATTAATTGCTGTACTAATGCTATTTATCTTCATCATTATTTTACTACATGCTTGTTAAATGTTTAAAATTATAATTCAGATTGTCTTTTTCTTATTAATCTCAATTAGAGGACTTCCATAGTTTGATACAATGTAAAAATACTAAAAGGAATACATTGTTTGTTCGTTTTCTGAGATGGAGTCTCACTCTATCGCCCAGGCTGGAGTGCAGTGGTGCAATCATTGCAACCTCTGCCCCCCAGGTTCAAGCAATTCTCCTGCCTCAGTGTCCCAAGCAGCTGGGATTACAGGCACGTGCCACCATGCTTGGCTAATTTTTGTATTTTTAGTAAAGACGGGGTTTCACCATGTTGGCCAGGCTGGTCTCAAACTCCTGACCTCAGGTGATCCACCCGCCTCAGCCTCTCAAAGTGCTGGGATTACAGGAGTGAGCCACCATACCCAGCCAGGAATAAATGTTTTAAATTTTATTTAAATTGCCTCCACAAAGGATGACATATATAGGCTATCAACTTCTAAAGGAGGATATCACCTGATTTAACTAACTCATACTACCATCTAATCTTCAAAATGAAAACTGAATAACATGTACTTTAACACTTTATCGTATGTTATCAATTCCTTTCCAAATGAATAACGAGAAAATAAGAAAACGACTAAGCAAGCATTTCATACCTTAAATGAAGCCACAGCTTTATCATATGCTTTTATCAGTGCTGTATCATCCCAAATGTCAGAATCATCGCTCTGGAAAGGGTAAGAAATAAAAACAACTCATGTTCAGATAGGTTTAATCAGAAAATGTATGTTAGTACCAAGAGTCATCTTAATCCACACATAACAAAATTACACTGAAAATGAGTATTTAAAATCCTAAATAAAGCCACAGGAAACTTACCTGGTTAGAGGTTATGTGACTTTACTCCAAAAGCTAGACATAGGTAAATGTTCTAAGAATGAATGCCATCAAGTGAATGCCCCTACAATTTAATTCCTATCCACATACCATGAGTAGATTTGTTCAAGGCCAGCTATATTTATTTCAATTAAGATCAGATAAAACTTGACTTCATCTAGACTACGGGAATGCTGTTCTGACCTCAGAACCTATGATCCAAAGAATATTTTTTCTTTTGAAATTATAATGTTTCCAGATTATAAGGATACAAATTGTTAATAGTGACTAACCAATTTTCATTTTATTATTATTATTATTTTTTTACTTCCATTTCCCTTTCCTGCTTTCCTGGTACCAATTTTCTTTCCTTCCTTTTCTTTTCCTTTCTTTCGTTTCTTTCTTCTCTCCCTCCCTCCTTCCTTTCTTCCTTCCTTCACTTCTCTTTCTCTCTTCTTTTTTTCTCCCCTCAAATTCCTGTGTTCAAACGACCCTCCCACCTCAGCCCACTGAGTAGTTGGGAATATAGGTGCATGCCACCATGCCTGGCTAGTTTTTAAAATTTTTTGTAGGGACGGGGTCTCGCCATCTTAGCCAAGCTGGTCTTGAACTCCTAGGCTCAAGTGATCCTCCAGCCTCGCTCGGCCTCCCAAGTGTGGGAATTACAGGCATGAGCCACTGCACCTGGAAATATTTTTGTCCAGACATGGTGGCTCATGCCTGTAATCCCAGCTACTTGGGAAGCTGAGGCAGGAGAATTACATGAGCCCAGTTGTTGGAGGCTGCAGTAAGCTATGATCATCCCATTGCCCTCTAGCCTGGGTGACAGAGGAAGACCCTGTCTAACAACAACAACAACAATAACAAAATAATAATAATAATAAATAATTTTTTAGCACTATCTGCTAGCACTGTGCAAGTCACTGAGAGATATATAGAAACATGGTACTCTCCAGTTATTATCTAACTAGGGATTTAAGACTATCACACAAGACAAAACAAAAAACAATATAAAACAAATCTTAACAAACATCAAAATGTGAAATACAAACAGTATTTTAATTAAAAAGGAAAGAAATTAATGTCTACTGCAAGATCATATGGAGGAAACCGGCCTAAGAAATAAAAACCACTCACGCCTGTAATCCCAGCACTTTGGGTGGCCGAGGTGGGTGGATCACGAGGTCAGGAGTTCGAGACCAGCCTGGCCAACATGGTGAAACCCTGTCTCTACTAAAAATACAAAAATTAGCCGGACATAGTAGCACATGCCTGTAATCCCAGCTACTTGGGAGGCTGAGGCAGGAGAATCACTTGAACCTGGGAGGCAGAGGTGGCAGTGAGCCAAGATCGCGCCACTGCACTACAGCCTGAGAGACATAGCGAGACTCTGTCTCAAAAAACAAACAAAACAAAACAAAACAAAATAAAACAAAACAAAACAACAGGATTTAGGCCGGGCATGGTGGCTTGTAATCCCAGCATTTTGGGAGGCCAAGGCAGGTGAATTGCTTGAGTCCAGGACTTCCAGACCAGCCTAGGCAACAGGGTAAGAACCTTGTGTCTACTAAAAATACAAAAATTCTGGCCGGGCGTGGTGGCTCATGCCTGTAATTCCAGCACTTTGGGAGGCAGAAGCAGGCAGATCACGAGGTCAGGAGTTCGAGACCAGCATGGCCAACAAGGTGAAACCCCATCTCTACTAAAACTACAAAACTTAGCTGGCGTGGTGGCAGTCACCTGTAATCCCAGCTGCTTGGGAGGCTGAGGCAGGAGAATCACTTGAACCCGGGCGGCAGAGATTGCAGTGAGCTGAGATTGTGCCACTGCACTCCAGCCTGGGTGACACAGTGAGACTCTGTCTCAAAAACAAACAAACAAAAAAACCAAATTTAGCTGGGCATGGTGGCACATGCCTATAGTCCCAGCTACCTGCAGGGGCTGAGGCGAGAGGATCACCTGGGCCCAGGAAGTTGAGGATGCAGTGAGTGGAGATGGCGCCGCTGCACTCCAGCCTGGGTAACAAATTGAGACCTTGTCTGGGAAAAAAAAACAAAAAAAAACAAAAAAAACCCCCCAAAAAAAAAAAAAACCCAACAGGATGTGCATAGGTAGACAAAATAGAACGCATTCCAAGTAAGAGCATGAACAACAACAAAAAAGGCATGGAAGCAAAAATAACACTAACTATAAGAATTTATTTATGTAAGGTAACTAAGTAGTCAAATTTATAGAATTAGAAAGAATGGGCCAGGCGCAGTGGCTCACGCCTGTAATCCCAGCACTTTGGGAGGCCGAGGTGGGCAGATCACCTGAGGTCAGGAGTTCGAGACCAGCCTCAACATGGAGAAACCCCTTCTCTACTAAAAATACAAAATTAGCCGGGCGTGGTGGTGCATGACTGTAATTCCAGCTACTCGGGAGGCTGAGGTAGAATTGCTTGAACCTGGGAGGCGGAGGTTGTGGTGAGTCGAGATTGCACCATTGCACTCCAGCCTGGGCAACAAGAGTAAAACTCCATCTCAAAAAAAAAAAAAAAAAAAAAAGAATGATGATTACCAAGGGCTAAGTGTAAGGAGAAATGGGAATTTGCTAATGGGTAGAGTTTCAGGTTGCAAGACGAAAAACTTCCGAAGATCTATTGCGCAACAACATGAACATACTTAATATTACTGAACTATATACTTAAAAATGGTTAAAATGACAAATTTTTTTACTTCAATAAAAAATAAAACACACTGTATGAGGGATTAGTGAGACAAGTCCAAATAGAATCCAATTTATACTATAGGGTAGAGTTGGATTTGGTATACTAGAGAGTATTTTGGATTTGGTATAGTATTAGTCAATGAATTCCAAAAAAGTTTGTTATAAAATTCACTGAGTTGTAATATTACTTTTTGTCATTTTCCTGTTTTTTTTTTGTTTTGTTTTGTTTTCTCTTGAGACAAGAGTCTCGCTATGCCACCCAGGCTGGAGTGCAGTGGCATGATCTCGGCTCACTGCAACCTCTGCCGCCCAGGTTCAAGTGATTCTCCTGCCTCAGTCTCTCAAATAGCTGGGATTATAGGCGCCCACCATCAAGCTGGGCTAATTTTTGTATTTTTAGTAGACATGGGCTTTCATCATCTTGGCAAAACTGGTCTCGAACTCCTGACCTCAAGTGATCCTCCCACCTCAGCCTCCCAAAGTGCTGGGATTACAGGCATGAGCCACCGCACCCAGGCTTGTCATTTTCCTGTTAATCTCCGTTATATAGAGACAAATGTATTCCAATATAAAATGTCAATCTTGCTGTATGATAAAAAGTACTTAATAATCCCAGCCTGGGCAACATGGCAAAACCCCATCTCTACAAAAAGTACAAAAATTAGCTGGGCGTGGTGGTTCACATCTGTAGTCCCAGCTACCCAGAAGGCTAAGGTGGGAGGGCCGCTTGAACCAGGGAAGAGGAGATTGCAGTGAGTGGAGATCAGAGATCGTGCCACTGCACTCCAGCCAGGGTGACAGTGAGACCCTGTCTCAAAAAAAAAAAGTACTTAAGATCATTAAGTCACTTTGCAGATAAGAAAAGTAATCACAAAGAGGTTAACTGACTTAAGGTTACATTCGCACTTGGAAGGGAAGATATTCCTTGGAGATTTGGTAAAAGGAATAAAAACAGGCTGGGTCCAGTGGCTCACACCTATAATCTCTGTCTCGAAAGAAAAAAAGGGGGGTAGGGGGGAGGCTGGGCACGGCAGCTCATTCCTGTAATCCCAGCACTTTGGGATGCAGAGGTGGGTGGGGTGGGTGGATCACTTGACATCAGGAGTTTGAGACCAGCCTGCCAATGTGGCAAAACCCCGTCTCTATTAAAAATACAAAACTTAGCCGGGCATGGTGGTGCACACCTGTAGTCCCAGATACTTGGGAGGCTGAGGCAGGAGAATTGCTGGAACCCGGGAGGCAGAGGTTGCAATGAGCCAAGATCACTGCACTCCAGCCTGAGTGACAGAGTGAGACTCCATCTCAAAAAAAAAGGAAGCAAACAGTAGAAAATGAAGGGTGGTCCTGAAGAAATAAAGAAATCACAAAATCAAGGCCAGTGATATCAATAGAAGAGTGCAGTCTTAAAGCAAGATACACAGACAGATGGCAGCTCAAACTCCTCATATCTCAACTGTTATTGCCAGACCAGGAAACAAGTAATTTCAAAACGAACAGAAAACAAAGCGACAGAAGAAAAGGTAATACTGATTACAAGGTACCCAAGGACAAATACATCTGACTGAAAATCTAAGGAGCACCAAAGCAAAGCCATGAAAAAGAACCAAAGGAACAAAAATAAATAAGAAGCAAAATGGTTGATACATTGGCAAACAGTATTTATTTAACGTATGTATAAATGGGGTCCCTGAAGAATAAAAACAAAACAAAACAAACAATCTTCCTGGTGGTCTAGTGATTAGGAATTTAAAAAAAAGAAAAATTCCTAGGGATGGGAGGAAGAACCCCCTCCCATCCTCAGAGAGCCTCTAAGCAAAAAGACTAAGTTACAAAATAAAGAAAATCAGTTATCATTAGACTTTCTCATAGAAATTTATGGGGAAAAAGTATGAGCCAAGAATTTTATATGCAGCCTAGCTGTCCTTGAAGTAGCAAGACTAAGAAAAGTCTAAAATGTAGAAGAATACCGTACTCACTAGCCTTTCCAGGGTAATCTATTGAAAATACGCTTCATCCAACCAAGATATGACCAGGGAAACTTGGGTTTTAAAAATAACAGAACTGGCCAGGCATGGTGGTTCACGCCTGTAATCCCAACACTTTGGGAGGCCGAGGTGGGTGGATCACCTGAGGTCAGGAGTTCAAGACCAGCCTGATCAACATGGTGAAACCCCGTCTCTACTAAAAATACAAAATTAGCCGGGCGTGGTGGCGCATGCCTGTAATCCCAGCTACTCGGGAGGCTGAGGCAGAAGAATTGCTTGAACCTGGGAGGTGGAGGTTGTGGTGAGCCAAGATCGCGCCACTGCACTCCAGCCTGGGCAACAAGAGCGAAACTCTTGTCTCAAAAAAAAAAAACGAAAAACATAAAACAGAATTGTTAGCATCAAATATATTTAATTGTGGATCTAAGAGGAAAGTAGTGTATTAAATTGAAAAGCTGATTCTAAAATTTATATGGAACTACTAAGGACAAAAATAAACCAAAGCTGGACAATTTACATTATCTAACTTTAAGACTGTAAACCAGAAGTAGCTAAGACAGGTTTCAATCAATTTAGAAAGTTTATTTTGCCAAAGTTAAAGACGCTCCTATGACACAGCCACAGGAGGTCCTGATGACATGTCCCCAAGGTGGTGGGGTACAGCTTTGTTTTATACATTTTAGGGAGACATGAGGCATCAATCAATATATGTAAGATGTACATGAGTTCTGTCAGGAAAGGCAGGACAACTCAAAGTGGGGGTAGGGAGGTTTCTAGGTCATAGGAAGATTTAAAGATTTTCTAATTGGCAACTAGTTGAAAGAGTTATTATCAACAGAAAGGAATGTTTGGGTTACCATAAGGGGTTGTGGAGACCAAGGTTTTATCATGCAGATGAAGCTCCCAGGTAGCAGGCTTCAGAGAGGGTAGGTTGTAAATGTTTCTTTTCAGACTTTAAGAGTCTGTTCTATCAGTAATTCCAAAAGGTAGTAGGGTGTGATGAGACATGTCCAACTCCCCCTTCCCATCATGGCTTGAACTAGTTTTTCAGGTTAATTTTGGAATGCCCTTGGCTGAGAGGATGGGTCCATTCAGTTGGTTGTGCAGGGGCGGGGGGGGCCTATAATTTTATTTTTGGTTTACAAGACATACCCTGAAGCAATAGTAATTAAAAGTGTAGTACTGACATCAATATACACTAATAGACAATGTAACAGAATTGAGAGTCAGAAATAGCCCTGTGATATATGTGACTGATTTTAACTAAAGTTACAAATGTGGTTTAATAGAGAAAGCATAGTAGTTTCAAGAAATGGTGGTAAAACTATTGGAAATCCTTATGCAAAAACAAACCAAATTTCCACCTACACTGAGCCACATATAAGAATTAATACAAAATGGATTACAGACCTAAGTGTAAAACTAAAACTCTAAACTGTGTAAAAAAAAAAAAGAGAGAAAAATCTGTGATCATGGATTGCCTATAACAAAAGAACAAACTGAAATGGCCTTGTTGCCTGGGGTGGCACCCGAGGTTCTTGGTCTCACGCTGAGGAAATCAAGGACGCTGACACACCAAGGGTGTGAGGCTAGAGCAGAAGTTTAATAGGCAAAAGAAAGAGACTAGCTCTCTCCTGCAGAGAGAGGTCCTGAAAAGAGTTCCCATTCCACAGTGAAATGCAAGCATTTTTATAAATGAGCTAATGGGAAGGGGGTAGCTTATCTACACATAGGGAGCAAAAAACCAGTTAGGACCAGGTGTTGCCATCTGCACAGAGCGTGAATCTCTGGCATCCCCCACCCCAACCTTTTATTATGCAGGCAGGTCCTTGGCCTGAGCTACTCCACATTGCTTATCTCTTTCCTATTGTGCATGTGCTAAATAAGGGGAGGTGGAGCCACCATGGTGGACATGCCTGGCCCCAGGTACCCCTTTCTCTCCGTGCAGCTGCAGGCAACCCCAACAACTCACAACATGCAAGCTTCCAGCTTCCTTATCTGAGTATGTACTAAGGTCCACTGTGTTTACTTCACATACTGTGTTTACTTCACATACCCACCTTACGTATGTGAAGCTTGCTGATTACCCAGGAAGCTCCCCCTCTGTGCCAGAGCTGCTTCCTTATACATGTTTACAGCCCGATCTTCCAGGCTGCTCCTTGTTAGAAGAGAAGTGATTTCTTGGGCTGCTTTTTGTTAGAAGGGAAGTTCTACCGAGGACTCTGTCTAACTATCGGCTTACCTAGTCTTTTTTTACCTCCTCTCTCAAAACCATCAAAGAAAAAACTGAAAAATTAGATTTCAGCAAAATTAAGATTTTCTGTTCTTAAAAAGACGTTGTTAACAAAATGAAAAACCAAAGTGTAAACCGGGAGAAAATACATGCAAGTTACCTATCTGATAAAGATATTGTACCCAGCAAACATGAAGAACTCTCAAACCTCAACAACAAAAAAATTCAATTAAAAGATGGGTAAGTTGGCCGGGTGCAGTGGCTCATACTTGCAATCCCAATCTTTGGGAGGCTGAGGCAGGAAGATTGCTTGAGCCCAGGAGTTCACGACAAGCCCAGGCAACATAATGAGACCTTGTTTCTACAAAATTTTAAAAAATTAGCCAGGCATTGTGGCGTGTGCTCGTAATTTCAGCTACTCAGAAGGCTGAGACAAGAAGACTGAGCGCAGGAGGTGGAGGCTGCAGTAGGCTGTGTGATTGCACCACTGCACAACAGCCTGGGTGACAGAGTGAGACACTGTCTCCAAAAAAAAAAAACAAACAAAAAAAAAACCCAAATGATTTGAATAGACACTTCACCAAAAAAGATATACGGATGGCAAATACACTCATGAAATGATCAACAGCAGCACTGGTCATTAGGAAATGCTAATTAAAATCACAAGAAGCCACTATATCTATTATAATGCCTAAAATTAAAAAGACTGACCATACCAGGTGTTTGCAGGGACACTGAGCAAATGGAACTTTCATACATTGCTGGTCAAAATGCAAAATGGGGGAGCTGTTCTGAACCTATTTAGTTGTGGGGGCTGTCCAACTTTTGAATTTTTCTTTGCTCAATTAATCTCTGTTATATTAAAAAGTAACATGGTACAACCACCACTTTGAGGAAGAGTTTGACAGCTCCTTAAAGACTTAAAATACATCTACCCTGAGACCTAAGTATTCACTCAAGAAAAATGAAAGCGTATGTCTATACAAAGTCTTCTTTAAAATTTTTTATAGAAAATTTTTAATTTTTGATTTTAAAATAAAAATAGAGGTTTCACCATGTTTCCCAGGCTGGTCTCAAACTCCTGGGCTCAAGCGATCTGCCAGCCTTGGCTATATGAAGTCTTATACACTAATATTCATAGTGGCTCTACTTGTTAACAGTCCCAAACTGGAAAAAGCCCAAATGTTCACAAGCAAGCGAATGAATACAGTATAGTATATACATGCAATGGGATACTACTCAGCAATAAAATGGATGAAAATCAAAATAGCTATGATAAATAAAAGAAACGTGACAAAAAAGGTACTCTATCATTCCACGTTTATAAAAATTCTTAAAAATGCAGGCTAATCTATGGTGACAGAAAGTAGATCAGTGGTTGTCTGGGGACAGGACAAGGAGGGATGAAAAGGATCACAAAACAGCAATCCAACTGAGGCCACCATGCTATAAGGAAATCCAAACCAGCCCACACATTGAAACCACATAAAGAAATCTTCATGAGACTACATGAAAAAAAGAGATAGCCTGCCAATCCCTAGCTGCTCAGTCCCCAGCTACTGTAGCTCTAGCAACTATGTAGGTGCAACCACGAGACAGCCGCACGAAAACTGCCCAGCACGGCTCTCACAAATTCCTAACCCACAGAAACAATGAGAGATAATAAAATGTTCTTTGTTGTTTCAAGCCACTAAGTTTTGGCAGATTCGTTACACAGCAACGGCAGCCAGAACGGACCACCAGGACTGCCTTTATATCTGATTCTCAGTCATTTCCAGTAGCTCAGATTTCTCAAATTATTCCCAACACCCTGCCATCTTCTACCTTCTCCTACCACTTCCTGAAACTTCCACTGTGCTCCCTTGAGTAATTCATAAAATCCACTCTTTAACCTCTGAATCATCCCTTCATTTCTTGCTCTAAGTAAAATCTAGCTCCCTGAGGATGCCTTTTCCTTTCGCAGCCATCTCAAATGATAGATGTTTCCTCTTTTCTCCTCCACACACTTCATATCACTGTACCTACTGGAGATGTGGGGAAGAAATCTTCCCTGCTCTGGCTGGCGCGGTGGCTCACGCCTGTAATCCCAAGCGCTTTGGGAGGCCGGGGTGGGCGGATCACAAAGTCAGGAGATTGAGACCATCCTGGCTAACACGGTGAAACCCCGTCTCTACTAAAAATACAAAAAAACAATTAGCTGGGCGTGGTGGCGGGCGCCTGTAGTCCCAGCTACTCGGGAGGCTGAAGGAGGAGAATGGCGTGAACCCGGGAGGCGGAGCTTGCAGTGAGCGGAGATCTCGCCACTGCACTCCAGCCTGGGCGACTGAGCCAGACTCCGACTCAAAAAAAAAAAAAAAAAGAAAAAAGAAATCTTCCCTGCTCCTTACTTGCACTTTCAGATTATTCTCCTCCATTCCCCTCTCAAAATTCCCAGCCTTGAAAATCCTGACAAAAAGTAGCCAGGCATGGTGGTCAGCACCTGTAGTTCCAGCTACTTGAGAGGCTGAAGTGGGAGAATCCCTTGAGCTTGGGAGGAGGTTGTAGTGAGCCGTGATCGCGCCACTGCACTCCCACCTGGGCAACAAAAAGAGGCCCTGTCTCGGGGGGGGGGAAAAAAGAAAGAAGGAAAATCTTGTCACCAGACTCACAGTCTATTATCGTTTCCTATTGCAGTCACCTACAGCCTACCGAGTCACTCTTCCTCATTCCTTAATGTTTACATCGCAGTTCTCTCTCCAACACTACTCCTGTCATAATTTTTGGTGATTTAAATATCCATGTAGATGATCCCTTCAATTACCCTATATTTGCAGGTCTCTAAACTCCTCTCCACCACAATCTTGTACATCCTCTGATGTGGTGCAGCTCTGTGTTCCTACCCAAATCTCATGCTGAATTGTGATCCCCAGTGTTGGAGGTGGGCATGGTAGGAGGCGACTGGATCATGGGGGTGATTTCTAATGATTTAGCACCATCCCCAAGTGCTGTTTCCTGATAAGCGTTCTCACAAGATCTGGTTGTTTTAAAGTATGTAGCACTTCCCCCTTCTCTCTCTCTCCTGCTGACCATGTGAAGACTGTGCTTGTTTCCCCTTCACCTTCCACCATGACTGTAAGTTTCCTTAGGCCTCCACAAGAGAAGCCTGTACAGGCAGCAGAACTGTGAGCTGATTAAACCTCTTATCTTTATAAATACCTGGTCTCAGGTATGTCTTTGTAGCAGTGTAAGAATGAACTGATACATCCCCAAATCTCAGCTACTCACTCACTTCAACTGTATTTATTTATTATAACCAATAACCACAACCTCTCCATAAATGCAGTTTCAAGAATCCCACTCTCTTAACCATCACCTTCTAGGCTCTGCAACTTACTCCTACTAGTGATTTGATGGGGACAATCATTCCACTTCATTAGGACTGGCAGTACATTGATCCTCCCACTTTTTTTTTTTTTTTTTTTTGAGGCAGAGTCTCATTTTGTCGCCCAGGATGGAGTACAGTGGCACGATCTCGGGTCACTGCAAACTCCACATCCCGGGTTCAAGTGATTTTCCTGCCTCAGCCTCCCTAGTAGCTGAGACTACAGGCACCTGCCACCATGCCCAGCTAATTTTTTTTTTCCAAGAGGAGTCCTGCTCTGTCGCCCAGGCTGGAGTGCAGTGGCGCAATCTCGGCTCACTGCAAACCTCGCCTCCCGTGTTCAACTGATTCTCCTGCCTCAGCCTCCCAAGTAGCTGGGATTATAGGCACGCGCCACCACGCCCGGCTAATTTTTGTATTCTTTTTTTTTTTTTTTTTTTAAAGACAAAGTTTTGCTCTTGTTGCCCAGGCTGGAGTGCAATGGAGTGATCTCAGCTGTCTGCAACCTCTGCCTCCCAGGTTCAAGCAATTTTTCTGCCTCAGCCTCCCGAGTAGCTGGGATTATAGACACGTGACACCATGCCCGGCTAATTTTTGTATTTTTAGTAGAGACAAGGTTTCACCATATTGGCCAGGCTGGTCTCGAACTCCTGACCTTGTGATCTGCCCAACTCGGCCTCCCAAAGTGCTGGGATTACAGGTGTCAGCCACAGCGCCCGGCCGATCCTCCCACTTTTTAAACTGTCTCTCAGGGTCTTAAAATCCTCACTTCCTTTCTTTTTTTTTTTTTTTGAGGTGAAGTCTCACTATATCGTCCAGGCTGGAGTACAGTGGCGTGATCTCGGCTCACTGCAACCTCCACCTCCTGGGTCCAAGGGATACTCCTGCCACAGCCTCTTGAGTAGCTGGGATTACAGGCACCTGCCACCATTCCCGGCTAATTTTTCTGTATTTTTATTAGAGATGGGGTTTCGCCATATCGGCCAGGTTGGTCTCAAACTCCTGACCTCAGGTAATCCACCCACCTCAGTCTCCCAAAGTGCTGGGATTACAGGCGTGAGCCACCGCGCCCGGCCTCTCACTTCCTTTCTTAGCCAGCTTAAATTCCATGGTCAATCATTAAGAGAACTCCTTTGTACTTCTCCCCCTCACTTCTTCATATCCACGTGGTAAAATCACAACTGCATTAATTTCAACTCTCCATTTACTCTGTGGGTGCCCTCATACACAATCTTGCTGTCTGGTCTCCTTCAACTCATGACCACGAATCTCAAGTAGGCTCTTTATGTTGCCTAGCAATATTTCCACTAAACTTCCCTAGTCCAACCCTTGCCCACTCTTCTAAAGAACTATCTACTTCCCATCTTCTCTTTCCTCTCCCATCCCAGCTTCTAGCTGATAACCTTGCTTCTTTCACTAAGAGAACAGTAAGAATCAAGAGAACTTTCAAAATCTCCTGCCATCCTATCTGCCCATTCACGTATCATAGATGTGTTAACTATATAGCTGTCACCAAAAGAACCGCTAATGTTTCCAACAAAGGCCAAATCCATCCCTTCTTACCTACTCTAGGACATTGCTCTAGCCATTGTCTTCTTTCCGACATCAACTTTCCCATTCTCATCTTTCCTATCAACCCACAAACATGCTGAAACATGTTGCTCCTATCTTAGTGCAGTGGCTCACACTAGTAATCCCAGTACTTTGGGAGGCAGAGGTGGGAGGATAGCTTGAGGCCAGGAGTCCAAGGCTGTAGTGATTCATGATTGCGCCACTGGCACCCCAGCAGCCTGGGCAACAGAGCAAGACCCCCCTCTTTTAAAACCACACACACATAATTAAAATTCCTCTTAACTCACTTCCCCCTCCATTTATTGCCCAATTTCTCTACCCTCCATTTATAATAAAATTTCGTGGTGGCTCACTCCTTTAGGCCCAGCGACTCCAAAGGAGGGTCGCTTGAGGCCAAGAGATCAACGCTGCCATGGGCTAGGATCATGCCACTGTACTCCAGCCTGGGCCACAGAGAGCGAACTTGTCTCTAAAAAAATTTTTTTTAAATAGAATTCCTTGAAATATGCCTACCGATGTTTTTATTATTTATTTATTTATTTATTTATTTATTTGAGACGGAGTCTTGCTCTATCGCCCAGGCTGGAGTGCAGTGGCGCGATCTCGGCTCACTGCAAGCTCCGCCTCCCGGCTTCATGACATTCTCCTGCCTCAGCCTCCCGAGTAGCTGGGACTACAGGCGCCCGTCACCACGCCCGGCTAATTTTTTGTATTTGTAGTAGAGACGGGGTTTCACCGTGTTAGCCAGGATGGTCTCGATCTCCTGACCTTGTGATCCGGCCGCCTCGGCCTCCCAAAGTGCTGGGATTACAGGCTTGAGCCACCGCGCCCGGCCGTTTATTTTGTTTTAAGACAGGGTCTGGCTCTGTCGCCCAGGCTGGAGTGCAGAGGCGCAATCACAGATCACTGCAGCCTCCACCTCCCTGAGCCTTCCAAGGCCTGAACCTTCCAGGTAGCTGAGACCACAGACGCGCACCACAACACCCGTCTAATTTTTGCAGACTCGGAGTCACACTATGTTGCCCAGGCTGGTCAAATGTTGCCTTGGATTTCTCTTCTCCTACTCTCCAACTCACTCCAGCCAAATTCACCCCTACCATGCTATGCCCAAGACTGAACTCCTGAGAAACCTGCTCTACTGGCAATCTTCTCTTTCCCACCTCAGCAAAAGGCAACTTTATCTTTTCAACTATTCAGGATAACCTCCGTTATCGAATCTATCTGAAAAACCTGTTGCCTCCGATTTCAAAATATACCCAGAATCCAAATACTTTCACTCTGTTAATAACATCTTGTTCTGAAGTTCAGATCATCTTAACAGACTCCTAAGTGGTTCCCCTGCTTCACCCTGGCCTAATGCCCCCACCTCCCCCACACCAGCCAGAGAGGAGTGAACAAAATAAGCTACTGCCAAGTCGCGGCAGGGCCTCCACTCAACGCTATCAAGGAGCCCAAACTGCTCGAGGAAGGAGCTTGCGGATGTGGTTCGCAGGGAACGGAGTGGGAAAAGACGTAGAAAAACGCGGACCACAACTCCAGTGAGCGGATCGACTTGATGCTGTCCCGAGGCTGCGGAAGGAGAGTTGGGCCGGAAGAAGGGTGCTGAGAGCGCTAATAGGGAGACTGCACTGGCTGCGACCTCACCTGGCCTGTGCCGCGCCGGAACAGCACGGAATCCTCCTGCTCCGGGACGCCGCCACCACTGCCGCCGCTGCTCATCGCCATAGCAAACCCGCGGGTGCGCAGCGTGGGGCCCCGTCCCTTCTTAAGAGTGACGACTTCCGCCGCCCGGGGCTTCTGGGAGCGGAACAGTACGGTGGCCGGGAGGACCGCTTGTAGTAACTTCTCACGCTTTCTACGAGTGGTTATCGCCCTCCCACATTTGTGGCGTGTATATTTTTCATTTCTCTCAATCCTTTCATTTCACTGTGTTATATTTCCTTTCCTTTTTTTTTTTGTTTGTTTGTTTTGAGACAGAGCCTCGCCCTGTCGCTCAGGCTGGAGTGCAGCGGCGCGATCTCGGCTCACTGCAGCCTCGACTTCTTGGGCTCAAGCGATCCTCCCACCTCAGCCTCCCCAGTAGCTAGGACTATAGGCGTGCGCCACCAAGCTCAGCTATTTTTTGTATTTAGTAGAGACGGGGTTTCGGCATGTTGCTTAGGCCTCGTCTCGAACTCCAGTGTGTGTGTGTGTGTGTGTGTGTGTGTGTGTGTGTGTGTGTGTGTGTAGATATTTATTCCCCCTCCCCCTTGGAAAAGTAAATGTAAGCTCCTACTAGGAATTTAAAACCTGCTTGATCTATATAAAGACAAACAAGGAAAGACAAACATGGGGGCAGGAAGGAAGGCAGATCCTTAAACACTAGAAGATATTTGATCCCCCAACCTTATTTGTTGTTTGTTTTGAGACGGAGTCTCGCTCTGTCGTCAGAGTGCAGTGGCACCATCTCGGCTCATTGCAGCCTCGACCTCCCGAGCTCAAGCGATCCTCCCGCCTCAACCTCCCAAGTAGCTAGGACCACAGGGGCACGCCACCACACCCGGCTAGTTTCTGTATGTTTTGTAGAGGCGGCGTTTGGAGCATATTGTGTAGGCTGGTCTCGAACTCCTGAGCTCAAGATATTCCGCCCGCCTCTGGCATCCCAAAATGCTGGGATTACAGGTGTGAGCCACCTCGCCCAGCCTCCAGTATTCTTTTTTTTTTTTGCGACAGAGTATTGCTCTGTCACCCAGGCTGGAATGCAGTGGCGTGATCTCAGCTCACTGCAACCTCTGCCTCCCAGGTTCAAGCAATTCTGCCTCAGCCCCCCGAGTAGCTGGGATTACAGGCGCCCACCACCACACCCGGCTAATTTTTGTATTTTTAGTAAAGATGGGGTTTCACCATGTTGGCCAGGCTGGTCTTGAACTCCTGACCTCGTAATCCGACCGCCTCGGCCTCCCAAAGTGCTGGGATTACAGGTGTGAGCCACCACACCGGGCCTCCAGTATTCTTTATTAAGCATCTAGGGTTGCTAAATGGCTTATATGTACATAGTATATATATATTTTTAACTCCACGAAAGGAACTTTGAGCTCTTCCCCCAAAATACCCTTGGCTTCTATATAGTATACAAGAAATATCTGTGGAGGAAGGGGAGAATGGGATGATGTTGACCAAGTGTACAAAAATGGTAACTCTGTAGAGGTAATATGTGGAATGTAATCATTTCACAATGTATATCTAAACATCAAATGGTACACCTTAAATATATACAATTTTTAGGGGTCTGGTACGGTGGCTCATGCCTATAATCCCAGCACTTTGGGAGGCCAAGGTGGGTGGATCACTTGAGGTCAGGACTTCAAGACCAGCCTGGCCAACATGGTGAAACCCTGTTTCTCCTAAAAATACAAAAATCAGCCGGGTGTGGTGGTGCAGGCCTGTAATGACAGCTGCTTGGGAGGCTGAGCCAGGAGAATCACTTGAACTCGGGAGGCGGAGGTTGCAGTGAGCCAAGATCACGCCACTGCACTCCAGCCTGAGTGACAGAGTGCGACTCCATCTCAAACAAATAAATATGTACAATTTTTATGTGTCAAAAAAGTTAAATTGTCACAAGATAAAAAAAAAAATTTAAATCTCATGTCAGGAAAGTAATGTGCCAAAGGTACATCTCACAGATAAACATGAAAACCTGCACTCCAGCCTGGGCGACAGAGTGAGGCTGTGTCTCAGAAAAAAAAAAAAAAGTAAAAAAAAAAGTATGTTTTTATAAAGCTTGCTTAGATTTTTCTGAATCATAAAAATTCTCACAATTGCATTTGATGTCAAAATTTAAACAAATTACCTGGACATATTACATGATGGTTAAAAAAATAAATTTAAACAAAATATAGAACCAGGTTTCTTTTTGTTTTTTAATTTTTTTCTTTTTGAGACGGAGTCTCGCTCTGCCACCCAGACTGGAGTGCAGTGGCTCACTGCAACCTCTGCCTCCCGGGTTCAAGTGATTCTCCTGTCTCAGCTTCCCGAGTACCTAGGATTACAGGCGTGTGCCACCACACCCAGCTAATTTTTGTATTTTTAGTAGAGACTGGGTTTTGCCATGTTGGTCAGGTTGGTCTCAAACTCCTGACCTTGTGATCCGCCCGCCTCAGCCTCCCAAAGTGCTGCGATTACAGGCATGAGCCACCGCACCCAGCCATTTCTTTTTGTTTTTATTATTTAGAGATATAATTGATATACTATAGAATTAATCGTTTTAGAGAGTACAATTGAATGGTAGATAGAGCGGAAACCTTAATATATTCACAAGGTTGTGCAACCATCACTACTATCTAACTCCAGAACATTTTAATCACCCACCAAAGAAACTCTGTTTCCTTTAGCAGTGCGCTGCCATGCTCAGCTATTTTTTGGGAGAGAAGGGGTCTCCCCATGTTGTCCACGCTGGTCTCAAACTCGGTTGCTTAAGCAGTCCTCCCACTTGAGCCGCTGTGCCCAGGCCTGAGTTACTATATTTATAAAAGTTATTTCATATGATAGACAAATCATTCAAAACATAATGAGGTAAACTGCCAAAAGAAACCATTTTACCATATTTGAAGGCATTTAATGTAAATGTTGAATTTAATTTCATGTACTGGAATCAGTCTTTTTGCATATGTAATTTTCATACCAAAAATCTCTCTTCAGTTGACTCCTGGAACTCTCTCATGATAAAATAAAAGTTTCAAATAATGTCGGGGTGGTGGCTAACACCTGTAATCCCAGCACTGTGGGAGTCCGAGGCAGGTGGATCACATGAGGTCAGGAGTTTGAGACCAGCCTAGCCAACATGGCAACACTAAAGATATGAAAGTCAGCCAGGCATGGTGGTGCATGCCTGTAATCTCAGCTACTAGGGAGGCTGAGGCACAAAAATCACTTGAAACTGGGAGGTGGAGGTTGCAATGAGCTGAGATCGTGCCACTGCACACCAGCCTGTGAGACAGAGCAAGACTCTGTCTCAAAAAAAAAAAAAAAAAAAAAAAAAAAAGGGCCAAGTATGGTGGCTCATGCCTGTAATCCTAGCACTTTGGGAGGCTGAGTGGGAGAGGATCATTTGAGCCCAAGTAACATGGTCAGGCCCCATCTCTACAAAAATAAATTAGCTGGGCATGGTGGTATGGGCTTGTGGTACCAGCTACTCAGGAGGCTGAGACAGGAGGAGTACTTGAGCCAAGGAGGTCAAAGGCTGCAGTAAGCCATGTTTTTGCCACCGTGCTCCAGCCTGGGCAACAGAGCAATATGCTGTTTCAAAAACAAACTAAAAAAATGGTAGTACCTACATGTGAAGATTGCATATAATAAAGATTGTAAAGCAGAGAGAAAAACTGGACAGTTCACCAAAAAGAAAATCCAAATGTCCACTAGAGATCTGAGAAGATGCCCAACCTCTAGAGCCAAGGAATTGCAAATTAATAACTAAGATAACATTTCAGGGCCTGGCACGGTGGCTCATGCCAGTAATCCCAGCACTTTGGGAGGCTGAGGCAGGCGGATCACTTGAGGTCAGGATTTGAGATCACCCTGGCCAACATGGTGAAATCCTGTCTCTACTAAAAATACAAAAATTAGCTGAGCATGGTTGCGGCGCCTATAATCCTAGCTACTTTGAAGACTGAGGCAGGAGAATCGCTTGAACCTAGGAAGCGGAGGTTGCAGTGAGCTGAGATCGTGCCAGTGCACTCCAGTCTGAGTGACAGGGTGAGACTTCATCTCAAAAAAAAAACAAAAAAACAAAAAATTTCAGGAATATACCTGCCTTTGGTAAAAACAAAAAGAAATTGTGAACCAGGCGTGGTGACTCATGCCTGTAATCCTAGCACTTTGGGAGGCTGAGGCAGGAGGATCCTTTGAGCCCAGGGGTACAAGACCAGCCTGGGCAACATAGGGAGACCTTGTCTCAAAAAAAAATAAATAAATAAATAAAATAAAAAATAAAAAAATCGTGAATAGTGTTGCGATGAATAAAAAAGAAAAAAAATTAAAAAGAAAGAAAACCCAGAAAAACTAACATACCATTTTCCTCTCAGTTTGGCAAAACTATTAGGAATTAATAACATTTGATGTTAGCAAAGTATGGGGAAATGAACTTTTATCCTCTTATTGAAAATATCTGTTTGTAGCCAGGCATGATGACTTATGCCTGTAATCCCAGCAATTTGGGAGGCCAAGGTGGGAAGATTCCTTGAGGCCAGAAGTTTGAGACCAGCCTGAGTAATAAAGTAAGACCCCATGTCATTAAAAAAAAAAAAAAAAAAAAAAAAAAAGAAGGAAAGACTGCCGGGCGCAGTGGCTCACGCCTGTAATCCCAGCACTTTCAGAGGCTGAGGTGAGCAGAACACTTGATGTCAGGAGTTCAAGACCAGCCTGGCCAACATGGTGAAACCCCACCCCATCTCTACTAAAAATACAAAAATTAGCTGGGCGTGGTGGCGGGCGCCTGTAATCCCAGCTATTCAGGAGGCTGAGGCTGGAGAATCACTTGACCCTGGAGGCGGAGGTTGCAGTGAGCCGAGATCACACCACTACACTCCAGCTTGGACAACAGAGTGAGACTCCGTCTCAAAAACAACAACAACAAAACCCAAAACATCTGTTTAAAGTTTAAGACATGTATACCTGTGAAAGTTGATTACATAAATTGGGTCATTCTTGAAATACTCAACTAAATCAGAGTTGAAGGGCCAGGGGGAAGAAGCATTCGGGGCACACAGCATCTGCTTCAAGAATTAAATTTTCCACAAGTCCAACTGCTGAACCAGCCTTCTGTATCCCTAAGACCAGTTTTACCTAATAGCTGCTAAAATGAACTGCCATGACTCTAAGACTGGTTTTACCTACCACCATCGCTCACCAATCAGAGCTTGCTAGCTCCCACAAGCTCTAGTGTGAATGAGCTTTCTTCCAAAACAGTATGTAATACTGTTCTTTCTCATAAAACCCGGAACCTTCTCTTTTTTTTTTTTGAGATGGAATTTTGCTCTTGTTGCCCAGGCTGGAGTGCAATGGCGCGATCTCGGCTCACTGCAACCTTCACCTCCCGGGTTCAAGCATTTCTCCTGTGTCAGCCTCCTGAGTAGCTGGGATTCAGGCATGCGCCACTATGCCCAACTAATTTTGTATTTTTAGTAGAGACGGAGTTTCTCCATGTTGGTCAGGCTGGTCTCAAACTCCTGACCTCAGGTGATCTGCCCGCCTCGGCCTCCCAAAGTGCTGGGATTACAGGCATGAGCTATCACACCTGGCCGCAACCTTCCCTTTATTCTCCTGATCATACCAATGATCAGCCCGGTCTGTGTGTATGCCATGAATTGCAGCTCTTGCTTACCAAATAAAATGTTTTTAGAGATTTGTCTCTATATTATATTTGGCTTTGACATAACTATTCCCAAGGAATTCTATCTTTAAAAATCCATTCTTATAGAAATGAAAGCACCAATAAATGGGAATAAGTACGATAATCCACATCGCAGAATTGTTTGTAGTGGCAAAAGTTGCAACATCCTAATTGTCTATGAGTAAGGAAATGATTGAATAAATTACTGTACATCTATACTAAAGTTAAATTTGTAAGTACTGAAGTACAGGCACGGCTATTTTTTTTTTCTTTTTGTGGAAACAGGGTCTCACTCTGTCACCCAGGCTGGAGTGCAGCGGCACCATCTTGGGTCACTGCAACCTCTGCCTCCTGAGTTCAAGTGATCCTCACACCTCAGCCTCCCAAGTAGCTGGGACTACAGGCACGTGCCACCACACCTGGCTAATTTTGGTTTTTGGCTTCTTTCTTAATTGGTATGTTTACTTAAAAATATAGACTAACGGGCTGGGCATGGTGACTTACACCTATAATCCCAGCACTTTGGGAGGCCAAGGCGGGTGGATCATGAGGTCAGGAGATCGAGACCATCCTGGCTAAAACAGTGAAACCCCATCTCTACTAAAAGTACAAAAAATTAGCCGGGTGTGGTGGTGGGCACCTGTAGTCCCAGCTACTCGGGAGGCTGAGGCAGGAGAATGGCGTGAACCTGGGAAGCAGAGCTTGCAGTGAGCCGAGATTGTGCCACTGCACTCCAGCCTGGGCGACAGAGCAAGACTCCATCTCAAAAATAAATAAATAAATAAATAAAATAATAAAATAAAATATAGACTAATGATCCTGTGCTTCAATGTCATTGTGGTTATGTGCTGATGTCCATAAAACATAAGTTATAAGGGACTCTTCACAAATACACTCCAGACAGAAGGGTAAACAGAAATGACTGACAAGACAGTGCCATTTCAGACATACTTCCCTTAATTATTAATACTTGCTAGAAAATGGAGTTTGACATTATTTACAATTATACCAATATTCACAGAGGCCAACTGTCACAGGCATTAAGGGCACACCAGGGCCAGGAGACCTCATTTCAGACTTCCCAAATATTTTTATATTTTAGCTATTAAGATCAGTTACCAGAGCTCAACTTGTTCTTAACAAGCAGAATTTTTATGTCCATTCAAAGAGTCTCTTATACCTTTCTGGGCCTATTTACTTGCAGAGAACAGTAGAAACTGTAACCAGGCTCTTCATATCATGCATTCACATGTGATGTCCAATCTTCATATGCTGTCCAATTTCTTTAAGATAAATGGAGTGACTCGCAGCAGGGCCACGTAGATGAGAAAGTTCTGTATGGAGATCATATCCTCGTGCATCTTCCGTTTCATCTCCGTGAGGTCCAGCTTCCGGGCAAGGCCCCCAATCCGGAAGATCAGCTGCCTCGCTCTGCTCTCCCTAATGGCCCCCTTACACCCGGAACTCGGCCTATCCCCTCGCCCCAGCTAATTTTTGTATTTTTAGTAGAAATGGGGTTTCGCCATGTTGCCCAGGCTGGTCTTGAACTCCTGGGCACAAGGGATCTACCCGCCTTGGTCTCCCAAAGTGCTCAGATTACAGGCATGAGCCACCACGCCTGGCCCAACATGGCTATTATTTTTTAAAGTGCTAAATTATGGCCGGGGGCTGTGACTCACGCCTGTAATCCCAGCACTTTGGGAGGCCGAGGCGGGTGAATCACGAGGTCAGGAGATGGAGACCAGCCTGGCCAACATGGTGAAACCCCATCTCTACTAAGAATACAAAAAATTAGCTGGGCGTGGTGGCAGGCGCCTGTAATCCCATCTACTCAGGAAGCTGAGGCTGGAGAATCGCTTGAACCCGGGAGGCGGAGGTTGCAGTGAGCAGAGATCACGCCACTGCAGTCCAGCCTGGGCAACAGTGCGAGACTCTGTCTCAAAAAAAAAATAAATAAATTACCTGGGTGTGGCAGCGCGTGCCTGTAATCCCAGCTACCCAGGAGGCTGAGGCAAGAGAACTGCTTGAACCCAGGAGGCAGAGGTTGCATGGAGCTGAGATGGCGCCACTGCACTCCAGTCTGGTGACAGAGTGAGACTCCATCTCAAAAAAAAAAAAAAAAAGTGCTAAGTTACATCTAAGTTTCCTATTTTTGTTTAAAAAACTCCTTGTAGTGGGTTGAATGGTGGACCCCAAAATGATACATCTGTCCATCTGATATGCGTGAATGTGACCTATTTGGGAAAACAGTTTTTGTAGATGAAATTAAGGATTTCCAAATGAGATCATCCTAGGTTAGAATGGAACCTAAATCCAACAGCAAAAGTCCTCATAAAAAGAAGGGAAGAAGACAGAAAAGAAGACCACAAAGACAAAGGCAGAGATAGGAGTTATGCTGCCATAAGCCAAGTAATACCTGGAGCCACCAGCAGCTGGAAGAGGAAAGCAAGGATTCTCCCTTGGAGCCTTCAGAGGGAGGTGTGGCCCAGCTGACATCTTGCTCTCAGATTTCTGGCCTCCAGAACTGTGAACAGAAATATTTCTGTTGTTTTAAGCCACTAAGTTTGTGGTAATTTGTTACAGCAGCTCTCAGAATCAAATACATTCCCACACCCCTTATTTATGTGTATGTGTGTGTATGCATGTTTGCATGAGCACTGAGAGAAGTATACCATTATTAACATTGGTTAGTTCAGGGGAATGGGACTGGCTTACTGAAGGCTGAGAGAGTATACGTGTGTGTATATAAATTGAGTGTATTTAAATTAAGTATATGGAAGTAAATTAAGACTACAATGAGATACCACTACCTCCCACCAATATGGTTAAAGATAAAAGGACTGATAATACCTAATGCTGGTATGGAGCAATGGAACCTTCCTTTATTGCTGGTGGTAAAATGGTATGGTCATTAAAAACAAACTAAAACAAAAACAACAAAAATGCAATTGTTTGATGGTACCTACTAAAAAATGTGTGTATGTGTGTGTATAGACACACACCCTATGACCCAGCAATTCCATTCCTGGCATATACTCAGTAGATAGCGTGTTTAAGACCATCATAAGATATATAAAAATGTTACGGTAGCATTATTCATAACAGCCCCAAAGTGGGAGCAATTCAAAGGTCCATGAAATGTAGAGTAACTAAATTATGGTATATTCATATAACAGAATGCTACACAACAGTGAAAAAGGCTGAACTGCTGCATAGCAGCAAAATAGAGAATTCTTTTAGACGTAACGTTGAGCAAATCAAGCTAGGCTCACTACAGCACATACCGTGTGATCCCATTTACAAAAAATTCAAAAACAGGCAAAACTAATCTATGGTGATAATCAGATGGGAGGCATTATCTAAGAGGGTGCTGGAAATGTCCTTTATTGTGATCTGAACATAGTATTCATATACGAGTCATTGAAATATACATTTCAAATGCTGGCTGTTTATTATCATTTCACTGGGATAAATGCCCAAGGAGTTAGTTTTCAAAGAGATGCTATTTAGAATTTATGGAAATTTAGAACTTACTGTATTTTCCCAGATTTTCTATAATGAGCAAGCATTGCAGTTTGAGGGTTTGAAAGATTGGTAGAGACAAAAACTGCATAAGCTGCATGATTATTTCTCACACTTCAGATGCTTACCACCTTTATGATTTGCCATATCATGTATTTTAAAAAATACATTTTTTTCTTTTTTTAGATGGAGTCTCATTCTGTCACCCAGGCTGCAGTGCAGTGGTGTGATCTCAGCTCACTGCAACCTCCTGGGTTCAAGTGACTCTCCGGCCTCTGCCTCCCGAGTAGCTGAGATTACAGGCACCCATCACAATACCTGGCAAATTTTTGTATTTAAAAATACAGCCAGGCTCGGTGGCTCACGCCTGTAATCCCAGCACTTTGGGAGGCCAAGGCTGGCGGATCACCTGAGGTCAGGAGTTCGAGACCAGCCTGACCAACATGGTGAAACCCCGTCTCTACTTAAAATACAGAATTAGCTGGGCGTGGTGGCTCATGTCTGTAATCCCAGCACTTTGGGAGGCCAAGGTGGGTAGATTGCCTGAGGTCAGTTCGAGACCAGCCTGACCAATATGGTGAAACCTCATCTCTACTAAAAATACAAAAATTAGCTGGGCATGGTGGTATGCTCCTGTAGTCCCAGCTACTCAGGAGGCTGAGGTGGGAGAATTGTTTGAATTCGGGAGGTGGATGTTGCAGTGAGCTGAGATCGCGCCACTGCACTCCAGCCGGGCGACAGAGCGACACTCCGTCTCAAAAAAACAAAAACATACAATTTTAAAAATTTAGTCTTAGCTTTTCAATAAGAGGGATTAAAATATATTATTTTAGTCTGCTCAGCATCCATTCTCCCTTCCTTTTGGCAAAGAACCCTAAATTTTTTGGGGGATGATATAGTTTGGCTGTGTCCCCAACCCAAATCTCATCCTGAATTGTAGCTCCTATAATTCCCATGTGTCATGGGAGGGACCTGGTGGGAGGTAATTGAATCATGGGGGTGGTTACCTTCATGCTGTTCTCATGATAGTGAGTGAGTTCTCAGGAGATCTGATGGTTTCATAAGGGGCTTTTCCCCTTTTGCTTTGCACTTCTCCTTCCTGCCATCATGTGAAGAAGGATGTATTTGCTTCCCCTTCTGCCATGATTGTAAGCTTCCTGAGGCCTCCCCAGCCATACACAACTGTGAGTCAATTAAACCTCTTTCCTTTATAAATTATCCAGTCTCGAGTATGTCTTTATTATCAGCATGAGAACGGACTAATACAGGGGACCACCTACTCCTTACTAGAGTTGGTTTTACCATCAACTTGCCCTCCTCTTGCTGAGGGATGGGTACCTAACCCATGTAACTTCAGTTGGAGGCACTCCAAGTGACATAAAAACTAAATATACATGTCAGAAGTTCAACCTGATATCAGCACTGTAAGAAAAAAAAACAAAAACAAACACCTCATAACACCTACTCTTAAGATACCTGAAACTGTTACAATTCTTGACCTTTCCAAAGCCTTGAGTCCTCAACTTTTCCATGACTCTGGAGTCTCTCATTCTTTCAAATAAGATTTTTATCAGTAAGTTCATTAATCTGATCCTGTTGCTTGCAACCAAAAATTCCAATATATCATGAAATCAGGTTAGATGTGGTTATATTACTTCAAGTATATACTAACCCATTTCCCGTTTGCCCCAAGAATACTCTTGCCTCTAATCCTAATGTAACATTATATACATTTCCATTATATTAGGATTAGAGACAAGTTCTGTTTAGAAATAACTCTAAGAACAGTTTGTGTATTTTCACATTGAAAATTAATTTGCGTCAACCTCAGAGTGTGTTTATGTAAAATTAAATGAGCGCTGGCAGCCAGCTGCACTTTTTTTTTCTTTTTTTCTTTTTTTTTTTTTGAGACGGAGTCTCACTCTGTCGCCCAGGCTGGAGTGCATGGAGTGCAGTGGCATGATCTCGGCTCACTGCAAGCTCCGCCTCTCGGGTCTATGCCTTTCTCCTGCCTCAGCCTCCCGAGTAGCTGGGACTACAGGCGCCTGCCACCATGCCCGGCTAATGTTTTGTATTTTTAGTAGAGACGGGGTTTCACCATGTTAGCCAGGACGGTCTCGATCTCCTGACCTCGTGATCCACCCACCTCGGCCTCCCAAAGTGCTAGGATTACAGGCGTGAGCCACGGCGCCTGGCCACTTTTATTTTCTAAACAGGAAATGGGTTAAATACGTAACTCTGTATGAAATATCCATTCATAAGCTACCCTAACAGCCCCCTTGAGTGGTATAAGGCTACAGTCTTTGACCAAAAAAAAAAGTATTTGACAAAAACTTATGTCATGTGATATATGTTCATAAAAGGCAAGTATTTAATAGGATTATGTCAATTATAGCCAGGCTGGTAGGTAAATTTCTTTTAAATACCAAGGCTCAGCCAGACTGCTGCAAGGAAGTGTTCCAGAACTTATGTACCAGCAAGCAGTCTTGTCCAAGTGGTAAAACAGCAAGAGTAGTATGTGGAATGGAAATTCGGTTTGTATGTTTTTTTTTTTTTTTTTTTTTTTGAGACAGAGTCTTGTTCTGTTGCTCAGGCTAGAGTGCAGTGGTGCAGTCTCGGCTCACTGCAACCTTTGCCTCCCAGAGTCAAGAAATTCTCTTGCCTCAGCCTCCCAAGTAGTTGGGATTACAGGCGCCCACCACCACGCTTGGCTAATTTTTGTATTTTTAGTAGAGACGGGGTTTCACCATGTTGGCCAGGCTGGTCTTGAACTCCTGACCTCAGGTGATCTGCCCACCTCAGCCTCAGCCTCCCAAAGTGCTGGATTACAGGCATGAGCCACCATGCCCGGCCTTGTTTTTTATTTATTTATTTCTTTGAGATGAAGTCTTGCTCTGTCACCCAGACTGGAGTGCAGTGGTGCAATCTCGGCTCACTGAAATCTCCACCTCCCGGGTTCAAGCGATTCTCCTGCCTCAGCCTCCCAAGTAGCTGGTATTACAGGCACACACCACCATACCTGGCTAATTTTTGTATTTTTAGTAGAGACGGGTTTCACCATATTGGCCAGGCTGGTCTTGAACTCCCGACTTCGTGATCCGCCCGCCTTGGCCTCCCAAAGTGCTAGGATTACAGGCACCTTTTTAAAATTATTATATTGAGACAGGGTGTCACTTTGTCACCCTGGCTGGAGTGCAGTGGCATGACCTTGGCTCACTGCATCCTCAACTTCCCAGACTCAAACCATCCTTCCACCTCAGTCCCCCAAGTAGCTGGGACTACAGGTGTGCACCACCACATCTGGCTAATTTTTGTGCTTTTTGAGGAGATGGGGTTTTGTCATGTTGCCCAGGCTGGTCTCAAACTCCTGGCCTCAAGCGATCCTCCCACCTCAGCCTCCCAAAGTGCTGAGATTACAAATGTGAGCTACTGCACCTGGCCGTGTATTTCTACAAAAGTTATGTTATAATCAAATTTGAAAATCTCAACTTTTCCAAGCAAATGATCCAATAGCAGGCTATTTATAAACTTTTAATGTGCATTAGTTACTGCTATGTAAAAGTTTTTTTGTTTTTAAGAAGTGAAGGTGTGAAAAAAACAAACCTGTAGTAAGTTTCATGTCTTTTGGAAATTTATAGGGAAGTACATTTGAGCATACACATTGTCATTCTCCTTTTCTCAGTGACAGTTTTATGACTTGGCCATCTCTAAAGATAATATATTCCAATATGTAATTGCTATATAGCAAATACATTAGCTGATGAAGTTGTAGGAGGCAATGTAATAAATGTTCTTACTCAGCTTTGGTCTAACAGATAACTATGACTGACAATTTCGTAAAAATAACAGACCAAGTGTTTTTGAGAGAGAGAGAGAGAGAGAGAGAGAGAGAGAGAGAGAGAGAGAGAGTGTGTGTGTGTGTGTGTGTGTGTGTGTGTGTGTGTATGTTTTGAGACAGGGTCCCACTCTTATCACCCAGGGTGGAGGGCAGTGGTGCAATCTCGGCTCACTGCAGCCTTGACCTTCTGGGTTCAGGTGATCCTCCCACTTTAGCCTCCCAAGTAGCTGGGACTACAGGCGTGCACCACCACACCCACCTAATTTTTTTTTTTTTGGTAGAGATGAGGTTTTTCTGTGTTGCCCAGGCTGGTCTCAAACTCCTGAGCTCAAATGACCCACCTGCCTCGGCCTCCCAAAATGCTGGGATTACAGGCGTGAGCTATTGTGCCCAGCCTATATAAAAATTTTTTAAGTTTTTGGAAAATGTCAGAAATCAACGTTTCCTTTTAGCCCTATTTTCAAAAACTGGCTAGTTTGATAAATGGATCACAATTTCTTACACATGCTACTAATAGAAGAGGCATTCAAAAATAAATGACTGATGGCCAGCGAGTGGATAACTTGAGATCAGGAGTTCGAGACCAGCCTAGCCAAGATGGTGAAACCCCATCCCTACTAAAACTACAAAAAATTAGCCAGGCACGGAAGTGGAGGTTGCAGTGAGCGGAGATCGCACCATTGCACTCCAGCCTGGATGACAAAGCGAGACTCTGTTTAAAAAAAAAAAAAAAGTAACTGATAAAACTGACCACAGTGTATCTTGGGCAGTAATGGCTGCTGCTTCTCATTTTCAGCAGGACTTAATGAAAATTGCTAATGATAACGCACTACCTCCTAAGAATGATGCAAAATACGATTTTTGATGTTTAAAGGGAGGGTTCCATGGAGTTTGGTATTTTCCAAATTATATTCTAAATCTGGTACTATCTCACCTAATAATTTTATCTTTCTTTAGCAACAAGCCCTAACAATATCCAAACTAAATAAAATCATTACATGAATTTACTTTTTACAATCATTCTCCTAAGGCTGGGCGTGGTGGCTCATGCCTGTAATCCCAGCACTTTGGGAGGCCGAGGTGGGCGGATCACCTGAGGTCAGAAGTTCGAGACCAGCCTGACCAACATGGAGAAACCCCGTCTCTACTAAAAACACAAAATTAGTCGGGCGTGGTGGCTCATGCCTGTAATCCTAGCTACTCGGGAGGCTGAGGTGGGAGAACCCGGGAGGCAGAGGTTGCGGTGAGCCAGTATCACGCCACTGCACTCCAGTCTGGGCAACAAGAGCGAAACTCCGTCTCAAAAAAAAAAAAAAATAATAATAATAATAATAATAATTAAAATTATTCTCCAGGGATGGGCATGGTGGCTCATATCTGTAATCCCAGCACTTTGGGAGGCCGAAGCAGGCAGATCATTTGAGATCAGGAGTTTGAGACCAGGTTGGCTAACATGGTGAAACCCTGTCTCTACTAAAAATACAAAAAAACTAGCTGGGTGTGGTAGTGCACGCCTGTAATCCCAGCTACTTGGGAGGCTGAGGCAGGAGAATTGCTTGAACCCGGGATGCAGAGGTTGCAGTCAGCCGAGATTGTGCCACTGTACTCCAGCCTCAGCAACAGAGCAAGCAAGACACAGTCTCAAAAAAAAAAAAAAAAAAAAAAAAAAAAAAGCTATTCACCTGTATTTTCCCTTAGTATCCTATAATTGACCTGTTTCCCTCTTTATAAGTTCAGCTACTTTTAGTTACCTTAACTATACCACATGGTGGTGTCATGATTGGTGTCAATGTATTGCATATATATATATATTACAATATACCACATGATAGGTGTCAATATACTCCAACAATTAGACTTAATTTTCTTCCTCTCCGATAATTTTTCCGCCTGCTTTGAGGAAACATCTGGTCATATTGCAGTTAAAAATCAAACCTCTTAACAATAAATTTATTTAATTAAATGCCATAAAAATTAATCAAGAATGGCCAGGCATGGTGGCTCACGCCTGTAATCCCAGCACTTTGGGCAGAGGTGGAAGGTGGCTCACTTGAGCTCAGGAGTTGGAGACCAGCCTGGGCAACATGGCAAAACCCCTATCTCTACCAAAAATATAAAAATCAGCCTGACGTGGTGGCATGCGCCTGTAGTCCCAACTGCTTGGGAGACGAGACTGAGGCAGGAGGATCACTTGAGCCCAGGAGGTTGAGGCTGCAGTGAGCCACGTTCGTGCCACTGCACTCAGCCGGGGTGACAAGGCGAGATCCTGCCTCAAAAAAAAAAAAAAAAAAGTACTAATGATTGATTACAAACTAGAGATCTTCCTTATTCTAATATCCATTTTATTTTGGAAACGTAGCTTTCCCTCGATTTATAAGAATTAAAAGGTCTAAAGTTCTTCCATTCCACAGGATAAACTAAAGAAATTATTCATTTAAAAAAAAAGGCAAAGAAAAGAGCTTAAAGCATGAAAAGTTTTTTTGTACTTATGGCTTATTAGTCTGTGTAGAAATTCTGGAGACAGAATTACAGAAACCAGGCCCACAAAGAATCTTTGTGGTACAATCAGATTTCTTTATTATTTCTTTTATTAGAATGTAACTTAAGCTACTTAATTTTTGCCTTTGTGACTACCATCATAGAATATTCTGAAGACTAAAGTTAACCAAAGATCCAGAACAATGTTTTAATTTAATGAAAAATCTAGGCTAATATGAAGATAGAAACTCAGGCTAAAAAACTTCAGCCGGGTGGGATGGCTCACGCCTGTAATCCCAGCTCTATGGGAGGCCAAGAAGGGTGGATCACCTGAGGTTAGTAGTTTGAGACCAGCCTGGCCAAAATGGTGAAACCCCATCTCTTCTAAAAACACAAAAATTAGCCGGGCGTGGTGGCGGGCGCCTGTAGTCCCAGCTCCTCAGGAGGCTGAGGCAGGAGAATCGCTTGAACTCAGGTGGCGGAGGTTGCAGTGAACCGAGATGGCACTGCTGCGCTCTAGCCTGGGCGAGAGAGCAAGACTCTGTCTCAAAAAAAAAAAAAACACCCCACAAAAACCCAAAAAACTTCCTGGTTGTCGAATTCAGTATTAGACACAAAAAATTCTAGCCTATTTATGGGTGGTACCACTGGTAAGAGACAAATCACAAGATATTGTGTTAGGCTAACTTCAAGATCTGTCCATTCAGATAGTGGTTGACATATTGGGTGATCAGAAAAATTTGTTAAATTGCATTATGTGAAAAATCAAGTATTTGTAGAATACTTTAAGTTATTCTATTTACTACTACAATGGCATTTTTATTCTCTCTGACATAGTTTTGTGTTTACTTCAGAGTGCAGCAAGGTCTCAAACCTTAATTTCTCTAGGTTACATATTTCCAAATTTATAACTACCATCAAGACTCAAGTTTTAGAAGAGGCTGAGAACAGAAAATATGGTACTCATTCCAAAAAATGTTAAAGCTATAAGTAGAACTGAGACCTCAGTTTACATCCACTTAGTTTCTATTCCAGTGGTTTGAAGTATCTGTTGTAAATTGTTCAAGCAAGCTTTGTAAGTTGATTTTTTTTTTTTTTTGAGGCAGAGTCTTGCTTTGTTGCCCAGGCTGGAGTGCAGTGGTGCAATATCTGCTGACTGCAACCTCTGCCTTGGGTTCAAGCGATTTTCCTGCCTCAGCCTCCCGAGTAGCTGAGATTACAGGCATGTGCCACCACACACCTGGCTATTTTTTTTTTTTTTTTTTTTTTGTATTTTTAGTAAAGATGAGGTTTCATCATGTTGGTCAGGCTGGTCTCAAACTCCTGACCTCAAGTGATCCGCCCGCCTCGGCCTCCCAAAGTGCTGGGATTGTGGGCATAAGCCACCGCACCTGGCCCTTTAACTTGATTTCAAAGCAAAATTATACAAATGGACCCTAACTTCTATTATATATTTAAGTTTACTTCAAAGATCTATTTTATCCTTATCCTTAGAAACTGTGAGGAAAAAAAAACTATGTTAACAAAGCTGATGACAAAGATTCTTTATTATATAAGAGATCCTATTATCTGATCATATTACCTAATAAATTATATATGAATGTTCAATAATAAAAATAATGTTCACCAATATGTCACATGCATGGTTAGTGTTTTATTCTTTGAAGACTGCTTCTAAAACATCGCACTAAGTAAAGCTGAAAGGATAAAGTTTAAAATAGTTTTTAAAGGATAAGTTATAACATATGTAATGACTGTCCACTCTACAAAATCTTGATCTTAGAGCTTATGATACACCCAGTTGGCAGTAGCACCCAGGTTTTCCAAATAGCCAGTCATCACTTTTCTCTTGTCTGCATAGACTTCTTCTCATTAGCTGCCTTCTGCTTTTCTTGCATGATCTCAGAGTCCCTACAATGAGGGAAAAGTCTATAAGTTGTTACAGAAAAACCAATTATATATTCTCACTTGGTTTCTACACATAACCCATTCAGTGTATTAGAAGACAATTTAAAAGAGGATATAAACTTTTTTGTCTTTCCATTTTCATGGCTGGAGACAAAATGGAAAGACAGACTGGAAAGGCTTTGAAGTCAGATCTTATTCTGAATACCATCTCTGTTATCATGACCTTGGGCAAATAACCTCAAAGCCCTTTCAAAATCCGGGCAATATGTATCAAGGTTGTTACAAGGAATCACTATGAATATATAAAAGTGTGTGACATTAGGCAGCTACATGTAGAAATAATAGCTATTACTCTTGGTTGTTAACTAGTTAATTCATTCTAATTTTTTTCCTTGAAAGAAGAGGCATTTAAGAACTCTCCTAGGTATCCTAACTGGTATCTACGACTAGAACATAGATATTATGAAGGATTTCAGTTTCTTACAAGCAAAAAAGCCCAAAAGCTAGTCACTAAAACTGGATTACAATAAAGAAAAGCTGGATGTTCAGGGTACTTTTTTTTTTTTTTGAGACGGAGTCTCGCTTTGTCCCCCAGGCTGGAGTGCGGTGGAACGATCTTGGCTCACTGCAACCTCCACTTCCTGCTTGCAGTTCTTCTGCCTCAGCCTCCTGAGTAGCTGGGACTACAGGCATGCGCCACCACACCCGACTAATTTTTGCATTTTAAGTAGAGACGAGGTTTCACCATATTGGCCAGGCTGGTCTCGAACTCCTGACCTTGTGATCCGCCTGCCTCAGTCTCCCAAAGTGCTGGGATTACAGGTGTGAGCCACTGCGCCCAGCCCTTAACCCTTCTCATCTCCAGTCAAACTGACACATGCCATATAAACTGTGAACTATGACCAGACTACCTGGGTTAGGTGATTCATGAGTCCATGGACCCATATTTTAAAAACAGACTAAACGGCCATGCATTCAACATCTACTGTGTGTCAAGCACTCTACCAGCTCTGGTTAAAGTCCCACAACTCTGACTTATTAACCTCATGTTTCAAACTTTTTAATTTTTTATTTATTTTTTTGAGACAGAGTCTTGCTCTGTTGCCCAGGCTGCAGTGCAGTGGCACAATCTTTGCTCACTGCAACCTCCACCTCCCTGGTTCAAGCGAGTCTCCTGCCTCAGTTTCCCAAGTAGCTGGGATTACAGGCATGTGCAACCAAGCCCACCTAATTTTTGTATTTTTAGTAGAGACAGGGTTTCACCATGTTGGCCAGGCTTGTCTCGAACTCCTGGCCTCAAGTTGATCCGCTCGCCTCGGCCTCCCAAAGTGCTGGATTTACAAGTGTAAGCCACTGAGCCTGGCCTGTTTTAACTTTTTGAGGAAATGCTAAACTGATTTCCACAGCCATGATGGTAAGATATTTCTGTAAAGCCAATAGCAAAAACAAGGGAATAGAAGAAAGGCAAAATAGGCCAGTGGCTCACATCTGTAACCCCAGCACTTTGGGAGGCTGAGATAGGCGGACCACCTGAGGTCGAGAGTTTGAGACCAGACTGAGCAACATGGAGAAACCCTATCTCTACTAAAAATACAAAATTAGCCAGGCATGGTGGTGCATGCCTGTAATCCCAGCTACTTGGGAGGCTGAGGCAGGAGAATCACTTGCACCCGAGAGGTGGAGGTTGCGGTGAGCTGAGATTGCGCCATTGTACTCCGCCTGGGCAACAAGAGCGAAACTCCGTCTCAAAAACATAAAATAAAATAAAATAAAATAAAAATAAAGAAGAAAGGCAAAATAACACAGCTACAGGCTGTTCTGCCTATAAAGTAGCCAATATTTATTTCTTTACTTTCCTAATAAACTTGCTTTCACTAAAACAAAAACAAAAACATAGCTATAAAGAAATGAAGTACAGTGGAAAAAGAACCATGACAGTTACTTCTCTATTTGAAACCAAGCTCTGTTGTGCTTGCTGTGTAACTTTAGTAATGTTACTGAAGTTCAGAGCCTCAGTTTCCTATTCTACAGATTAGTGCTAATACCATTTTTCAGAGTTATGATGAATAAAGAATAATGTATATAGAATGTCTAGCATAGAATTTTATAAGGAGTGCATATCTGGTAAACAATGACAATTTCTGAACCAAGCTAGACTAGGTTCTCCAATAAAAATACTATTGCAGGGTCACTGATTCATACCATGTTCATTTTTACTCTAATGTGAGTCAACAGAAATTGAAGACAAAGCTTATCACTTTAATAATAAATGTTAGGGCCGGGCATAGTGGCTCACACCTGTAATTCCAGCACTTTGGGGGACTGAGGTGGGCAAATCACTTGACCCCAGAAGTTCAAGACCTGCCTGGACAACATGATGAAACCCCGTTTCTACAAAAAATATAAAAACTATCTGGGCTTGGTGGTGTGCCCTTGTAGTCCCAGCTACTCAGAAGGCTGAGGTGGGAGGGTCACTTGAGCCTGGGAGGCAGAGCTTGCAGTGAACCGAGACTGTGGCACTGCACTCCAGTCTGGGTCACAGAGTAAGACGCCATATCTGGGAAAAAAAAAAAAAAGGTGTCAGGACCTTTGCCTTAAATTAAGGTCTTTAATCTCATTTATCAATGACTCTTAATAGTGGCTGCACATTAGAATCACCTGGGAGCTGTTTTAAGTTCAGTTTAAGGTATAACTGGGTGTGCTGGGAGGCTGGGGGAGGGATAGCATCAGGAGAAATACCTAATGTAAATGATGAGTTGATGGGTGCAGCAAACCAACATGGCACATGTATATCTATGTAACAAACCTGCACGTTGTGCATATATACCCTAGAACTTAAAGCGTAATAATAAAAAAAAAATTCAAAAAAAAAAAAAAAGGTATAACTGGGCCAGCGTGGTGGCTCACGCCTGTAATCCCAGCACTTTGGGAGGCCGAGGCGGGTGGATCACTTGAGGTCAGTAGTTTGAGACCAGCCTGGCCAACACGGTGAAACCCAGTCTCTACTAAAAATACAAAAATTAGCTGGGCATGGTGGCGGACGCCTGCAATTCCAGCTACTTGGATTGCTGACGCAGGAGAATCGCTTAAGCCCAGGAGGTGGAGGTTGCAGTGAGCCGAGATCACGCCACTGCCCTCCAGCATGGGCAACAGAGTAAGACTCTGCCTTTAAAAAAAAAAAAAAGGCATAACCTAAGTACAGTAAAATTTACCTAGGGTGCTTTTTAATGCTCGACCTCTGACCAATTAAATCAGAACTGGATGAAAGATAAATGTTTGAGCATAGAGATATCCCAATTACCCCGATTTGATCATTACACATTGTACACATAAAGGTTTTTTTTTTTTGACGGAGTCTCGCTCTGTCGCCCAGGCTGGAGTGCGGTGGCGCGATCTCAGCTCACTGCAAGCTCCGCCTCCCGGGTTCACGCCAGTCTCCTGCCTCAGCCTCCCGAGTAGCTGGGACTACAGGCGCCCGCCACTGCGCCCGACTAATTTTTTGTATTTTTAGTACGGACAGGGATTCACCGTGGTCTCGATCTCCTGACCTCGTGATCTTCCTGCCTTGGCCTCCCAAAGTGCTGGGATTACAGGCATGAGCCATCGCGCCCGGCCGGAGTTTCACTCTTGTTGTCCAGGCTGGAGTGCAATGGCGAGATCTCAGCTCACCGCAACCTCCGCCTCCCAGGTTCAAGTGATTCTCCTGTCTCAGCCTGCCGAGTAGCTAGGATTACAGGTGTTCGCCACCACAGTTGGCTTTTTTTTTTTTTTTGAGACGGAGTCTCGCTCTGTCACCCAGGCTGGAGGGCAGTGGCACGATCTCGGCTCGCTGCAAGCTCCGCCTCCCGGGTTCACGCCATTCTCCTGCCTCAGCCTCCCAAGTAGCTGGGACTACAGGCGCCTGCCACCTCGCCCGGCTAAGTTTTGTATTATTAGTAGAGACGGGGTTTCACCGTGTTAACCAGGATGGTCTCGATCTCCTGACCTCGTGATCCGCCCGCCTGGGCCTCCCAAAGTGCTGGGGTTACAGGCGTGAACCACCGCGCCCGGCCACACACTTGGCTAATTTTGTATTTTTAGTAGAGATGGGGTTTCTCCATGTTGGTCAGAATGGTCTTGAGCTCCCAACCTCAGGTAATCCACCCGCTTCGGCCTCCCAAAGTGCTGGGCTAACAGGTATGAGCCACCACGCCAAGCCAGTTTCTTTTTGTTGTTGTTTTTTTGAGACAGGGTCTCACTCTGTCACCCAGGCTGGAATGCAATGGCAGGATCTCGGCTCACTGCAACCTCCGCCTCCCAGGTTCAAGTGATTCTCCTGCCTTAGCCTCCCAAGTGGCTGGGACTACCCAGCCCACATACAGGTATTAAAAGATCACATGTACCCCCAAAATATGTACAACTATTGTAATTCAATTTTTTAAAAAAACAAAAAATCAAAACTGAGCATAACGCAAGGCTTGAGTAGCTGTCAAGGTTTCCCAGGTGATTCTAATGTGCAGCCAGGATTGAGAACCCCTAACAAGCCACACTGAAGCACATGCAGTCAGTTATTCGCTTAACCTCCAAGTTCCATATGGACAAAATCATTTGAGAATAAAATTAAGCTTTGATTAGCTCTTTTAGAAACATGAGTGTACTTTTTTTTACTTAAGCTGCAGTCTAAAGTATTTCTGTAGCAGTTTTACATTGGCACATATAGTCATATATTAAGGCTATGTACATGAATTCTCTCCAATGCAATGGATCTTCAGAAATCAGCACAGCTAGCTATTATGCATATACTTTTTTGTATCTTCTTGAGAACTATTATCATTATATATTAATAATTGAGTCCCTTGTCATTCAGAGTAGTTTGGGTAGGCTGTCTACTTTGAAAATGTTGTAACTCTAGCACCTCACAGTGTTTTGCATATAGAAGATGTTATTTTGCTGAATAAAGTTGTTTTTTTTTTTTTGTTTTGTTTTTTTGATACAGAGTTTCCCGCTCAGTACCCAGGCTGGATTGCAATGGCACAATCTTCACTCGCTGCAACCTCCCCCTCCCGGTTTCAAGCGATTCTCCTGCCTCAGCCTCCCAAGTAACTGGGATTACAGGCATGTGCCACTGCACCCAGCTAATTTTGTATTTTTAGTAGAGATAGGGTTTCACTATGTTGGTCAGGCTGATCTCGATCTCCTGACCCCAGGTGATCCACCCACCTTGGCCTTCCAAAGTGCTGAGATTACAGGCGTGAGCCACCGCACCCAGCCTATAAAAAGTTCTTATGGTTGTGGAGGAGCTGCATGAGTCTCTGTGAAACAAATAATAGCTTCAGAGCTTTACGTTTTTATCTATATGTTGGGATGTCTACCCCACGTGGTTTTAGTCCGCCTGGCACAAATCATTAGGCCCTGTTCTACCAAGGGCTTAACAAAATGCTTTCTGTTCCCCAAAATGAGGCCTTCTTTTTTTTTTTTTTTTTTTTTTTTTTTGAGACAGGGTCTAACTCTGCCATCCAGGCTGGAGTGCAGTGGTGCAATCGCAGCTTACTGCGGCCTTAACCTCCTGGGCTCAAGCGATTCTCCCGCCTCAGCCTCCAGAGTAGCCGAGACCACAGCCATGTGCTACCATGCCTGGCCAATTTAAAAAAATATTTTGTAGATACAGGGGCTGGCTATGTTGTCCAAGTTGGTCTCAAACTCTTGGCTTCAAGCAGTTCTCCCGACTCTCCCAAACTGCCGGGATTACAGGCATGAGGCAACACACCCAGCCCAAAATGTTGCTTCAATCACAACGTCAGTGACTTTAGAATTAAATTAGTACCACGTACCTCTGCTTTCTCTGAGAGGCAGTCAAGCTATCCTCTTTCCTCTTTCCCTTGCTAATTTCCTGGGTTTTCTTCATGTTTTTCTGGCGGGCAAGTTCTCGTTGATTTCCACCTACAAAGTCAAACAGTCATGCTCTTTTCCCATCTCCAAAATTATTAATAATTCCAATAAACAGGCCTTATTTAAATGCATCTTTAGTTTGTGTTTTCATAGATAAACTAGCAGAGTAACAGATTGATGGTGCTCCTAGATCTGACAATAAGGAAGTGGCTTAAACACTTAAAGACTTAAGAGTATTATCATACCAATCTAGGTGGTCACTAGCTATAAATACCAGATATTTTAAAACAGATATTCGAATCTTGGGCCGGTATCCCAAAATAAGTTCTGGCTTTTGAGGGGAGTGGGTGGAAGAGAAAGCTAGATACAGAGATCACAAGTTCAGCCCATCACTTGAGAGTTACCTTTATCCCCATGCAGAGGCGGAGAGGGGTGGATGGAGACTGAACAGATTGAAGGTAAGTCTGCGAAAGGCAGTGTGGGCCTTTACATCCTTATTCTAGCCACAACCCTGCAAGGTAGGCTTCATTGTTTTCATTTTGCAGAACAGACTGACCTAACACCTAGGACTGGTACAAACGAACATCAAATTTAGGACCGGCTCTAAAGCCTCCTGTTTATTCGGCTACTACCTGCGAGCGCCAAACAAAAGAACTAGGGAGGCGACTCACTGGAGTTCCCGGTCCTCATTAGGCCTTAAGACTTGAGGTATCAGCTATAAAGTACCTCCAAACAAGGACCCTCCTGGGGCGGCCGTGTCCACATCTCCGGGGTGTGTTCTTTACCGCACAAACTCGCACCTGAGGGGCAGGCACCCGTCCGGCCTGAAAAGCCGGACCGGAACCACCCGCGAGCTCTCTCTCTGCCGACTGAAGCGGGGATCCCCGCACTGCGCGACCCAGGGGGATTCTCCAGCCGGACTCCGCCTCCCCCGCCCGCCGCGCCTCAGCGCTAGGCTCCCACGCCGGACGCTCGCCGCCGCTTCCCACCCCCACTCACGGGCCATGCCGACCACCAACGGAGCCTGGAAGAAGAGCAACTCGGAAAAGCAACGGTTCTCTGGCACTCTGGGATACCGTCACCACCGCTGACCGGGAAGGCTGAGCCCTCGTGGGCCCTCCGCCCGGCTGCGCCTCCGCTCTGCTCCGCCAACGGCCCCGCCCGCTGGAGGCCCGACAACAGCCGCCGGCATGGCCGGCGCGTCACTGCGCGTGCGCGGCCGGGGCTGGGCCGGGGCTCCGAAGCTCGGCCGGGGCTCCGAGCTTGTTGAATTACATTTCCCTCATGCTACATTAGCACTAATTTTAAAAGGGATATACAATATGTATATCTCTATTATGTGATAAGTTAAGCTGTTGTATTCTGAAATTTAAAAGCATTATTTTCAGTGAAAAAAACCACACAAATAGAAATGTGTACAAAAAACTCACTGAATGATATTTCTTTAATAGTAAAGGCACAATATGTCAAAACCTCCTCTTTCCTTTTTGCAACGATGTAGAACTGCAAAGTTAGCTAATGTCATCTCCTAATTAAACAAAATCAACTGTGAGAAAATTAAACTGATTGCTTCACAATTACGGTTGAGCAAACACTCAGTTTGTCCCTATTTCATCTCCTGCTTTAGATCTTTGAGAAATTTCCCATTGTTTTGCTTCCTTAGATTTACAGGGAAGAATATCTTAATATTCTTTAATGAACTTGCATTTGTAGCATCTATACTAATGTTACATCAACTAGGCCTTATGCATACATATTTATAACTTAAAATATTCTGCACAAATATGATATATTTTAAAGTCTATACCTCTTATAAGTATTATCTTTTCTGCTGAAATTCAAGGCTATCAAATAAGTGTATGTTTTTAGAGTTGTACAGTGAGATTTGAAAGCAGTCATGATATAATCACTGTAATTTTTTTAATTAAATGGTGGCAGATAGGCCAGATAAATTGCGGGAAAGGGTCAGATAAATGATGTTATGAATGAGGTAAACTTTTATCATATTTTGTATTATTTGTTATCTATGCTTCTGTTTACATAGCAGGATGACTCTATTGCATTCTGTCATTAACACTGATTTGTCCATATCAGTGCAAGTGAAATCTGCCCTACCCTAAATGAACCAGTTATTTCTAACCTACACCATCAAGAAAAGGTTATGTCTATCAACCTCCATTACATATTATATAGAATATACACAATATACATTCTAGATATATGAAGTCTTTGCATACATCTGAGTTATGCGTATGAGTATACATTTATATATACTTATATATATGTTTAAGATATATATTTCTGAGGATCCATATATGTCAGTGAACATGTACTCAATGAACTTTCATTATTGTGCAAACATAAACAGTGCAGTGTTATGGGATATTCCAACCAATTATAAGATCAAATCTCTTCACTTATTCTATTTGTTTTTGTTGTTATTGTTGTTGCTTTTTGAGACGGAGGAGTCTTGCTCTGTCACCCAGGCTGGATGGAGTGCAGTGGCGTGATCTCAGTGCACTGCAGCATCCGCCTCCTGGGTTCAAGCAATTCTTCTTCTTCAGCCTCCCAAGTAGCTGAAATTACAGGTGCGTGCCACCACACTTGGCTAATTTTTGCATTTTTAGTAGAGATGGGTTTTCACCATGTGGGCCAGGCTGGGTTTGAACTCCTGACCTAAAGTGATCTGCCTGCCTCAGCCTCCCAAAGTGCTGGGACTACAGGTGTGAGCCACTGCATCCAGCCTCTATTTGTTCATTTTTATAAGGCAATTTCTCACTCAAGATGTAGAATCCCTTTTCTTTTCTTACTTCATTATTTTTTTCTAGAAGCCAATGTTAAAAAGAGAAGTGTATTAAGAGACACTTTAAAAAGATGAGATTTACAAAAACATCTTGATAATAAGAAAAAAAACCATATGTCATTTATATCTAAATCAATCAGATACCTTTAAGGCTTGTCTCATAGGATCCTATAACCAGGGTTTTTAAAACTGCTTTATATTAAGAATAGCTAAGAAATGGGAACTTAATCTGCCTTCCTCTTATGAATTCTACACCACAGCCAGTATGAGCTGAGATAATATTAGATACTCTTAATGTTATTGTTCCTGCACCTCATATTCATGAAAATTGCATAGATATTTAGAGAAATCTACATTCCACTAAACATCTATTTATCTATTTATATATGTATTTACAATTTTTGCATTTAAGAATATGCATGCATTCACTCAATGTGATATAGTTAGGCTTTGTGTCCCCACCCAAATCTCATCTTGAATTATTATCTCCGTAATCCCCACCTAGCAAGGGAGAGACCTGGTGGAGGTAATTGAATCATGGGGGTGGTTTGCCCCTTGCTGTTCTTGTGATAGTGAGTGAGTTCTCAGGTTATCTGATGGTTTTATAAGGAGTTCTTCCCCGCTTTGCTCGGCACTTCTTCCTGCCACCTTGTGAAGAAGTTTCCTTGCTTCCCTTTCAACTTCTGCTATGATTTCCTAAGTTTCCTGAGGCCTCCCCAGCCATGCTTAATTGTAATTCAGTTAAACCTCTTTCGTTTATGAATTACACAGTCTCTGGCAGTTCTTTATAGCAGTATGAAAACAAAGTAAAACAGCATGTTTTGACATGTCCGTATAATTTGGTTGACTCACCTGGCCCCTTGCAGTTTGGTATAAATTGTAATACAATTTCCATGTTTATTTATCTCTATCAAATAATGAAAACATGGCATCTGCATTCAGAGATAAAGTTTCTCATTTTTATACAGGCACAAGTTTTACCTAGTAAATAATGTTTAAATAACTTAAAACCAAGTTCTAGTTATACTATCTATTACTCCAATTTGGTCTCAATAAATCACATGAAAGGAAGGTAGATATTGTTATTTTCATCTAAGAGGAAACCCAGTTTGAGAAAAATGAAATAACTTGCTTAAGGTCACAAATCCAGTAAGTAGTGGAGGCTAAACTGAAATCAAGGTTTTCAGGCTCCAAATTCTCTATTTTTGAATGTTATATAACTCAACCAAGTAAATATCATATATTAAGGTAAAAAACATCTTTCACACTTTTATACTACTAAACTCTATTACAATTCTCTATAGAATAACACATGGACATTTTAGCAGTTCTGTAAAACATCAGAGTAAAAGCTTTTCACCTGTAACTCACTGTCAACTGAAAGACAAATTTTACTCTCTTAAAAATAGAAGAAATATCATTTGCAAGTAGAAGAGACAATGATGCACTTTTTCATTTTCTTAACTCAACTGGAATTAAAATTATATTAACTCATCATTTTTCTCTTTCATATCACAAATAACTTATTCTGCTTCTCACTATTGTAATGTGTTTTTTTAAAGTCTAACAACTCTTTCACTTATTTGACAACATTATATTAGAGTTAAAGTTAAAAACATTTTTTCTTTTGATGTTTAAAAATACAATACAAACAATGGAAAATGGAATTTGCATGTCATTGTACGTTGCAGACTCCAAGTGGAATTTGCTAATCACAAATTCCAATAGCATATATATTCTTATATCTCTAGTTGTTAAACTGATCGTTAATAATTAAACTTTTCAAAAATATAGTGTATATTTTAATTATATAAGAATATGTAAATTTTGGATGCAATTAATATTTAAACCATTAATCTGCACTTCAATAATACAGAGTTGACTCTTTTGAGATAAAAGTCAGCCAGGATTACAAACTCTAGTAGTATTTTTTAATAAATAAAAAATATTGAAGAAACAGCTTTGTTTTCCAATCCCTAGTTTTCTTCATTTGGTAAATAAATGTTTGCTGAACATGTATAAAATGTCAAGTATTGTGTGTGCTTTGATAGTTATGTATAAGCATGAGATATGAACTGTTCATAGAATATTAATCTTTTTTGCATATTTGCTTATTTCATGTTCTTTTTTCAGTAAGACTTTGTGCCTTATAATTGCATATAACCCAACAGAATGAAATACAATAAAATTAATTAGATGAGGACATCAAAATGAAAGAAAAATAAAAATTCTTTGAAACCAGGGACTAAGTTAGTATACAAAGTCCATGCCAAGAAGAATTAGTTTCTAGCAATGTATTCCACATGTGGCTCTAAGTGTTCTGTCTATCCACAAATAGAAAAAAACAGATACAATTACATGATTCAGATCTTCCAGAAGTTAAATGAACATACACACAATTGTTTTGTTCAATAAAAGGCAAAACTATTCCTTTTAGCTGCATAATAAAAAAATCTCTCATTATCCTTTTTCTAAGAGTACTGAAAATAATGGCCATCAACAATAACTTTAAGTAAATAATCTGATGTTTCACAGAATATTTTCTTGTAATTTCCCCCTCTGAGTCTTTGTAAGAATATTTTGTAAAAGCACTTCTGTAAGATCTGAATTTTGTGTGGTTGAGTATTAATACTCTATGCAGGTCTGGCTTCATTACAGGAAGAATTTCCAGTATCCAGAGAAAATGGCTGGCCCATAGTCCTTCTGGCATGCCTTCATAAATGCTGCTTATTTTCACTAACCTCTCCATCTGTACTGAGTGGCAGTATGTTTATGGTTATTTCCCTCGAAAAGAGACTAAAGTTCAGAGAGCCTTTATTGTGTGTTAATTGCAAATCCTACACTAAAAAAGTCAGCTAAACCTGGGCTAGTAATGACGCAAGCATGAATCAAAAGGCATCTCACCTTTGCTCAGAGGGAAACTTCAAGGAATCCTTGAAGTCAAACATCCCTTCAAAGACTGTTAAGACACAAATGAATAGGGATTGGGCCCCAAAATTCTGAATCAGAGCATTACAGGATGTAAATCTCATGGAGAAAAGAACACGTACGTCCGGCAGAATGGGATAGGCACATATAATTCTAAACAGCACATAGTTTGAGATTTACAGTTAAATAGTAGAGATGACTGAGAATATTGTTGACCCAGGGCAAGGAAAATTTTGTCATTGGGCACAATTGAGAATAATGAATTTATAATAAGCTGGATTCAGACAATTCTGTATCCTTACCCATGAATGGATAAACCAGAGAGTGGGACTAATAAAGTGTTCACAGATTGCATATTTTATTTGGAAAACTATCAAGGATAATTAAAGGGGCAAGAGATTAGCTAAGATATAATTGGTTCTGGGAACAAAAGCAATAGAGTTCCATGAAGCAAAGAGCATTCATGATTTGGGTGAAGCGGGGCATTCACCCAGAATAAAAGACTTGCTAAGTTTGCTCAGGTTACATCAGGGACACATGTAATATAGGTGGTTAAATAGATGGGGGGGTTAATGCCCATAAATTCTTAGTCCAGCATTCTCATGATGACAGGAAAAGTAAGAAGATATTGTCCTATTTATGTGAAAACTGGCATGGAAAAGGGAGAAGCAAAAGAGAAAATTTTACAATCCATTAATTAGTTTCATTAGCTTAAGATATACTCACATATATGCATCATCAAAATTCTGGAAAATTAGGCCACTACTAACACAGCTTCCAATATGTTGGTAAAGCAATAGTTCATCAAGATTAAAAATAACTTAGTATATACATTTCTCAGGTACATTTTATATTTTTAGTCAAAGAGCCCACACAATTGTTTTATGTTGATATGGAAAAGACAGTGCTGACCCATTTCTCGTAAAGTGAGAAACTAGAACTTTTCTTTCTTTCTTTCTTTCCTTCTTTCTCTTTTTTCTTTTTTTTTTTCTTTTTTTTTGAGACAGTTTCTTGGCTCACTGCAACCTCTGCCTCCCAGGTTCAAGCAATTCTCCTGCCTCAGCCTCCCAAATGGCTGGAATTACAGGCAACCGCCACCACGCTCAGCTAATTTTTGCATTTTTAGTAAAGATGAGGTTTTGCCATGCTGGCCAGGCTGGTCTGGAACTCTTGGCCTCAAGTGATCCACCTGCCTCGGCCTCCCGAAGTGCAGGGATTACAGGCATGAATCACCGCGCCGGGCCAACTACAAACTTTCTTCTAGAACACATAACGTTAAAAATAAAAATGTTAAAATTAATGATTTATTTATTTTTACTGCACAGTTGAGTTGATGTTAATGTAAAGTAAATTCTTAAAAGTTACAATCAACAAGTAACATTCCTTTTGAAAAGTATGCTTGTCCTAGATTAGTGTTTGCTACTTACTCGTCAGTTCTAATCACCAAGTTATAATTATATGTTGGAGAAATTTGGGGGGGAAATTTCTGTGAAGGATCAATGGGAAGGTGCCAGAGAAGACAGGCAGAGCCTTTGGATTTTGATGCAAGGCTGAAATTTGTGAATGGAAGTAGGGCGTGCAGGAAGGCCCTCATATAATAGGGCAGCTCTGAAAACAGTAATGTTGGCCAGAGAGATGGTGAGTCCTGTAGCCAAAGTCAGAGGAGTGCACATCCTACAAGGATGAGCTGGCATTATTAATTCTGTTTCGCTTATTCATTAGCTGGGAAGCCTGAAAGAACATGGCCTTAGTGGTGGTAGATCCAGAGTGTAAGAACAGGGAATATTAGTCACCTCAGCTTCTTGCATCATGTTCTCTTGATGGCATTAGAAGTACACCACTGGGGTCCCATCGATGCAGAGTTTGAGATTTAATAGGCCACACCCAAGTGTGAGACAGTAAACAAGGACTATGGCCACACAGTCCAGGTAGAGCTTAGATTAGCACCCCTAAATGAGACTAAAACATTCAAAAAATTAAGCAAGTTCTACCCCATAGAAGAGGATGGAAGATAACCATGACTGTCTCAGAGACTGTTCTGTGTAGAGAAGGGAAAGAGAAGACTCCTGGCAGAATTCTTCTCCATGGGCTCTCCTTCACACCGGGGAAGGGTCCCAGAAGACCTTAAAGTCCCAAATGTGGTTTTAAAATGGTCTCAGGTCAGGAGCAATCCCAGATATCTGGGACATGCAAACCCAAATCCTATGCTGAGGAATGTACCCTAAGCCCAGTCCTCAAATATTCCCTCAGATAAAGTTCTATGGAAATGAGTTCCCAACAAAACTATCACAAACAGATGGAGAGGGAAGTCTCTTTGAGCAAATTTATAGATAAAACAAAGGATATGATCAAACCTCAAGTGGCTGTGAAACTTGAGGGTCTTCATAATAAAAATACAATTTAAGGAGCTTGTAGGTTGGGTGCAGTGGCTCACGCCTGTAATCCCAGCACTTTGGGAGGCAGAGGTGGGCGGATCACTTGAGGTCAGGAGTTGGAGACCAGCCTGGCCAACAAGGTGAAACTCCATCTCTACTGAAATACAAAAATTAGCCAGGCGTGGTGGTGGACGCCTGTAATCCCAGCTACTCTGGAGGCTGAGGCAGGAGATTTGCTTGAACCCAGGAGGTGGAGGTTACAGTGAGCCAAGATCATGCCACTGCACTTCAGCCTGGGTGACAGAGCGAGACTCCATCTAAAAAAAAAAAAAAAAAAAAAAAAATTGTATAGTTCATGTGAGCAGAATTC